>NC_000017.11:15945656-16248686 GCF_000001405.40 Homo sapiens
GTTCCTCCCTCGGGGGCCCCAGACGGGCCAGGCTGGGGGCGCGCGGGGCGCTTGGAGGGCTGGTTCCCAGCCTGGCCACCCCGCAACGCTAGACCAGTGCGCCCGGGCACCCAAGACATCCCAGATGCGCGTCGCTCTAAGGAGATCTGCGTAGGGACAGCTCTAGGGGGTCCGGGGAGTGCGGTCCCCGGCGCCCGGGGAGGCGCCGTGGAAACCCCGGGGAAAGCGTCACCCCCGGGGAAAGCGTCACCCCCGTGGGCGGGTGGAGCCCGGGGCGCGGGAGTTTTGGTGATCACATCTCCACTCCTGCCACGAAGGCCGTTCCTAACACTCGCCCGCAGCGGCGGTGCAGCGGCAGTCCCGTGAGTGCTGCGGCTCCCGGAGGCCCGGGAGGTTCCCACTAAGGGCAAGGCAACTTTGGACGCTGGGCATTCGCACCGTCAGAATGGACACGCATGAGCCAGCTTCAGAACGTGTCTGCTGCGGAGAGGCGGCCCGGCCCATCCCAGGGGAAGGTGTCCGTTAACTTTGGGGAACGCTACGGACTCAGATTATATACTTTTAAAAGGAGTTACAATGCTTCCTCGTGTCTGGCAAACGGCCTTACAGCCTCACTGCCCTTGTGTAACTATTTATCTCCTGCTGCCCTGTTGGGAGCGGGCTGAGAAGTGCAGAAAATGGTGGCGAACTTACTTGTCCACTCTTTCTCCCACACTGAGAAAATCTAGGATTCAGGGGATGGAGTCAGCCAGCGACCAGAGTGGATTCCCAGTTGGAGCTGATGACTTCAACATTGAGAGTTTGTTGAAAGTATTTATTCTCTGTCTTTGGTGCCTGGGCCACTTTGGCATTTCTGAGGAGAGCTTGAGATCTCTTTAAATTTGGAGCTGAGACAGGGAAACTAAATCACAGAGTAGGAAGGAAGGGAAGGAATTCATTTATTGGGTGCCAACTCTGTGCAGACAGTTTATAATAAACGTGTCCCCAGCAGTCCTTGCAGTAGTACCAGAGGACGGGTGCTGTAACCTTCATCTCGTAGAGGAGGGGTGATGGCCCAGGGAGGTTGGAGTCTTGCCCAGGATGGTGTATCAGGGATGGGTGTCAGAGCCGGGGCTTGAACTCACAGCTGGCACCGTGTCCCCACCCATGCCATCAGGCCACTCTGCAAGGCCATGTGTGGCACCGTGTTTAGGAGTCAGGGAGAAAAGTGCTCTGCTGTTTTGGGAGGAGGAGCCTGCCTGCAGTAAACTGGTGGTTGTAGGGGAATGTGTTTGTGGGAATGGAGCCGGAGAATGCTCCCAGAGGCCATTTGAGTAGGCAGATGTGTTGGGCCTGGTCCTTGCAGGTTGTTTCGTGGGTCCCAGCAGGAACAGGAGCCTCCTGCTTGGGAGGGCTGTGAGCCTTATGTGGGTGTCTGGCCACTCCATGTGCTGCTGCCCGTGCTGTTGGACCAGGAGGCCTTATGTCTCCCATCAGGTGTGACAGCCCAGGGATTTCCAAGGCTTAGGGAGGACAGCAGTTTCTTCTCTCTCTTCTGGATCCCTTCCCTGCCTTTTGGTGTCATCGTTGTTACTTGATGGCATTTTGGATGTTTTGCATCCAGCAGAGCAGTCACAAGCCCCAGCCTGAGTTGTCCATCTAATGGAAACCCCTTGGACTTGCCCTGGCAGAGACCAGAGACCCAGAGAGGAGTTAGTGGAACAATCTCCCAGGCCACAGGGAGCAGGAAGTTCCATGAAAGTTTAAATCTGTTCCTTCTTGTCCTGGTTTGTGCTGGGTGAGGTCTTGAAAAAAATGGGTGTGGGTGTGTTAAGGGGAAAGTGCTGTGAATCACAGGCCCTGAGCTTCTTTGCATTGCCAAGGGCAGGAGGGAAGAACACTGAGGCTCGCCCCATCCTGCCTTCCTGGCCCGTCCAGAGCTTGGAGGTCTGGAAGAGGTGCACAGGCAGTCCCCAGCTCCCTGCCCCAGAGTTAGTCGTCTGACCTGGCCACAGCACCACCCCAACCCTGGTGGGTGGGAGAGGTGTACTAGGGCCCCCAGGGCTTCCCTCTCAGGGGCTGGTGCCTGGGGCAGGCCTTCCCTCAGCTGGCCTAGCAGTTCATGGCCCCTTGGGAAGAGGTTAAAATACAGATTACAGGGCCTCACCTGGTTGTACTGAATCAGAATCTCTGGAGTGGGTGTCGAGGGGATTCCAGCAGTGGGATCTTTAACCAGGGACATTTGGGTCCAGCGATCTAAGAATCCTCCTAGATTCAGGGCCTGAAGCTTTCCTCACTTGACTGACACAGGCTGGGTGCATGGCGCCCCAAGCACTGACTTGGCCCTGAGGCCTTCCTGGGGTTGTGGAACTCCAGGTGAGAGTAAAGTTGGAAGTGCCCTGTTTGGGAGGAGGTGTGTCCCCTTTGAAGCCAAGCAATAAGGAGGGTGAGGTGCAGGGAGTGAGGGCTAAAGGCTTAGGCTAGGACAGTCCTGGGACCTACCCCCAGTTCCTCCCGGTTCGAGGGCTCCAAGTGTGAGGCCTGTGGCCGCAGAGACCACAGCCCCCACCTGCCACCGCATTGCCAAGGTGTTTACTGATGTGACAGATGACAGTGTAGAAGGGAGGGGAGCCGGAGGGAATGCCAGGGACAAATATGACGCCCTTGGCCTGGCCCTTTGCCTTCAGGACAGGGCTGGCCACAAACAGAAGTCCATTGCCTCTGGTTCAAGTCCATAGACAATTCCTGATGTTGGGCCCTGGCGGCGGGGGGCTCCAGTCCCCAGTGGTGCCGACGGGAGTGGGCGTGTAGCTCCTGGGCTGGGGGAGGTGGACGTGTACAGGCAGGAGGGTGTGGGCCATGCCCAAAGCTGCTCCCAGCTCTCACTTCACCCTCAGGCAGGAGCACTTCCTCCTCCCTGCTTGAATCCTGTTCCTTTCATGCCACACCCACTGTGGGGGTCTTCGCTGCTTGTAGACCCAGTTTCCCTGGCCCTGTGGCATTGAGTCTCTGGCAGGGCTGAGGCCAGCTGTTTTCCTAGTGGAGCTGAAAGAGGGTGGATCCGGGAGGGTTTAGTTGGCCGAATGGGTCCAGTGCCGTGTATCTGACCTGTCCCTGGACCCTGCCCAGTCACCCTCTCTGCTCTTGCCACATTGAGGCTTTTCTCTGTGCCTCACGTATCTGGTCTTTGAGGTAGGGATTAAAGACCTCTTAGCAAGACTTTGTGCTTAGGGTAGGAGTTGGCGGGGGGTTCTGAATGTTTTTCAAAACTTAAAAAAATTGAGCTATAGGGCCGGGCACGGTGGCTCACGCCTGTAATCCCAGCACTTTGGGAGGCTGAAGAGGGTGGATCACCTGAGGTCAGGAGCTCGAGACCAGCTTGGCCAACATGGTGAAACCCTGTCTCTACTGAAAATATAAAAATTAGCTGGGTGTGGTGGTGGGTGCCTGTAATCCCAGCTACTTGAGAGGCTGAGGCAGGAGAATCGCTTGAACCCGGGAGGCAGAGGTTGCAGTGAGCCAAGATCACGCCATTGCACTCCACCTTGGGCAACAAGAGCAAAACTCTGCCTCAAAAAAAAAAAATTGAGCTATAGTCCAGGCACAGTGGCTCACGCCTGTAATCCCAGTGCTTTGGGAGGCCAAGGCGAATAGATCAGTTGAGGCTAGGAGTTTGAGACCAGCCTGGCCAACATGGCGAAATCCCGTCTCTACTAAAAATACAAAAATTGGCTGGGTGTGGTGGTACACGCTTGTAATCCCAGCTACTCGGGAGGCTGAGGCAGGAGAATTGCTTGAACCCAAGAGACAGAGGTTGCCGTGAGCCAGGATCACACCGCTGCACTCCAGCCTGGGCAACAGAGTGAGACTGTGTCTCACACATACACAAAAAATTAAGCTATAATTCCCGTCCCATAAAATTCACTGGTAATGTTCGAAATAAAGCTTGGCAGGGGCTGGATACGGTGGCTCACACCCGTAATCACAGCATTTTGGGAGGCCGAGGCAGGTGGATCACCTGAGGTCAGAGTTCGAGACCAGCCTGGCCAACATGATGAAACCCCGTCTCTACTAAAAATACAAAAATTAGCCGGGCGTGGTGGCACGCGCCTGTAATCCCAGTTACTAGGGAGGCTGAGACAGGAGAATTGCTTGAACCCAGGAGGTGGAGGTTGCAGTGAGCCCCAGCCTGGGTGACAATAGCGAAACTCTGTCTCAAAAAAAATAAAAAATAAAAAAGCTTGGCAGGAAGATTTCTGGCTCTGGGTTGTATCCTCCAGCTTTCCCAAGAGCTCCCTCCTTGGGTTCACCCTTCTGCATCAGTGTTACCTTTCTCTTCCAGATCATTCCCATGGTAATGGGTTGGATGATGGCCCCCTGCAAAACGTATGTCCATATTTTAATTCCCAGAACCTCTGACTATTCCCTTATATGGCCAAAACAAAAAACAACCAACCAAAACCCCACAAATACTGCTTTCTGTGGATCTTGAGAGAAGGAGCTTATTTGGATTATCTGGGCGGCCTCTTAATGCATTTGCACTCTTAGAAGATAAATCTGCAGAGAAGGCCGTTTGAAGGTGGAGGCCACAGCCAAGGAATGAAGGATGGCCACCAGAAGCTGGAAGAGGCAACAGATCCTCCTTTGGAACCTCTGGCAGGAGCGTGGCCCACACCTGGAAGTCAGCCTTCTCGCCCTGCTTGTTTTAAGCCACTAGGTTTGTGGGGCTTTGTCAGAGCAGCACCAGGAAGCCACCCATCAGTACACGAATATACCCCTAGATCAACGCCCCTTCACTTCCTCATCCACTCCTTTGCCTCCCCCCTGGCAAACTCTGCCACTTGTTACCAGGATGCCACTGAATTCTCCTGTCAGGTCACCCATGCGCCATCCCTCTTTTGGCAGAATCGAGCAGTCACTTCCCGGACCTCGTTGAACATGTTCTCTCAGCAGCTCCTGGTGGGCACTGTGGGCCCCCAGCTGGACTCCTGCTCCCCTGTAACCACTCCACACAGCAGCCAGACGGGATGACTTAAAACCTAAGCCACATCATACCGTTCCCCTGCTTACCACGCTGCAGAGACACAGAGAGTGAAATCCCTATGCCCTACCCTAGCCTGAGGCTGTGCATGGTCGGCCTTCACCCCCCAATTCTCACTCACCACGGCCAAGTTATATTCCCACCCATGGTCTTTGCACCCCCGTTCCTCACTTCACCCACCTGGAGAGGCTTCTCAGCCACTGCATTGGTTTACCGCCATCTCTAGTTATCCCATTAAACCATGTCCTTACTCAGAGTCTCTCTGCGCCCAGTGTGCTAGCCTTGTGGGCAGGGGCCTTACACCCCAGGATGCAGCGCGATGCCGGCACAGGCTAGGAAAGCACATTGTGGATGAATGCATGAGTGACTGGGTGAAAAGGGCACATGTCAGGCTACGTCATGCCCGGGGAACAGCTGGACAGGTGGGAAGGGAGGGTCCGAGACAGCAGGTGTACAGTGAGGGCCCAAGGGCTCTGTGAAACGCCAGAAGAGGAGCTGCCCCCACAAGTTCTAATGATCGGAAGACAGGAAAACCGTCTTCTGAAAACATCTCTCATGGGCCTAAGGGACAAAAGGGTGGAGAGGAGTGCAGAGGTGTCCGGGGACTGCCAGGCAGCCAGCAGGGGCTGTGGGCCAGAGGCCCAGGCTGAGGCCAGGGGCTGCAGACACGCGGGACGTGGCCCATGGGCCCTGGCTCCTGGTCCCATGCACAGGCCAGGAGCCACCCTGTTACCTGCATCAGGGCATCACCCAAGCCTGAGTGTTACTTTGCTGTCATTTGTCCTCCATTGTTAGCACACAGTCCTCCCAACTCCACTTCCCAGGCCATGTAGCAACCTTAAAACCAGCAGGTGCTGTTTATAATCCTGCTGGGGCCTCCAGCTGACATAAGGGGCTGGTTCCTGGCATGTTGATTCCAGAGGACACACACATGGCTAGGCAGGGGCCAAGGTCTGATTTGGTCAGTGAGGTCCTCAAATGTGTCTTGGAACCAGGTCAGAACTGGGGTAATTCAATCCAGAGGATACCTGAAGGCCCTCTCCCTTCGGGGAGGGTAGAGTCAGCCTGACCTGGCTGGTCATCAGGAGCACATGGGAACTGGAGGGCAGGGGAGATGGAGGTGGACTTGGTGTGCGTGGGGGTGCTGTGGACAGGTTCCCTCTGAAGGAGGCCGGGAAGGAGGGCCCGCTCAAGCCACCCTGGGCCCTGCCCTGAGACCGGAGCCTGGAGCTGCTCCCAGAGGGCAGAGGCCTCCTCTGCAGACCAGGCACAGTCTGCAGCAGCTCTGCATGCCTGGAGGTGGCCTGGTGCCCTGGAGCAGCACAGCCAGGGAAACACCGCCTGGCCTCATGCTGTGGACATTCCCACTGAATTCTGAAAAGGACAGTGGCTGCCTTTGGTTGTCTGGAGAAGAGGGTAAATGAAAAAAAAGTCAACATTTTCCCACTACAGATCACCTGGCTCCTTTCTCGGTGACCACGTGCAGGGCAGGACCCAATCCCTGTATCTCACTCTTCTCATTTGTCAGTTTATTATCACAGCATGGGTGTACACTGCAGGGACAGATATGGGGAAGTGTCCTCAGCTATTCTGGACATAGAGATTTTCAGTCTTGTGAATGGCAGCCATTGTTCCCAAGCCGTTTCTGGGTGCCAGGCACCTTACATCCCTAATCTCCTTTGATCTTTGCGACCGCCCTATGGGAGCAGATGGAGTTATCTTCACCACCTCACAGATAAGAAGATGGAGGTGCAGAAAATTATGTTTAGCCCAGGGTCACACGGAAGCCGGGACTGAGGCAGCCTATCTTCCCAGGAGCCCTTAACCATCATGTGAGCAGCTGGAGGGAAGGACTGCACACCCCGAGGTCACCCCCAAACACCCCCTTGATGAGGGGTCCCTTCTAGTGGTGGATGAATAAGGACACTGGCAAATTGTGATTAGATTCCTTTAATTATTACCTGGACAAAGAAGACTCCAGCTAACCTGTCAAATGGACGAGTGAGGAAAGAAGCTAAGCCCTGGCCAATGTGAATGGAATCTCACAGCATTTGCCTGACAGCTGTGAGGCTTTGTGGATCTCCTCCCACCTGCACCTTCCTCGGATTGGGGAACTGAGGCCCAACCTTTCCTTTTGCCTCAGATTTATTAGTGACTCCAGAATTAGGCTTTAGCCATGGTTATTCTCTCCTAAATTATTAACTCGATAGGCTCTTGGACTCCGAGGCTAACCAGCTGGAGACAGCGCCACGGGCAGCGGGAACTCAATGGCAAATAGCAAATGTATCTTCTTGGACAGAATTAAAGTGGAGAACAGCCTGTCCCAGGCACGGGCGGGCAGGCTTCCACTCAGTCTAGGCTGAGGGGCAGGGCTTTTTCTGGAGGGTGGAGGGTTGAGTGGTGTGGTAGGTGGGAGGAAAGTGCCTGCAGAGCTGGGAGTGCAGGGTGCGCAGGAGCAGGGGGACTCCTGAGCTGGCCTGGCACCTTGGGTGCTTCGCACCCGTGAGTGGGCATGGGATTTGGGCTGTGGTGGGGGACGGGCCAGGGAGCAGGCAGCTCGAGGAGGGCCTTGAGCTTGCTGAGGGTTTTGGATTTTGTCCTGAAGGTGCTGGTGAGTCCATGAATGAGTCGCATTTATTATCTTCTATTTTTTTGAGTTAGAAATCAACCAGTGGGCATAGAAGTAAACAGTCAAAAGTACAAAAAGGCCCAAAAGGGAAAGCAAGAGACCCCCACCAGTCCCTCTGCCGGGGGCAGCCCCCAGCCTGTTTCTCTTGGCATTTGCCCCGAGGGGCGCTCTGGGCTGAGCCCTGGTTTTGTGCTGCCATCTTGAAGCAGAATCTGTTGACTCCCCACTGTGAACCGCCAGGCCCGTGGCTCATGCCAGCCTTCTCCCCTATGCCCCACTTGAATTTCTGTTATGTTTTGATTTTTTTCCTGTGGACATTTCGGCCTGTGTTTCTGTCAAGTGGTGATTATATTTGCTGACTGTCAAGAAAAACAAGGAAGAACGTGTCCCCCATTCCTTTCCCAGGTCTGCTCCTGGTTTCTGTGAGCCGCGCTGTTACTGTGAGCGCGCTGCCTCTCAGGAAGTCTTCCTTGTGAAAGGTAACTCGTGCTGCTGGAAAGAAGCTGACACTGCACAGGGGGAAGCTGTAGAGTTGTCCCCTGTCTTGGATCTCTGCTTTCCTACTTTGCCTGTCAGAGGCAGCCACTATTTCTCATGGCTTCCTCTGCACAGATGGTGTATTGAACACATTTGCATTATACCATGACTTTTATGCTGTTAAGGTTTATACCATTTACATTTTTTTTTTTTTGAGACAGAGTCTCGCTCTGTCGCCCAAGCTGGAGTGCAGTGGTGCAATCTCACCTCACTGCAACCTCCGATTCCCAGATTCAAGCAATTCTCCTGCCTCAGCCTCCCGAGTAGCTGGGATTACAGGCACGTGCCACCACGCCTGGCTAACTTTTGTATTTTTAGTAGAGACGGGGTTTCACCATATTGGCCAGGCTGGTCTCGAACTCCTGACCTCAGGTGATCCACCTGCCTCGGTCTCCCAAAGTGTTGGGATTACAGGTGTGACCCACTGCGCCTGGCCAGGATCCTATTTTTAGATGCCATCCATTACTCAGACATTACTCAAAATTATGTCACATTTTAGCCTGCTTCAGGTTTACCATCTGGAAATTAGAAAGTTAAAGTAGGAAGCATGCCTTCCCACATCCTCGTGATCACCCAGCTTCTTAATCACCCTCATGCTGAGCCTCCTCACCCCTTTGCTATGTGTGCCACACAGCCGCTAGGGCTTCCTTTACTGTGCCCTTGGAGTGGTTCCAGCATTTCCTGCATTCCATGTTCTCTTTCCTCTTTCTAGGATTTCATATTTGTTAGACACGAGGATAAACTTTCTGGGTTCTTATATGTCAAAAATGTTTTTTTGGCCTGGTGCAATGGCTCGCACCTGTAATCCCAGCCCTTTGGGAGGCTGAGGCAGGAGGATCGCTTGAGCCCAGGAGGTTGAGGCTGCAGTGAGCTGCATTCACACCACTGCACTCCATCCTGGGCAACAGAGTGAGACCCTGTCTCAAAAAAAATTTTTTATTTCTCACATATGATTGGTTGGTTGATAGATTGTGGTTCGGAAGTGTTTTCCCTCAGATGTCTGAAGGGGTTGCTGTAACACCCAGTGTTGCTCACAAAGTCTGGTGTGTAATGATTCTTACTTGTAACTTGTATCTCTCCTCTGGGAACCTTTGGGATCATTTGTTTTTCCTTGGTGTTCTGAAATTTTGTGAGACTGGGTCTAAATGGTAACTCTTACTTTTTTTTTTCATTGAGGATGGCACTAGTAGGTAGGTGAACCTTGCCAATTTGAAGACTTAGGTCTGTCTTCAGCTCTGAAATTTTCAAAGAATACAGTTGACCCTTGAACAACTTGGGTTTGAACTGTGTGGGTTCACTTAAAATGGATTTTTTTTCAACCAAACACAGATTGAAAATACAGTATTTGCGGGTTGTGAACCCGAGTACACAGAGGGCCAACTTTTCCTGTAGTGGGGCTCTTGGGGCCAACTTCAGGATTTGATTACATACGGATTTTGGAGTACTTGGGTGCCCTGGGACAAATCCCCTGTGTATACCAAGTGAAAACTGTATTTTCTTAATTAATTCCTTATCTCCATTTCCTCTGTTCTTTTCTCTGGGATTCTTTTTTTGTTTTTTTTGTTTTTTTTTTTCGAGACAGAGTCTCGCTTGTTGGCCAGGCTGCAGTGCAGTGGCACGATCTGGGCTCACTGGCTCACTGCAACCTCCATCTCCCGGGCTCAGGCAATTCTCCTGCCTCACCCTCCCGAGTAGCTGGGACTACAGGCATGTACCACCAAGTCCGGCTGTATTTTGTATTTTTTAGTAGAGACGGGGTTTCACCATGTTGGCCAGGCTGGTCTTGAACTCCTGACCTCAAGTGATCCACTCACCTTGGCCTCCCAAAGTTGTGGGACCACAGGCGTGAGCCACCACACCTGGCCGCCTCTGGGATTCTTTTTTTTTTTTTTTTGAGATGGAATCTTGTTCTGTCACCCAGGCTGGAGTGCAGTGGCACAATCTTGGCTCACTGCAACTTTCACCTCCCGGGTTCAAGTGATTCTCCTGCCTCAGCCTCTCGAGTAGCTAGGATTACAGGCGTGCACCACCACACGTGGCTAATTTTTTGTATTTTTGGTAGAGATGGGGTTTCACCATATTGGCCAGGCTGGTGTCGAACTCCTGACCTCAAGCGATCTGCCTGCCTCGGCCTCCATAAATGCTGGGATTACAGGCGTGAGCCACGCCTCTGGGATTCTTAATAGGCAGATGGGGACGTCCCCTCCTTTCCTGATCACTGTTCTCTGACAGTTCCCAGTGCTTTCTCATTCTTTGTAAGAGTTTCTTCGCTTTTTTTCCTTTGTTCTTCTATTTTTCAATACAATTTTAGCATTCATATGTTTACTTTTGATGAAGACTAAGGGATTTTAAATTGACTTTGAAAAACATTTTTTAGATTCACATGGTTGAGATTCCTCGTGTGGCAGAGTGTACATAACCTAAACTCTTCCCCTCCCCCACCCGTTATCACTAGGTCTCTAGCCACAGCTTGGGGAGAGTGTGGGAGGGGGAGGGGATCAATGCCACAGCTCCCAAAGCTTGCCCACAGGCTGTCTTCCTCTTGACATCTGTTCTTTTCTTAATCCCATTCTGATCCCTGCTGTTTGCTAGACTGGAGCCTCTCATCCTGGCCATCCATGTTTCCAATTTAGGGTTCCATGGTTCATGCTGATGATCCTGTCCACCTTCTGTTTTTAGAAACTCATAAAAATCTCCGGTTTGCTGATATCATCCTCTACTTCTTTTTTTAGGATGATTATGTGTGTCTTTTTTTTTTTTTTTTTTTTTTTTGAGACAGTTTTGCTCTTACTGCCCAGGCTGGAGTGCAATGGTGCAGTCTTGGCTCACTGCAACCTCTGCCTCCTGGGTTCAAGCGATTCTCTTGCCTCAGCCTCCCAAGTAGCTGAGATTACGGGCACATGCCACCAACGATGCCCAGCTGATTTTTGTGTTTTTAGTAGAGACGGGGTTTCACCATGCTGGTCAGGCTGGTCTCAAACTCCTGACCTCAGGTGTTCTACTCGCCTCGGCCTCCCAAAGTACTGGGATTACAGGCATGAGCCACCGCACCCGGCCTGTGTGTCTTTACTGTCATTAAAATGTGATTTTGTGAGGAGTGATAATTAGGTGGAACTTGGAATGCCAAGGTACAATTTTAATCTGGAGTTTGATATGGTCAGGTTTGCATTGTAAAAGTCACTGGTGGACAGCTGAAGGAAGGAATGGACGGGACAAGATGATATAGGGTAGCCACTTGGCATCCAGATGAGAAGGAAAAAAGCATGACCAGGGCAGAGGCCATGGAGATGGCAGCAGACTCTACAGATATTGGAGACTCGTAGAACCACAATTTCTGCACCAGAGAAGGCTGATGTTTGATGCCAGCCATGGAGTTCAGCAGTCTGGAGCAGAGGAGCCACAGGTAAAATCATATAGGAAAGAGTCCTGAGAACCACAGATGGGCCCTGGAGCCACAATCAGTGAGTGACACCTAGAAATGTGGGTAGTTAGGGCCAGGCTGAGTGGAATTGATGTGCGTGAGATCTGCCATTGTGGAGCAGTAATGAGTCAGCATGAGTGACTGGCAAGCAGATCTGATCGATAGCACATAGTCGTGTGCTTCTGGCTGGAAGACAGGGCACACGGGACAGGTTCAAGAGGACTTGGTGACTCAGTTGGATGTGGACATGAAGGAGAAGAAGACTCCAGGATGACTCCCAGATTTCCGGTCGCCTGGGTGATGCCATCCTGAAGATGGGGGCTTTGGGAAGGTGTTGCCTAGGTTGTGTTTAAGGTGCCTGCAGGTTGAGAGACGCAGTAGTGGTCGAGTCTTGGGGAGTCTGGGGCTGCTAGTTCTTCCACCTGGCTCTGGACCCAACTCCTGCTTTATGGGAGCCCTGGACCGTTCATTATTCCTGCACAGCAGCCTCTTCCCTTCCCCATTTAAATGTGTTCAAACTCCTCCCACCCGTCTCCGCCCAACCTTCTTTGGTGTGCCACCTGTTTTGCGCCAGTCCCGCCACCTGCAGACTTCCCAAAGCAGCTTTCTGTCTATGACATCCTGATTTCCACTGCTGATTTTAGCACCACTGCTGAGTGTTTTTTTTTGTTTGTTTGTTTTGTTTTTTAAACATAGAGAACTACAAAGCTTTATTGAACGACATTGTAGAACCAGGACCTGTCAGGTACACTTCCTTTTTTTTTTTTTTTCTTGAGACAGAGTTTCACTCTTGTTGCCCAGGCTGGAGTACAATGGTGCGATCTTGGTCACCGCAACCTCTGTCTCCCAGGTTTAAACGATTCTCCTGCCTCAGCCTCGCGAGTAGCTGGGATTACAGGCGTGCGCCACTGCATCCGGCTAATTTTGTATTTTCAGTAGAGACAGGGTTTCTCCATGTTGGTCAGGCTGGTCTCAAACTCCCAACGTCAGGTGATCTGCCCACCTCGGCCTTCCAAAGTGCTGGGATTGCAGGCGTGAGCCACCACGCCCGGCCCAGGTACACTTCTTAAACTCTCCCTCCATTCACTTCTCTTAGGCCCCATCTCCACGTCTGCCCCATTCCAGGGCAGCATTCTCCTATCTGGTCTCTCCGCATCCATCCTTGTTCTTTTAGCCCATTCTTCACATAGCTGCAATCTTTCTGAAATGAACCCCTGTGTGCACCTCCTTCCTTTACCCAGTGCTCCCAGTGCCTTAGGATGTCATCCCAGATCTCTCCCTTGCCCCTACTCCCCACCTGGTCTGGGGCCTAGGTCTGCTTCTGGCCTCATCCCCGTCCTCTCTTTCCTTCGTTTCTCTACCCTGACTTCTCAGGACCCCTCTCAATTCCTGAGACTTCTGGAGCTCAGGCCTTTGCGCATGTGTTTCCCTCTGCCTGCGGTGACCTTCTCTCTATCTCTTTGCCTGCTGATTCTTCCCCATTTTCTCTGTGCCCCTGAAAATGACACTCCCTCTGGGGGGCACACAGGGTTCTTTTGCAGCTCTCTGCATACTTGCAGCTCTTTTCTTAATTATTTGTAATTTGTTTAAGGTTTGCCATCCTTTCTCTGTTATGAGCAGGGCACATGTCTGTTGCTTTCTCATTATCCCCTGTGTGTTGTCCAGTCACTGGCTTGGCTTGTGACATATTAAGAGTCGGCAGTATACATGTGCATGCAAATGTATGAACATGTGTCTCTGTGTGTGTATAATCGGGGGTGGGATTAGCTCTGAACCGATGAGCTTGTTGCCTAAAGATAAGAATCCCACATCGTGTGTCCTGAGAGGAGAGATAGGAGAAACTGAAGAGGCCAAAAAGCTAGACTGGCTTCACTAAAACCAGCAGGGAGACTTTGATGGGGAATGGTTAGCAGTGTTACAGAGGGATAAAATGCCTCCTAAATTTGGCATTTTCAGAAGTCATTTAGCAACCTAGTCTTTTAATTGCAGGGATTTTTTAAAAATTACAAAATGAGTACAGTACATATTTGTATCTGACTCATCTAACGAAGTTTGTGGTTTCAGAAATAATGAGTCATTCTGAAACAGTGTATTGTTTCACAGCTTTTAAGTTGCATGACTAATACAGTGCATTACTATATACCTTTCACTTACATTCACAAATTATGAATAGTTTGCTACATTTGGTTTGTCTCACACACACATACACTGGCACAATGATCACATTCTGATTTTTTTTTTTTTTTTTTTTTTTTGAGACAGAGTCTTGCTCTATCACCCAGGCTGGGGTGCAATGGCGCGATCTGAGCTCACGGCAACCTCCGCCTCCTGGGTCCAAGTGATTCTCCTGCCTCAGCCTCCCGAGTAGTTGGGATTATAGGCGCACGCCACCATGCCTGGCTAATTTTTGTATTTTTAGTAGAGATGGGGTTTTGCCATGTTGGCCAGGCTGGTCGTGAATTCCTGACCTCAGGTGATCCACTCATCTTGGCTTCCCAAAGTGTTGGGATTACAGGCATGAGCCACTGTGCCTAGCCACATTTAGAAATTGTAATAGGTGCCACAGTCTATAGTCAGATGTTCCCAGTTATCCCAATCATATCTTTATAGTTGTTCTTTTTTAAAAAATCCAGGTTCTATTAAAAGGTCATGCTTGCATTTAATATGTTCCTTTAATCTGAAAGAGTTCCTCAGTCTTTTGTTTGTTTTAGTCTTTCAAGACATTAACATTTTCCTCCGGGCACGGTGGCTCACACCTGTAATGGGAGCCTGAGCAGGAGGATCATTTGAGGCCAGAAGTTCAAGACCAGCCTGGGCAACACAGCGAGGCCCCATCTCTATGAAAATTAAGAAAATTAGTCAAATGTGGTGGCGCATGCCTATAGTCCTAGCTATTCAGGAGGCTGAGGTGGGAGGATTGCTTGAGCCCAGGAGTTCAAGGTTACAGTGAGCTATTAGATTGGTGCAAAAGTAATTGTGGTTTTGGCCATTAAAAAAAGGCACAAATTGGGCCGGGCGCGGTGGCTCACGCCTGTAATCCCAGCACTTTGGGAGGCCGAGGCGGGCGGATCACGAGGTCAGGAGATCGAGACCATCCTGGCTAACACGGTGAAACCCCGTCTCTACTAAAAATACAAAAAATTAGCCGGGCGTGGTAGCGGGCGCCTGTAGTCCCAGCTACTCGGGAGGCTGAGGCAGGAGAATGGCGTGAACCCGGGAGGCGGAGCTTGCAGTGAGCCGAGATCGCGCCACTGCACTCCAGCCTGGGCGACAGAGCGAGACTCCGTCTCAAAAAAAAAAAAAAAAAAAAAAAAAAGGCACAAATTGGCCGGGCGCGGTGGCTCATGCCTGTAATCTCAGCACTTTGGGAGGCGAAGGCAGGCAGATCATGAGGTCAGGAGATCGAGACCATCCTGGCTAACACGGTGAAACCCCGTCTCTACTAAAAACACACACAAAAAAATTAGCCGGGCATGGTGGTGGGTGCCTGTAGTCCCAGCTACTCGGGAGGCTGAGGCAGGAGAATGGCGTGAGTCCAGGAGACAGAGGTTGCAGTGAGCCGAGATCATGCCACTGCACTCCAGCCTGGGCGACAGAGCAAGACTCCGTCTCAAAAAAAAAAGTCTGGGCGCAGTAGCTCACGACTATAATCCCAGCACTTTGGGAGGCCGAGGCGGGCGATTCACGAGTTCAGGAGATTGAGACCATCCTGGCTAACATGGTGAAACCCCGTCTCTACTAAAAATACAAAAAATTAGCCAGGCGTGGTGGCGGGTGCCTGTAGTCCCAGCTACTCAGGAGGCTGAGGCAGGAGAATGGCGTGAACCTGGGAGGCGGAGCTTGCAGTGAGCCAAGATCATGCCACTGCACTCCAGCCTTGGCAACAGAGCGAGACTCTGTCAAAAAAAAAAAAAGGCAAAAGCTGCTATTACTTTTACTTTTGCATCACCCTAATACAATAGTGAGTGTACCACTGCACTTCAGCCTGGGCAACAGAGTGAGACCTTTTCTTGGGGAAAAAAAAAAAAAATTAACATTTTTGAGTTCAGGTGATTTTGCCAAATGTCCCTCAATTTGAGTTTGGTTGTTTCCTTATGGTTACATTCAGGTTAAACCTTTTTGGTGGCAATACTGTCTACATGAGTGGTGCTGCATCCTCAGTCAGTCCATTAAGTAAGAAGGACACAATGTCTGTTTCTCCCATTGTTGGTATAAATCTGATCACATGGTAAAGGTTGTGTCTGCCAGGGTTCTTCACTGTAAGGGTATGTTTTCCCCATTGATGATTCTTGCCTGAATGAGTTACTACTATTGTCTTAGTCCATTCTATGCTTTTATAACAGAATACCACAGACTGCATAATTTATAATGAAAACAAATACATTCTCACAGTTACGAAGGCTGGGAAGTCTGATATTAAGGTGCCAGCATCTGGCGAGGGCCTTCTGGCTGCATCATCCCATGGCAGAAAGTGAGAGGGTAAGAGAGGTGAGAGAGTGAGCAAGCAAGAGAGGGCTGCACTTGCATTTATAACAGACCCACTCTCAAGATAACAGACCCACTCTTAAGATAAAAAACCCACTCCCATGATAGTGACATTAATTCATTCCTGAGGCCAGAGCCCTCATGACCTGATCGCCTCTTAAAGGTCACACCTCTCAGCACTGTTGCATTGCAGATTAAGTTTCTAACCCATGAACTTCGGGGGGCACATTCAAATCACAGCAACCACGGTGATTATAAAATGGTAATTTTCAGGCCGGGTGCAGTGGCTCATGGCTGTAATCCCAGCACTTTGGGAGGCCAAAGTGGGTGGATCACTTGAGGTCAGGAGTTCAAGACCATCCTGGCTAACATGGTGAAACCCCATCTCTACTAAAATTACAAAAATTAGCTGAGCATGTTGGTGGGCACCTGTAATCCCAGCTACTCGGAAGGCTGAGGCAGGAGAATTGCTTGAACCCGGGAGGCGGAGGTTGCAGTGAGCCAAGATCGCGCCACTGCACTCCATCCTGGGCAATAGAGCAAGACTGCGTCTCAAAACAAAACAAGACACAACAACACAAAACAAAACAAAACAAAACAAAATTGGTAATTTTCTTTTTTTTCCTCATTCCTTCCACATTTATCAGTTTGCATTCTTCTGTAAAGACAAGCTTTAGCTTCTCCTTGCCCTTCCTTATTTTATTAATGTCAGTATGGACTTACAGAATTTTATTTTCATTAAACGAGTTATAATCCATTCCTGTTATTTATTTATTTATTTTTATTTTTTCCATTTTTTTGAGACAGAATTACGCGCTTGTTGCCTGGGCTGGAGTGCAATGGCGCAATCTCAGCTCACCGCAACCTCTGCCTCCTAGGTTCAAGAGATTCTGTGGCCTCAGCCTCCTGAGTAGCTGGGATTACAGGCGCCTTGCCACCACGCATTTTTAGTAGAGACGGGGTTTCACCGTGTTGGCCAGGCTGGTCTCAAACTCCTGACCTCAGGCAATTCACCCGCCTTGGCCTCCCAAAGTGCTGGGATTACAGGCATGAGCCACCGCGCCCGGCCCCTGTTATTTATTTTGATGCCCAAATTCAGCCAGTGAGAGAGGGCCCTTACAAGGTCACTTCTGTTTGAGTGTTCCTATTGTTTTTGAGCACTTTCTTATATTTTGGCATAGAAAGGTATTCCAGGCTCACATTGTAGTTTCCAGTTTGAGTACTAGCCATTTTCCAAAGAGTCTTGGTTCCTTTTAGTGGAGAATTATATATAAAAACCAAGATTTGGGTAGATTTGCTCAGTGCTACTGGAGTATCCTTTTTTCTGGGCCCTAGCAATAAACAGAGGTAGGAGGTTTTTTTTAATAAAAAATAGTGAATTACAAGAACTCTTGCTTATAATACAATGCCATCTAATTAATGAAAAGGAATGATTGAGTTAAGCAAATCACCATTTCACGACTGTCATAGTAAGAACTGATTCAGGCAAGAATCATCAATAGGTGCTAAAACTTGTAGGTGAAAGTTTGATGAGGAGTAAGATACTTACAGTCCCCAAACACGTACCACAAGATACCTGCTAATTAAAATGGGAAAGTTATGATGGAGAAACCTGGCAGACACCACATCAACCAAGTGCCTTCTCATGTACCCCTCTTGCTGGTCGCTTGTGTTTATGGCGGCTGATGCTTTTGACAGTTAATGTCACATCTGAGGCAGTGCTCCGTAACCCCAGCCTTGGGAGGGCACTTTTTGGGGCAGAGGACAGAGTGTCCTGTTATCTTTTGGTCTGGTTCCAGGCAGGAGCCCTTTCTCTCAGGGACTGCTTATTTTATGGGAAGGAGATCAGAGTCTGGAGCCCAGTAGCTTTGGGCTGTCTCTGTGTCCCATGTGATCCATGAAAACAGCACATGAGAATCACCAGGCCCAAAGGGGAACTCTGGGAGACCTGGTCCTGGCCCCTAACCTCAGTCTCAACTGGTTGAATCACTGGTGGACCACCTTGGATTGCCTCTTCTTGCCATAGGAAGCTGGTTGGGAGTGCTGCCAACTTTCTTGACCGCAACCTGCATTGCTCATCTTTTGTTCTTAGGGGACTGTGAAGGACAAATGGCATCTCTCCCAGCCACCTTCACATAAGACAGTGGGCTCAGCTCAGGCCCAGCCAGGTCCATCACTGGAATTCAGACATGTCTGAACTTGCTGGAGTAGATGAGAACCCCACAGGAGCCAGAGCAGCCCGGGGCCAGGGCCTCCTGGGAAGACTCGGCCTGAAAGTAACCTTTGGTGACCACACCTTGCTATCCAGTGGGCAGGCAGATGCTGTCCTTTCCTCAGACTGGCCTGCAGGCTACAGCCGTGCCCATCTGCAGAGATAAGGTGGTTTGCCCTCAGGACGCAGATGGCAGAGAGGCCTGCTTCCCGTTCATATAAGTAAAATCTAATAGTATCTACTTTTTTTATTGTTGTTTTTGTGTAAGAATGGTTTTATTTGTTCCTTAAATGTTTGGCAGAATTAGTGAAATCATCTAGGCCTAAAGTTTTCTTTGTGGGAAGGTTTAAAATGATGAATTTTAGGCTGGGCGCTGTGACTCACACCTGTAATCCCAGCACTTTGGGAGGCCAAGATTGGCGGATCACCAGAGGTCAGGAGTTCGAGACCAGCCTGGCCAGCATGGTGAAACCCTGTCTCTACTAAAAATACAAAAAAATTAACCAGGTGTGGTGGCAGGCGCCTGTAATCCCAGCTACTCAGGAGGCTGAGGCAGGAGAATCGCTTGAACCTGGGAGGTGGAGGTTGCAGTGAGCCGAGATCATGACACTGCACCTTCATTCCAGTCTGGGCGACAAGAGCAAGACTCTGTCTCAAAAAAAAAAAAAAAAAGAAAAGATGAATTCTACTTTTTTAATTGTTATAGTGCTATTAAAATTTCTATTTATTTTTCTGTTCATAAATATTAAAAAAAAAACCTTTTATAGTTTGGTACCATAGGAAATCTGAAAAATAGATGAATATTAAAAAAAAAAATCTGGCCGGGCGCGGTGGCTCACGCCTGTAACCCCAGCACTTTGGGAGGCCAAGGTGGGCGAATCACGAGGTCAGGAGATCGAGACCATCCTGGCTAACACGGTGAAACCCCGTCTCTACTAAAAATACAAAAAATTAGCCCGTGTGGCAGCGGGTGCCTGTAGTCCCAGCTACTCAGGAGGCTGAGGCAGGAGAATGGCGTGAACCCGGGAGGCGGAGCTTGCAGTGAGCCGAGATCGTGCCACTGCGCTCCAGCCTGGGCGACGGAGCTAGACTCTGTCTCAAAAACAAACAAACAAAATTTCATAGTTTGATCCCATGGGAAATCTGAAAAAATGGGAGGCTGCTCAGAAGCTCGTCATAACAATATCCCCTCTTATATAGATAGCCTCTAGTGGTTTATAAGCTGAAGCTGAAACCATGTTCATGCACTTGATGTTGATGCCTTGCTTTATTTAGAACTCCCAAGTCCCAGGTGGGTGTTCAACATGTTTCTTTGATTAAGAAGGCAGGGTTCTGTTCCCTTCTTATAAACTCAGGCTTTCTCTCACCATTTGCTTGCCAGGCAGTGTTAGGTGTTTTGGATACAGCTGTGAGTCTGTTCCATGGAGGAGCTCATCCTTCAGTGGAAAGAGACAGAAAATGCAGTTGTGTGGTAGGTACACGGGAGAGGTGCTCTGGGTGGTCATGAGCTGCCCTGAGAGCTCAGGGGCAGATAAGCTGCTCTGCTTCCATGTGAACTTCTGTACTGTGAATTAATTCACGCGTGGCAGGTGGCCAGGGGAAGGATGTTGGTATAATGGAGACACTGCTTTGGTTCACCTGTGATTTTGCCTAGGCAAAGGAGGTGGAATAGTGGGAGGAGAATGACAGTGTTCAGCAGGAAAGGAAAAAGCCCTCTGACTGCTCTGCCGCAGGAGCCCCTGTGGGCTCCTGGGAACAAGAAAAAAACAGTGCCTGCAGCTGGCACTCCCGTAGAAAGCCACATCCTAGCCTGCTGGGGTCTTGGCCGTGGCAGGCTACGCTGCCTCCAGGCCCATCTTAGTAACAGCCCCCTGGCTCAGAACTCCTCTTTCATCTGCACTGTCTTGGCACCTGTCAGCCTTGCTCTAATTAAAGTTTGCCAGGCTTTCTATTTGACTTTTTTGGTGCAGTTTTAATATCCATGGTGGCAGCCTCTTGCCCCACTGAACTGCCTGCCTGGGTGTCCCAAAAGATTTTGTTAGTGCTCTAGTGACAATGTTTTGTAGGTTTGAGTGGTCTGCTCTAGCCCCATGTTTCACAGAAGTCCTGTTAATATGTGGAATAAGATAACATGAGGTTTTCTAAGAATGTATATATTGCTTTATAGCAGAAATGTATGTATTTCAGAGGAATTTAAAGCTTGTGAGCTAGATAGACTATAAACGGAAGAAACATCCCTAAAACAAACAGGAAACAATTTTAAGAAGCGGCAGTAGAACTCTGTGTGCATTTACTTAGCAATCTGCATTTCTAAAGTGCTTTGTACACATTCCGTCTATGTTAAAAGCCTCAGCAGCAGGTTGGAGGCGGGTTCTGGGGCTAGTGTTTCCGATGGGAAGCTCAGGCTCCATCCAGCCTGTGGCTGGACTGGCCAGGCTCAATGTCACTCCCCAGGTAGCTGCCCTTGATCTATACTAGGAGCACCTTGAGAGCTGGGAATTGATTTCTAAGCCTGGTTTGAGCTGAGGGCCACAGAGCCAGTGCAGGAGGAGACCCTGCCCCAGAAATAGGCCAGTGCTTGTTATGCAGGCCTTGGCGGTTCCCCGTTTCCTTACGTAACCTCAGTGTTCACGCTGTTTCCTTTTGTTGATTCCCTCCGTGTGACTGTTTTTCTGTCAATCTCCTTAGCTAATGAGCTCCTTATAAGGAGAATGGATGGATCAGAGCACAGCTCCGTACACAGTGGTGGGGCATAGCCATTTCCCAGAGTGTGGACTTTCCCAGAACTCCCCTGTTGTGTGGGCCTGCAAAGGCTGGGATTGTTTCTGCCTTGTTTGGAATAATAAAGCTGCCTGTGTTTCCTGTGTTCACTTTTCAGTCGCCTGTTATTCACTCTCCTACATTTGGGGCGGTTGTCCTGCTTCCCTGGCCTCACTGCAGTGCTCAGTGACCTCTGCAGCAGAGCAGTGACTGCCACGGGCTGGCGAACGGAAGGACGGAAGGACGTGGCCCATGCCCTTCAGGAATGTTTTGGGGAGATGGACAAACGCATGCAGACCTGAGGGTGTTCGGAGCACAGGGAGGGAGGCAGAGTCTGCAGCAAGGGGTGGGGCCGAGGAGGGAGACTGGCCTGGGGAGAGGACAGAGGCCCAGCAGGAAGTGGGAAAGGAGAGGGCGTGGCAGGTGGTTACCAGAGCCCTCCTGAGATGCCAGAGTCCCCAGGGGTTCGTTCCTTCCAGTGTCCTGCCCAGTGCAGGGACACCTGCTTGCCTTTTTTTTTTTTTTCGAGATGGAGTCTCGCTCTGTCACCCAGGCTGGAGTGCAGTGGTGCAATCTCACTCAGTTCACTGCAACCCCCGCCTCCTGGGTTCAAGTAATTCTCCTGCTTCAGCCTCATGAATAGCTGGGATCACAGGCATGCGCCAACACACTCGGCTAATTTTTGTATTTTTAGTGGAGACGGCTTCACCACGTTGGCCAGGCTGGTCTCGAACTCCTAACTTCAGGTGATCCACCCACCTCGGCCTCCCAAAGTGCTGGGATTACAGGCGTGAGCCACCGCGCCCAGCCAAAGGGACAGATTATTAAAGAAGATAAGAATGGGAGAAGGTGGAGGATGCAGGGGCCAGGGCACGTGGGGAAGGACACTTCCTCAGCTGTACTGTTGCACTCCAGCCTGGACGACAGAGTGAGATTCCGTCTCAAAAAAACAAAACAAAACAAAAAATGATATTACAAAGGACATAGACCAGGGTGAGGTGTGAGAAAGAGCGAGGCGTTTCCATGCCCTCCTTGGGTGCACCATCCTTCAGGAACCTCCATGTGTTTGGCTGTCCTGTAGCTCTCCGTACCTTTTCGTCGTAGCCCTTTTTTGGATTCTCCATTGAATAGACATGACTCAAGCATGGACAACTGGGTGGCAGTGTGAGTGGACGAAAAGGCATGATTCAGACTGACAGGCTGAATGGGGAAACTCAGCAAAGCCTATCTGTTCCAATGCTTCTTGGCCTCTCTGTGCGGCTCCTTCTAGGGGAGGGGCAGGACCCCTTCTGAAATGCGGGTCTTATGAGTCACAATCAAACAAGGTAGATCAGAGAATTTCTTTATGGACAGCTCCAAGACAGAAAGACAGAGGAAGATATATTTTTAGTTATCATGGCCTGTCTTGGGGAGAAGTAACAAGGGCTATGGGAGTTATGTGCCAGGAACTGTGGACCAAAGCCAACACAGCTGACCCTTGAACAGCACAGGTTTGAACTATGCAGGTCCACTTGTATTGGATTTTTTTCAACCAAACATGACTGAAAATGCAGTATTCCTGGGATGTGAAACCCACATATACGGAGGGCTGCTGACTGCGGAACCTCAGTATGTGAGGACTTTGGCATACATGGGGATCCTGCAACCAACCCCCTGTGTGTACATACGGTGAGGTGACTATACATACATACCATAACATCGCAGAGCACACTCCGCTTCCTACAGAGGTTGTGCTGAGGGGTCTGGTTATGTCCTCCAGCATGCCTCTTTTTGCTGTCCTTGAGGACTGCCTCCCAGGAGGGTGGCAGAAGCCCCTTCCTTCAAGTCTTCAAGCTGCTGACCTATGGCTGTGTGGTCAGGCGGAGGAGGGAGCTGGAATTTGTGAGTTGAACATGGAAGAGCTGTAGATTCCTATGCAGGAAAATGGCAGTTTGGGGCGAAATTGGAATCAGATTAGATGAGGTCTGTGTCCTGACTGCAGTTTAGCAGCAGCAGGCACATCATGTAGCCTTTCTGAGCCTTGGCTTCCACGTCTGTAAACTGAGGATAGCAGCTCTCACCTCAGGAGGCGTGGTTTGATGAGATGTGAGGGGTCCACAGCCCAGAGCTGCCCAAATAGCAGGTGCATAGGCGGTGGCAGCTGTGCCATGGATGTGTCCGGACAGCTGGGGGAGGGTGTGCAGGCATCTGTCACCAAAACTTGGGGTTTGGTTGTGCGGTTCCTCCCCTGCCTCAGCTGATAACTTTCTCCATCCTTCTCTGAGGTAACAGCAGTTCTCAAGGAGATGCTGGCCCATCTTCTCACCACTCAACTGTCCCACTCCCTGCACTGGCGCTGTTCTTGTCCTTCCTTCCACTGCAGCTGAGGAAGTGTCCTTCCCCACATGCCCTGGACCCTGCATCCTCCACCTCCTCCCATTCTTACCTTCTTTAATAATCTGTCCCTTTGGCCGGGCGTGGAGGCTCACGCCTGTAATCCCAGCACTGTGGGAGGCTGAGGTGGGCGGATCACGAGGTCAGGAGATCGAGACCATCCTGGCTAACACAGTGAAAACCCATCTCTACTAAAAATACAAAAAAAGAAATAGCCGGGTGTGGTGGTGGGCGCCTGTAGTCCCAGCTACTCGGGAGGCTGAGGCAGGAGAATCGCTTGAAACCAGGAGGCAGAGGTTGCAGTGAGCTGAGACGCGCCATTGCACTGCAGCCCTGGCGACAGTGTGAGACTCTGTCTCAAAATAAATAAATAAAATAATAATAATAATCTGTCCCTTTTTCCTGCATCTTCTCTACTGATCATTTTCAGCAGTGTGCCCGCATCCACCATTCTCTTGATCTTTATCCCACTCTTCCTTTAATCCTCTCTTTCAGGAAATGCAAATGCGTAGGGGGAAACCCTAAGGAATCATCCTCCAGTCTTCATCTTCCTGCACCTGTTGATCTGCAAGACCTGTTGGTTCTGCCTCCACAGCGCATATCCACTTCCATCATTTTTGCTGTCACCCTGGCCCAAGCCGACGTTGTCTCGAGTCAACTACCGAAATAGTTTCCTAGCTGATCTCTCTGCTTTTCTTCTGGCTCCCCTAAAATTCAGTCTCCGTACTCTGGCCAGGTGACCTTTATACAACAGAAATCAGTACCATCCCCTGCTTAAAAGTCTTCCATGGGTCCCGGTGCCTATGAACTGGCCCCTGCCTCATCTTGGGCTCATTTTCCTGCATGAAAGCAGCACATGTTGTTCTCTCGGCCTGGTATGTTCTACTTTTCAAATTTCTCACTCCTCAACCTTTAGCTTCTGCCTGAAAGGCCTCCTGACATCCTGTATCCAAGGCCTCCATGTTTCTCTTCTCAGTGCATCCAGTTCATTTTGGTATAGCGGAACCCGTCGCAATTCATAACTTCGTATTTATATGTTTACTTATTTTCTGTGTTTCCCATTAGCTTATGTTCCACAAGGGCAGTGATTGTGTTTCCAGTGCCTAGCAGAATGTGTGGTACAAATGAAAAACTCTTCGAATGAACTAATGAACCAACAGGGAAGAGTGGTGGTGATGGAGGTTTACAGAGAAGGCAGTGACCAGCTGCCCCACTGATTTAATTAGCTGCTTTTCCTTATCCAAGAGAAGGCATGACAGTTTTGCACATGTGTCGGATCCAGCAGCTATGAGAAGTTCAGATGGGGTGGACTCCAGTTGTTGTTCTGAACTCTAGTAGGAAGCCACCCCTATGAATGAGCCTCTATGTACAGGGTGCTGCAAATATAAAATCGCTTTAAAAAAAAGAGGCAGCATAACATAGTGCAAGGAACACAGGCCTGTGAGTACTGATTTAGCTTCTGGTCTTTGGTTTGTGTATTAGCTTTGTTCTTCTTTTCTTTGTTTTCTTTTCTTATTTGTGAAATAAGAGAGATTGGACTAGAAAGATAAAAGTCCTCTCCAGTTTGGCTGTGTTAACGGAGTACCTCACAGTGTTATCAGCAATCGAAACATTTAATTATCTTTTGAAACCAGAATATGGAGCTGTGATGGTTCTAGGGTTAGTCAGGTGGTTCAAAGGTGTCATCAAGGACCCAGGCTCTACTATTGTCTTCTGCTTTGCCATCAGCTTTGTCTCCAGGCTTGTCCCTTATGGTCACAGTGTGGCTGCTACAGCTGAGGGCATCACACCCTTCCACAAGAGCATCAAAAGCAGAAAAGGATGGTCATGGGGCAGAGCTGTCCTTATGGGTCCCTCTCTCTTCATCAGGGAGTAAAATCTTTCCTGGAGGTCCCTAGCAGATGTCCTTGTATGTCTCACTGGCCAGAACCACTTCATGTATCCACTAGACCAATCATGAGAATGGAAGTGCCATAATTTCCTTATCCCAAACATAAATTCATCCCCCAGAGCTGACCTGTTACCCGCTGTACTCGATACAGCTTAGTCCTGTGAACAAAGGAGGAGTAAGGGCAGGCTGCTGCATGGGCTGCCTCATGGACCTGAAGTTCTGTGATTCTTAGGACTCCGCCTTTGGGAGGCTTCCTTGTTATGCTGCAGGGACTAATTGTGTTATTCACATCTCCAGTGAGGCAATGGCAGAGAACAACTGTTTTTAAGGAAGGCTTTACATTCCTGAATGAGGTGGGAAACAGATGAATTCACTGGCCAAGACAAATTCAGTGAAAAAACTGAGCCCAGCAGGTCTTCTGTAGTATAGGGGCCCATGATTGAGCTGCCTGTTGCTAAGAGGGAGTAGAAAAGATTAGAGATCATTGTAAATTATGAGGCAAGACCTCAGCTAACTTCCTCAGCAAACGACTGGTTCTTCTGCCTGTTCAGGCTGCAACCTCAAGTATTCCTAGTAAGTAGAATCTTTCTTTAAAGCTGCCTAATAAAGTCAGATAATAAATGATGAATGTATTTGTAATGGCCATTTTTTTTTTTTTTTTTTGAGATGGAATCTCACTCTGTCGCCCAGGTTGGAGTGCAATGGTGTAATGATCTCGGCTCACTGCATCCTCTGCCTCCCAGGTTCAGGCAATTCTCCTGTCTCAGCCACCTGAGTAGCTGGGATTACAGGTGCCCACCACCATGCCTAGCTAATTTTCGTATTTTTAGGAGAGACGGGGTTTCACCGTGTTGGCCAGGCTGGTCTCAAATGCCTGACCTCAAGTGATCCGCCTGCCTCGGCCTCCTGAAGTACTGGGATTATAGGCATGAGCCACCATGCCTGGCCTGTGATGGCCATATTAAGAACATACTATGTGCTGGGAACTGTGCTAGGTCTTCGGGATACCAATACAAAGGGACAAGGTCCTAGTCCTTAAGAGGCTGACATTCCAGTTGAGGGATACCACAGGTATCAGATAAGCCAGCTCTATGACAAGTGAGTTATGGGGCAGGAGAATGGGAGTGGCCACCTCTACCTAAGAGGTGAGCAAGAAAGGAAGTGACCTTTTAAGAGCAACAGATGCTTTGTCTGATGTTGAGAATAGCATGAGCCAGAGGGAGCCATTGGTTAAGAATGGCAGGCACTGGACGTGTGGAGCCGAGGCTGGGGGGTTCTGCGGCCATGCTGGGAAGTATACGTCTTACACTGCAGGTAAAGCAAACAAACACTTCCCATGGGCAAGTCTTCAGGTAATGTCAATCAAATTATTTCCCAGTTTTCTCTTCCAGAGATTACAGAAGGATTTTATTTCATTTACTTAATACATTACATTGATTATGTTCATTTATACATTACATATGTATTATGGACCAGTTGTTAATAACAAAATGTGTACCTTTGCTATAAACCATGGATAGACTAGTGTATAGCAAAATGTCTAAAAGGGATATTATGGCATCTGTTGCTCTTATAAGGTCACTTCCTTTCTTGGTCACCTCTTAGGCAGAGGTGGCCGCTCCCATTCTCTTGCCCCATAACTCACTTGTCATAGAGCCTGCTTATCTGATACATGTTGTATCTCTCAACTGGATACTGGTCAAACCTCTTAAGGACTAGGATCTTGTCCCTTTGTATTGGTATCCCCAGTAGTGGTTTCTAGTATTTTTTTGTTGTTTGTTTTTTTGAGATAAGGTCTTGCTCTGTCACCCAGGCTGGAGTGCAGTGGTGCAATCACAGCTCACTGCAGCCTCAACCTCCTGGGCTCAAGTGATCCTGACTCTCCCACTTCATTCTCCCGAAATAGCTGGAACCACAGATATACACCACCGTGCCCGGCTAAGTTTTGTACTTTTTTGTAGAGATGGAGTTTCACCATGTTGCCCAGGCTGGTCTCCAACTTGTGATCTAATGGCTTGAAGATGACCAAAAAATTTAATATTTGCTATTTCCCAATTTTTATCAACTCTGCTGCTAGTATTTCTCAGTAGACAGGGGCACTGCTAGACTCTTGTTCTCCAGCAGTCTGCAGAGGTATTCAGAAATGATTCTGCCCATAGTCCTAGGCAAATGTCTTGTGGTGTTTGTGGGAAGCCAGAAAGATCCTTGCCTGGAGCCACAGGTGGTGCTGACTCCAGTGCTTACTGCCTCAGGCCTTTGTTCAAGTGTCACCTTATCCATGATGTCAGCCTCTTTAAAACTACAGTCCTGCCCATCCTGATCTTTCTTACTCTGCTTTTTCATGTTTCATACCACATATATCTCCATACTGTTTATTATTATGTTTACCCCTGCTAGATCTGAGTCTGTTAAAATTTAGTAGGGATCTCTGTGTGTTCTGTTCACTGATGTATCTCAAGCACTTAGAACAGGGTTCCTCAACCCCTGGGCTGCAGACTAGTACTGGTCCGTGGCCTGTTAGGAACTGGGCCACACAGCAGAAGGTGAGCAGGCAGGCGAGCATTACTGCCTGAGCTCTGCATCCTGTCAGATCAGCAGCATTCGATTCTCATAGGAGCTAACCCTATTGTGAACTGTGCACGCAGGGGATCTACGCTGTGCGCTCCTTATGAGAATCTAATGCATCACCCCCCGCCCCTGGTCTGTGGAAACATTGTCTTCCATGAAGCTGGTCCCTGGTGCCAGAAAGGTTGGGGACCACTGACCTAGAACAATGCCTTACAGAAGACCTAGACTCAAAGAGCGGTACCTAGGTAGGTAGGAAGTATAGGAAGTCGATCGGTTTTTGGAAACTGTGACTTGAAGCAAAATGATGCACTGTATAACAAAGCCAATTTTACCACAGTTGATACTGTTAAAAGAAAAACTTCGGCTGAATTCAATTTAAAAGAGCTTAATTGAGCAAAGAATGATTCACAAATTGTGCAGCCTGCTGAGCCAAAGCAGGCTCAGAGACTCCAGTGCAGTCACGTGGTGGAAGATAATTTATGGACAGAAAAAAGAAAGTGATGGACAGAAAAAGGAAAAGTGACGTACAGAAAATGGAAGTGAGGAACAGAAACAGCTGGATTGGTTATAGCTCAGCATTTGCCCTTTTTGAACAGGGTTCGAACAGTTGGCCACATTTGATTGGCCAAAAGTCGAGGATTGGCATGAGTGCAGGCTATAGTCTGTTTACACGTCCACTTGTTGTAGTCCACGATGTACAGAGAAACCTTTAGGCCAAATTTAAAATATGTAAGGAGGCAGCTTTAGGCTAAACTTGATTTAACAATATAAACAAGAGTTAACTTCCTATGACATATACTTCAAGTCACAGTTTGAGAACCCACCGAGGACATTGAGGACTTACAGTACTCCCTTAAGGCTTCCCCACCTCTTGTCATTGGCCATCCTGTGTCACTAAACAGAAAGGAGTTGCTAAGTCAAGAATGAAGATCTTACTGAGTTTTCTAGAGCAAAGCTGCTCATCCCTGCTTGCATGTCTTTAGTATTGAGGGTAAAGGCCTTAGTGCCCTGGAAGGTGAACTTTAGAGGTTGTTAAAGGGTCATGGAAAAAAGAGGAGGTGGGGTCTTGGATTGTGGTTGCAGAGCGCTATAAACTGACCGTAACAGATGGTATTCTTTTAAACAGGTATAAAAGTTTGGTCACGGGGACCCGAGCAAGAGGGGTCATTGCTGTCCTCTGGGTCCTTGCCTTTGGCATCGGATTGACTCCATTCCTGGGGTGGAACAGTAAAGACAGTGCCACCAACAACTGCACAGAACCCTGGGATGGAACCACGAATGAAAGCTGCTGCCTTGTGAAGTGTCTCTTTGAGAATGTGGTCCCCATGAGCTACATGGTATATTTCAATTTCTTTGGGTGTGTTCTGCCCCCACTGCTTATAATGCTGGTGATCTACATTAAGATCTTCCTGGTGGCCTGCAGGCAGCTTCAGCGCACTGAGCTGATGGACCACTCGAGGACCACCCTCCAGCGGGAGATCCATGCAGCCAAGTCACTGGCCATGATTGTGGGGATTTTTGCCCTGTGCTGGTTACCTGTGCATGCTGTTAACTGTGTCACTCTTTTCCAGCCAGCTCAGGGTAAAAATAAGCCCAAGTGGGCAATGAATATGGCCATTCTTCTGTCACATGCCAATTCAGTTGTCAATCCCATTGTCTATGCTTACCGGAACCGAGACTTCCGCTACACTTTTCACAAAATTATCTCCAGGTATCTTCTCTGCCAAGCAGATGTCAAGAGTGGGAATGGTCAGGCTGGGGTACAGCCTGCTCTCGGTGTGGGCCTATGATCTAGGCTCTCGCCTCTTCCAGGAGAAGATACAAATCCACAAGAAACAAAGAGGACACGGCTGGTTTTCATTGTGAAAGATAGCTACACCTCACAAGGAAATGGACTGCCTCTCTTGAGCACTTCCCTGGAGCTACCACGTATCTAGCTAATATGTATGTGTCAGTAGTAGGCTCCAAGGATTGACAAATATATTTATGATCTATTCAGCTGCTTTTACTGTGTGGATTATGCCAACAGCTTGAATGGATTCTAACAGACTCTTTTGTTTTTAAAAGTCTGCCTTGTTTATGGTGGAAAATTACTGAAACTATTTTACTGTGAAACAGTGTGAACTATTATAATGCAAATACTTTTTAACTTAGAGGCAATGGAAAAATAAAAGTTGACTGTACTAAAAATGTATACTTGTTGCCAGGAAGGTGACCTCAAAAATTAAAAGTATAATTATTCGGCCGGGCATGGTGGCTCACACCTGTAATTCCAGCACTTTGGGAGGCCAAGGCAGGCGGATCACGAGGTCAGGAGTTCAAAACCAGCCTGTCCAATATAGTGAAACCCCGTCCCTACTAAAAAATACAAAAATTAGCTGGGTATGTGGCATGTGCCAGCTACTCAGGAGACTGAGGCAGGAGAATCATGTGAACTTGGGAGGCGGAGGCTGCAGTGAGCCCAGATGGCATCACTGTACTCCAGCCTGGGTGACAGAGTGAGACTCTGTCTCAGAAAAAAAAAAAAAAAAAAAAAAAAAAAAAAAATATATATATATATATATATATATATATATATATATATATATAAATAAAGTATTCAATCAAGAAACTGCTGTATTAATTTAGGGAAATGATTGATTGATAGTCTCATAAGTCAAATTTTCATCACATAATTTTAAGCTCCATTCTTTTCCATATACAGAAAACTACCCGTGGGGAAGAAACTGGTGAAATGGGATCCCTCCTCTACCAAATTCTGCCTTCTAGAGCTAGATAGATAGATAGGGAATTTTGCTTCTCTCCAAATTTCAAGTTTGGTTAAGTTCTTGGAACTCAAAGTGTGAAAATTTTATGAAGTAAAATTATTTAACTCTGTGTATATTAGGTTAAATAAAAATAAAACTTAAAAAGACAAGCTTAGGGTGCTGCATTGGCTTGTTGCATCTACCTTCTAAACTTTACCCTGAAGGCTGCTGGAAAAAAAGTAAGTTATGCTGAGTCCAAGTTTCCTGAGTAGCAGAAAAGTATTGATAAATTTTATCTGTTGCACTTTTTAACAAAACAAAAAGCATCTGCCAACCACAGAACATTGCAACACCTAGGCCCTGGGCTTTCCCCCAGCATTCATTCACTAGCACCTCATGTTTTGGGGGCACAAGCACAGGGCTTTCTTAGGCTGTAAAATCACCTATATCATCTGTCTGTCCACTGCTTCAACTCCTTCTGCAGTATCCCTGCAACAATATTACATGCTTATGAAATGCTGCAGACAGGGAATTCCTGTCCTTCTAGGATCCTCTTCTGGCTGTGGGCAGCTTTACCATAAGTTCTTGTCTTCTTATGCTGAAATTGATTTCATTTTCATCTTCACGTATTATTGCTTCTTTGCTCTCTCGGTGTCCAACTGAGTCTCATCGCTCTCCCTTCTAATACTCCTTCTGTCATCTATTTTGTCTTTTCTTCTTCAGACTGAAAATCCCTGGTAGTACCTGTAGTTTCCTTCCAGGACACGATTTTTAGTCTGTTCCTTCAATTGCCCTGTTGTAAAGATCAGAAGTGCAGAGTGAAACCAGTTCTTCCCTTGTTCTCGATACTAACTCTCAAACAATACAGTCTACTTAAGCTGTTTTGGCACAAGCATCACAGATATTTGAAGCTTACAGAAACCAGAACCTCTAAGTCTTTTCATACCTGCTACTGTTTAGCCACATCTCTGCTCTGATCTTCTGTTGCTGCTCAATAGTTTCCTGGACCCAAGGAAAAGAACTGACCTACTCGTCGAAACTTCATCTTACTGTTTGGCCCACCATTCCAACCTTTTAAAAATTACTAGTAATTCAGTTAGTTACTTAAGACTAAATAGGGTCAGGCGCAGTGGCTCATGCATGTAATTCCAGCACTTTGGGAGGTCGAGGCGGGCAGACCACTAGGTCAGGAGATGGAGACCATCCTGGCTAACACGGTGAAACCCCATCTCTACTAAAAAAAAAATACAAAAATTTAGCCGGGCATGGTGGCGGGTACCTGTAGTCCCAGCTACTCGGGAGGCTGAGGCAGGAGAATGGCGTGAACCCGGGAGGCGGAGCTTGCAGTGAGCTGAGATCACGCCACTGCACCCCAGCCTGGGCGACAAAGTGAGACTCCATCTCAAAAGAAAAAAAAAAAGACTAAATAATGTGGACACAACATGATATTAGGCTTTATTTGAATTTAAAATCTTGATTCCATCCAGGGACATTTTTTACCGAAGCGTCTCAGAGACTGGCTCAGGGTATTTCTTGACAAGACTGTACAGGGCTTCTCATCATACACAAACCCTCCACAGCCCACGGCTCCAACCCACAGCACCTCCTGCAGTCCTGGAGGGAAAAGGGACAGTAACATGAAGTGTCTGAAGATCCATTTCACCTCTTTTCCATGTGAATCATGACGCTTTCAATGCATTTCTTGACAGGATTCTATTTTGAAAGAATGATGCTCAATCTGTACCTTTTATGCTTCTTGTTTCTTCTCCATCAATAATATGTCAGTCAACTGCTTGTCAGAGACACTTAGCTGCTGACAGGTCCTCATAACCTGACTCAGGTAAACTGCCAAGAGATGCTTGCACTGGAATATAAAACACACACACCTATTAGAAACAGGCAGGGCCAGGGCTGGCCAGTCTAACCAAGATTTCTCATTACCATCTTATTTGGCAGGAGAAGACTAGAGCATACAGATTACGGGGTCTCTAACTGATTGTCTAAAAAGTGCAGATGGGCCGGGCATGGTGGCTCACACCTGTCATCCCAGCACTTTGGGAGGCTGAGGCGGATGGATCACTTGAGATCAGGAGTTCGAGACCAGTCTGGCTGATATGGCAAAACCCTGTCTCCACTAAAAATACAAAAATTAGCTGGGTGTGGCGGTACATGCCTGTAATTCCAGCTACTCAGGAGGCTGAGCCATGAGAATCGCTTGAACCCAGGAGGTGGAGGTTGCAGTGAGCCGAGATCACGCCACTGCACTACAGCCTGGGTGACAGAGCCAGACTGTCTCAAAAAATAAATAAATAAAAACTGCAGATAAAGATGATGAGACAGGAGTATTCTCTTTAGAAATCAGAGTGGACACAGACTTACTTTGCCTGCTGCTTTGGGAAATGGCTTAGATCCATCAGGCACAAGGTATGTAACCCATGGTGAAAACCCAGACTACCTGCACTCCTCACGTTAGTCCTAAGTTATATTTCTTCCTTGCCTTCAGAAAGCTGTCACAGCAATGGTTAACATTCCTTGAGGCACTAGGCTGTGAAGTGCTTCTCATAGATTATCTCACTGAAATCTGACAGCTCCCTAGGAAGACAGGTATTGTAACCACATGCTCATCAGAGTCTCTAGGCTACTCTCTCTTTTTTTTTTTTTTAATTTTAATTTTAATTTTTGTTTTATTTATTTATTTATTTATTTTTATTGATCATTCTTGGGTGTTTCTCACAGAGGGGGATTTGGCAGGGTCATAGGACAATAGTGGAGGGAAGGTCAGCAGATAAACAAGTGAACAAAGGTCTCTGGTTTTCCTAGGCAGAGGACCCTGCGGCCTTCCGCAGTGTTTGTGTCCCTGGGTACTTGAGATTAGGGAGTGGTGATGACTCTTAACGAGCATGCTGCCTTCAAGCATCTGTTTATCAAAGCACATCTTGCACCGCCCTTAATCCATTTAACCCTGAGTGGACACAGCACATGTTTCAGAGAGCACAGGGTTGGGGGTAAGGTCACAGATCAACAGGATCCCAAGGCAGAAGAATTTTTCTTAGTACAGAACAAAATGGAAAGTCTCCCATGTCTACTTCTTTCCACACAGACACAGCAACCATCCAATTTCTCAATCTTTTCCCTACCTTTCCCTGCTTTCTATTCCACAAAACCGCCATTGTCATCATGGCCCGCTCTCAATGAGCTGTTGGGTACACCTCCCAGACGGGGTGGTGGCCGGGCAGAGGGGCTCCTCACTTCCCAGTAGGGGTGGCCGGGCAGAGGCGCCCCTCACCTCCCGGACGAGGCGGCTGGCCAGGCGGGGGGCTGACCCCCCCACCTCCCTCCCGGACGGGGCGGCTGGCTGGGCGGAGGACTGACCCCCCCCACCTCCCTCCCGAATGGGGCGGCTGGCCGGGCAGAGGGGCTCCTCACTTCCCAGTAGGGGCGGCTGGGCAGAGGCGCCCCTCACCTCCCGGATGGGGCGGCTGGCCGGGCGGGGGGCTGACCCCCCCACCTCCCTCCCGGACGGGGGGCTGACCCCCCCACCTCCCTCCCGGACGGGGCGGCTGGCCGGGCGGGGGGCTGACCCCCCCACCTCCCTCCCGGACGGGGGGCTGAACCCCCCACCTCCCTCCCGGACGGGGCGGCTGGCCGGGCAGAGGGGCTCCTCACTTCCCAGTAGGGGCAGCCGGGCAGAGGTGCCCCTCATCTCCCGGACGAGGCGGCTGGCCGGGCGGGGGGCTGACCCCCCCACCTCCCTCCCGGACGGGGCGGCTGGCCGGGCAGAGGGGCTCCTCACTTCCCAGTAGGGGCGGCCGGGCAGAGGCGCCCCTCACCTCCCGGACGAGGCGGCTGGTCTAGGCTACTCTCTTAACTACTGTGTTATACTTCTGGGGTTGGGGGGCGGGGAGTAGTGGCAAAACTCTTGCATATATTGGCCTGTACACACCTCTGGGGAGATGATTGCGTTGAATCTGATGTCAGAGAACACAGCTTTAGATCTTGAAGGGGTTTTGGTTCAATCCTGTCTCTTGCAGTTGAGATACACTTAGGGCACATCAGTTACGAATGTGGCCTCTTGGACAATGCTATACCCAACTTGCCAGCCAGGTCCCAAGATGTTTAAGAAGTTAACAGTGTAAAAGAAAGGGAAAGAATGGAGTGGACATCATTATTTTCTTCTTTCGCAAGACTTAGAAAACAGCTGCCTGCTTTCAGGAAGGTAGTGTTTTTTCCTTTGGAATAAGGTGTGTGTGAGTATGTCCTGTTTCTGCTTCATGGTCTGGACTCTGATGAAATTGGCAAAGGCTTAAAGGAATAGGTGAAGGTACTCATGCCCCATGTGAAGGTCAAGTGTGGTGTCAGGCTGTCTCACAGGTAGTGCAAAGATATACCACATGGCTGAAAGTAGGATATGCAAAGTTGTCAACATCGAATTTAGTTCATATTTTTATGGGGCCATCTAATTCCCCAGTGCCCACTTCTGGGATTCCCTTTTTTTCCTTCTCAAAGCTTCACTCATGATCTTTTACATAAAAATTCAGGAAATTGATGCAGTTCTAAAAATGACATTGCATTTTGAGAGGCTAAACCCCTAAGAGGTGACTAACTGAAGACAAAGACAAAAAACTACCATTTGTTTCAACATATAATAAGATTCCCATTTTGTAGAATAGTTAAACCACAAAGTAAGGGCAATTTCTCTCTACATTCAACTACAGTGGGAAGAGTCTTCCCCATCCTCACCAGGATGCTGTCACTCTTCCGTAGCACTGAGAATGCAAATGCAGGACATGAACAGTAATGACAAGAAGCCAAACATGTGTATGTTTTACTGGAACTTCCAAGGACCTACAAAGAAAGGATAGATGGGATCAGACCTCAGATGTGCTGGAAAAACCACCTCTTTCCCTTTTTATTTATGTAGACTCAGAGTTGCTCTGCAAATTGCACCGAGAAGAACTGCAGTAATGTTTTACATAAAAGAGGAAACAACTTCTCTTCCTCCAGTGTACAGACTCTCCCTTCCTCACCTCTCAGTGCTCACCTTTAGGACAGCATATAAAGGAACTGAAGAGTTTCAGATTAGTTCAACCAACCACATAAACCATTCTGTTCCTACGCCTAGTGATTCATGGGGCCCACTCTATGGGCTGACTGTAATAAGAAGGAAGTGGGGGGGGGGAATCTCTCATCTACATTTTATTGTGGGGGTTCTTAACCTTTGGTATTTCACAGCAGGTGTATAAATTTCTAAAGCTTCCTACATACCTAAAGAGAGAGTAAAAACAGGCAAAGGGTCAGTAGCAGGGCAGGAGTAAGATAAGTCTCAGGCCGGGTGTGGTGGCTCAAAGCCTGTAATCCCAGCACTTTGGGAGGTCGAGGTGGGAGGATCACTTGACCCCCCCCAGAGTTCAAGACCAGCATGGGCAACATGGTGAGACCTCGTTTCTATAGAAAAAAAAATTTTTTTAAAGTCAGGTATGGTGGCACATGCCAGTAGTCCCAGCTACTCAGGAGGCTGAGAAGGGAGGACTGCTTGAGCCTGGGAGGTCAAGGCTGCAGTGAGCTGTGACTGCACCACTGCACTGCAGCCTGGGTGACAAAGATCCCATCTCTAAAATAAAGATAGGTCACAGAAGAACAAAAGAAGAAACTGGGAAGAGGCTTTTGAAAAGCATTTGAGAGCAGAGAGAATAAATAAAGCAAAGACCCTTGCGAAAGGAATGACTCAGCTGTTCAGGATGGAGGTCTCAGGAAAAGAGGCAGGCCCAGATCTGCCTACTCATCTAGCAGGATGGAAGGAGGACACTGATACATAGTGGGTTGATAAGAGGCACAGTCTAACAGTCTTGGTGGTGGTCAAGAGGGACAAAAAGGAGAGGTACAGGAGAAACAAGACACATCTGTAGTATGATCGCACAAATTTGCTGGAGAAATCCTTTGTTTAAGTCTCTCTACCACCAAGCAGCCAAAAACTTTTTGTTGAGGTCTTCATTCCTAGAGTTAACTTCCCACCTGGAGGCGTAAGATTATTATTAGTATCTGAGGGAAGCAGAAATGTCCTGAGGGTGATTTTATAATGAACTGCCACTTAGGAATTTGCCACACAGCCTTCAAAGCACTTTTAGGCTCTCAGATGGCAATCTAAATGAAAAAGCAAGGACTTTTAAATTTTTTTTGAATTACAATGTTAGCACTCCTAGGATTCTTTAATCTTTCTTACCCACAGAGAATAAAGCTACAGGTATGGTTTGACTGCAAGAACAAACAGCAGGTTCCACTGCTGTGCTTTTGTCACATTTTCAGTGGTTCATATAATGCAGTTATCCCAGTACAGCTTTTATTAACATTTTTTTTTAATTTTTGTTTTTTGGAGACAGGATGTTGTTCTGTCATCCAGGCTGGAGTACAGTGGCAGATCATAGCTCATTGCAGTCTTGAATCCCTCGGCTAAAGTGATCCTCCCACTTCAGTCTCCTGAGGAGGTAGGAGTACTGGTGTGCGCCACCACCCTATGCTAATTTTAAAATTTTTTTTGTAGAGATGGGGTCTTGCTATGTTGTCCAGGCTGGTCTTTAACTGCTGGGCTTAAGTGATCCTCCCACCTTGGCCTCCCAAAGCACTGGGATTACAGGCATGAGCTACCACACCCAGCCTCAGTATGGTTTTTTGACGCAGTCAGAATTCCTCGGGAGATTTTAGGTTACCAGAAATAGCCAATGATTGGGTAAGAAGATGCCTACTGAACACATTCAAGATTTCAGTTCAGGCCGGGCATAGTGGCTCACGTCTGTAATCCCAGCACTTTGGGAGGCTGAGGCGGGTGGATCATGAGGTCAGGAGTTCAAGACCAGCCTGGTCAATATGGTGAAACCCCATCTCTACTAAAAATACAAAAATTAGCCAGGTGTGGTGGCGGGTGCCTGTAATCCCAGCTACTCAGGAGGCTGAGGCAGGAGAATCACTTGAACCCGGGAGACAGAGGTGGCAGTGGGCCAAGACTGCATCACTGTACTCCAGCCTGGGTGACAGGGCAAGACTCTGTCTCAAAAAAAAAAAAAAAAAAAAAAAAGATTTCCACCCAGTTACAAATTAGGTGTTGAAAAAGCACACCTTGCATATTACCTACTGCAAGGCTCTGATGTGTTATGAACATATCACCGAGACCATTCAGTATCAATGGAGAGATTTCCCCAGCATGTGTGGAAGCTTACACTGAAGGAAGAGCATTAAAGCAGATTGTTTTCTACTTAATCCTAAAGAAAAAACCCACAACATCCAGCAGTGACATGTATAATTCTTTTTTTTGAGACAGAGTTTCATTTTGTTGCCCAGGCTGGAGTGCAATGATGCAATCTTGGCTCACTGCAACCTCCACCTCCTGGGTTCAAGCCATTCTCCTGCCTCAGCCGCCTGATTAGCTGGGATTACAGGCATGTGCCACCATGCCTGGCTAACTTTTGTATTTTTAGTAGAGATGGGGTTTTGCCATGTTGGCCAGGCTGGTCTTGAACTCCTGACCTGAGGTGATCCACCCGCCTCAGCCTCCCAAACTGCTAGGATTCCAAGCATGAACCACCACTCCCGGCCTATAATTCTTGGGTGTCTAAACTATTACCAATGAATACAACTTTAGGTTTCTTCTCCCTTTAGTTATCTCGTCTCTTCTCTCTAGATTTAAACTTAAGCAAGCAGAAGCCTCTGGGATTCTGTACTGACTAGAATAATTCACTGCTTCCTTCTTATTGCGAGTCCCCGTCCATCATAATCCTCCCTGGATCATGCTGAATAAACAGCTGGTGACTTGAGATGGGGAGAAATTCTACAGAGTTTCCTTGCCTGAGCCTTTCAAGGGCTAAGACTCAAAATGTTCAACTGCCTAAAGCAATAAACACCAAAAGAGGTTAAATTTCGAATTTGCTTTTCGCTTATCTAGCAGTGGACAACTAATGAACCCAACAATCAGGCAAAATCTGAGTTAGAAACATTTAGAACTGGAAATTGACCTTAAGGATAACATAATTCAATTCCTTCACCCTTCAGTGAAAAAACAACTTCCTCTTACAGGAATTGCTCCTAGTTTTCCCGCTTATAGTCTGGAATGTTTATCCCCAGAAGGAGAGAGCTTTTTAAAAAAGGAACATGCTGGAAAGAGGATACTCAGACCATGGCTGACAGAACTTGTAGGAACCTCACTTGGAGGTGGTTTCTACTGTGGTTCTACTGTGGTTTCAGTTAGGTCGCAAGGAGAGGTGACCCATCTACATGGTCATCCATTCATGGGTACAGTTTTATTTTATGACCGCTCCAAGCCTCTTAGGACACTCCACAGTGTCTTTGTTATTGTTCCTTGTGTTTGGTGCTTCTCTCTGAAAACAGGATTATACATTCCTGGCCTGTTAAATACAGGCTGGCCATGTGACCTGCTTTAGTAAAATCTGAGTAGCCAAGCGAAAAATGTTAAAAATTGTGTACCATGTTTTCCTTTTTCTCTTTGAGATTCACAGTGTTCCAGATATGGGCTGCTTTGCCCACTGGGATCCCTGCATGAAGCTGTTTTGGAACAGAGCTACAGCTGGCTCCTGGTGGATACACAGCATGAATGAGATCTAAAACTTTGTTTTTGTAAGCCTTTCAGATTTGGGGTCATTGATACCACAGCATAACTTAGCCTCTCCTGACTGAAACATCCTCCTTATTAAGTGAATCAAAAAAGTATAAAAAGTGGCCAGGAGTGCAGGCTCACGCCTGTAATCCCAGCACTTTGGAAAGCAAAGGTGGTGGATCACCTGAGGTCAGGAGTTTGAGACCAGCCTGGACAACATGGTGAAACCCCATCTCTACTAAAAATACAAAAACTAGCCAGGCGTGGTGGTACACACCTGTAATCCCAGCTACTCAGGAGGCTGAGGCAGAAGAATCACTTGAACCCAGGAGGCAGAGGTTGCAGTGAGCTAAGATCATGCCAATGCACTCCAGCCTGGGCAACAGAGCGAGACTCTGCCTTAAAAAAAAAAAAAAAAAATTATAGAAAACAACTCAGGTGTCAGCAACATAACAATGACTTTAGAATTATTTCACATTACATCTGGAGAACAATAATATTAGAGTTGACCTATGGGATGAAGAATGACCTATGAAAAGATAACTAGCTGGGCACTAAGGCAGTATGTGACTCAACTTTTATCATCTCATACAACTCCTGAATTCAGCCAAATTCTTACTATATTACCATACAATGCAACCATTAAGGTTAATTTGAGGGTGTATAAGATTTCTACAGCCTCATTTAATTCAAAGTCCAAGATGACAGCCACAATTCTTGGAAGTTAGTATTTTATAATTAATAAAGCAATGTAATATATACCAGATGTGAACGACAAAAACTAAACCAGTGACTTAAGTTACTGTTGACCAATGGGAGGAACAAAAAGTCAACAGTAATTAAACTATTTCAAACAAAAGTCTACTTGCCAGGTCAAGTATTGTGCCCATAATGGAATCAAGACCAAATATCCCAAACTAAAAGCAATGGGAAAAACTTGAAGGTCCCTCTAGTTTCGGGTATTTTAGCTACCTAAAAACCAAAAATAAAAACACCAGGAAAGAGGACAGACACACCTCCTCAGGTACAAACTGCAAGTTCAGTGACTTTGATTATTCCTAAGTTCTCCATGAGAAAATTCATCTAATAATTGGCAGTCTCTTTTGAGTAGGACAATACCATCCAAGTTTTTTTTTGTGTTTTTGTTTGTTTGTTTGTTTTGAGACAGAGTTCTGCTCGTCACTCAGGCTGGAGTGCAATGGTGCGATCTCCGCTCACTGCAACCTCCTTCTCCTGGGTTCAAGCAATTCTTCTGCCTCAACCTCCCGAGTAGCTGGAATTACAGGCACCTGCCACCACACCCAGCTAATTTTTGTATTTTTAGTAGACACGGGGTTTCACCACGTTGGCCAGGCTGGTCTTGAACTCCTGACCTCAGGTGATCCACCTGCCTCGGCCTCCCAAAGTGCTGGGATTACAGGCGTGAGCCACCACGCCTGGCCATCTTATTTTAGTTACAAAAATTTCTGGAGGATTTTGTTAAGTGAAACTATGCTAAGTGAAATAAGCCAGGTACAGAATGACAAATACCACATGATCTCACTTATATGTGGAATCTAAAAAAAGTTGAACTCATAGGCTGGGTGCAATGGCTCATGCCTGTAATCCTAGCACTTTGGGAGGCTGAAGGGGGAGGACTGCTTGAGGCCAGGAGTTCAAGACCAGCTTGGGCAACATAGCAAGACCCTGTCTTTATTTAAAACAAAAAAAAAAGTTGAACTCATAGAAAAAGAAATAGTGGTTACCAGGGGCCTTGGGGTGGGGGAGGAAGAGGAAGATAAGGAGATATTGGTCAAAGGGTACAAAATTTCAGTTAGGAGAAATAAGTTCAGGGTATCTATGGTACAACATGGTGAATATATTTAATAACAAAGTATTGGCGGGGATGGTGCTCATACCTGTAATCCCAATATTGTGAGAGGCCAAGGTGGGAGGATCGCTTGAACCTAGGAGTTTGAGACCAGCCTGGGCAACATAGTGAGACCCTGTCTCTATAAAAACCAAGAAAAAGACTGAAGTACTGTATATTTGAAGATTGCTAAGATAATGGATTTTAAGTGATCTCACCACAAAAAAAGAAGTATATAAGGTATTAGATATGTTAATTAGCTTGATTTAGTTATTCTACAAGGTATCCATATATCAAAACATCATGTTATATACCATGAATATAGACAGTTTCTGTCAGTTAAAAGTAAATAAAAATTTTAAAAAATTATCAATTCGTTAATTTTACCAAGTTGGGGCAAAAGCCTTTTAACAGTCCAGGAAATATTTAAAGCTAGTCAACAGCTTCTACAGAGATGAAGAACATTTTGTCCTAAGGGGTTTCTGTAGGGATCACCCCCATCTCTAGACTTCTACCTGGTAAACACGCCTTCCACTGGGTGATGAGATTAAGGTGATGGACTGTCGATCAACTAGGTCCAAGGCCTGGGTGGCTGATGAGCCAAAGAGAAACTTCAGCCTGTGAAATAAAAACACTTCAGATTAGAAGGCCTGATTCTCAAAGTCACCTCAGTAACTTGCCCAAAGGATCACTAGACTTAGTATTTTTTAAAAATTCATTTTAATTTTGAAAAAAGGAAAATAATACAGCAAAACCCATGGACCCATTCACTCCCCAGAATTAATGTTAATATCTTGTGTACTTATTTCAGATCTTCTTGTATTATGTATATATGTGTGTGTGTATATATATTTATTTATTATTATTATTATTTTTTGAGATGGAGTTTTTCTTTTGCTGCCCAGGCTGGAGTGCAATGGCGCAATCTTGGCTCACCGTAACCTCTGCCTCCCGAGTTCAAGCGATTCTCCTGCCTCAGCCTCCCAAGTAGCTGGGATTGCAGGCATGTGCCACCACACCCGGCTAATTTTGTATTTTTAGTAGAAACAGGGTTTCTCCATGTTGGTCAGGCTGCTCTCAAACTCCAGACCTCAGGTGATCCACCTGCCTCGGCCTCCCAAAGTGCTGGGATTACAGGTGTGAGCCACTGCGCCTGGCCTGTATTATATTTTTAATAAAGGGAGTAAACTGTTAGTGATAAAGAAGCCCTCTTTATACTTCTCTGTAGTGCATCCTTCTTCCTACCTTCCCCTTATCCCTGAGGCAAGCACATGCATTTGTTGGTTTCCTTCCTGTTAATGTGTTCATATTAAATATTATATATAGAACATATGTATGCACACATACATAACAAACACACGTGCATAGATGTATGCATATACATATATAGTATTGTTTTAAAACATAAAAGGTATATTGTAGGCTTCTTTTTGCTGTTCCTGAAATAGCTCATGAAAAATAAAAGAAAATATAAAATATCGTAGACTTCTTTTGGCAACTTGCATTTTTTTACTCAATGCATTTTTGAAAATGAGGCATGTTGACGGACATTTATTTTTACTTTACCTTTGAATAATATTCCATTATATGTATACACTGAATTTTATTTAAGTACTCTATGTATGGACATTGTTTCCATTTTATACTATTATAAATAATATTCAATTATCCCCATACATGTCCCTTGGCATACATCTCTGAAAATCCCCCTTTAGTTTATGTAACTAAAGCATATGTTCATTTTCAACTTTAATAGATATTGCCAATAGCTCTCCAAAGTGGAAACAGGAGTGGTGGCTCATGCCTGTAATCCCAGCATTTTGGAAGGCTGAGGCAAGAGGATCACTTGAGTCCAGGAGTTCAAGACCAGCCTGAGCAATGTAGTGACACCCCATCTCTAAAGAAAAAAGAAAAAAAAAAACTAAAACACACAAAAAAGTGAAAACAGCACTCCCACCAGCACTGTATAAGACTTCTATTTTCTCAGGCCGGGCGCGGTGGCTCATACCTGTAATCCTAGCACTTTGGGAGGCCGAGGCAGGCAGATCACCAGAGGTCAGGAGATCGAGACCATCCTGGCTAACATGGTGAAACCCCGTCTCTACTAAAAATACAAAAAATTAGCCGGGCGTGGTGGCACACGCCTGTAGTCCCAGCTACTCAGGAGGCTGAGGCAGGAGAATCGCTTGAATCCGGGAGGTGGAGGTTGCGGTGAGCCAAGATCGCGCCACTACACTCTGGCCCAGGTAACAGGGAGACTCCGTCTCAAAAAAAAAATAAATGAAACAAACAAACAGAAAAACCAACTTCTACTTTCTCCATGTCCCCACTAACACCAGTATTATCAGGCTTTTTTATGTTGCCCATCTGAAGATAATAAATGTGTACTTTTTGGATTAGTAATAAGGCTATCCAACTGTTAAATGATATACAGGAAAAAACTTTGATATGTGAGAAAATTCTTATAATATTAGGTGAGAAAGGTTGAAGACAAAATTATATTTTAGGAACTCTCAAGCATGTTAACTTTTTTAAAGGAAACCTACAATTATGTCAAAATTAAAAGTTTAATTTTTTTTTTTTTTGAGATGGAGTCTCACTCTGGTGTCCAGGCTGGAGAGCAGTGGCACAATCTCGGCTCACTGCAACTTCTGCCTCCGGGGTTCAAGAGATTCTCCGGCCCAGCCTCCTGAGTAGCTGGGATTATAGGTGCAGGCCACCATGCCCAGGTAATTTTTGTATTTTTTAGTAGAGATGGGCTTTTGCCATGTTGGTCAGGGTGGTCTTGAACTCCTGACCTGAGGTGATCCCCCCGCCTTGGCCTCTCAAAGTGCTGGGGTTACAGGTGTGAGCCAGCGTGTCTGGCCTTTTTGTTTGTTTGTTTTTTGTTTTTTGAGACAAAGTCTCTCTCTGTCACCCAGGCAGGCTGGATTCCAGTGGTGCAATCATGGCTCACTGCAGCCTGAACCCCCTGGGCTCAAGTGATCCTCCCACCACCTCAGCCTCCCTAGCAGCCGGGACTACAGGTATATACCACCACATCCAGTTAATTTTTTGATTTTGTGGAGACAGGGTCTCCCTGTGCTGCCTAAGCTGGTCTCAAACTCCCAGCCCCAAGCGATCCTCATATTACAGGCGTGATCCACCATGCCTGGCCAAAATTTAATTTTTTGAAAAGGCAATAAACCGGCCAGGCGCGGTGGCTCACACCTGTAATCCCAGCACTTTGGGAGGCCGAGGAAGGTGGCTCACGAGGTCAGCAGATCGAGACCATCCTGGCTAACACGGTGAAACCCCGTCTCTACTAAAAATACAAAAAATTAGCTGGGCACGGTAGCAGGCACCTGTAGTCCCAGCTACTTGGGAGACCGAGGCAGGAGAATGGTGTGAACCCGGGAGGCGGAGCTTGCAGTGAGCCGGGATCGCGCCACTGCACTCTAGCCTGGGTGACAGAGCGAAACTCTGTCTCAAAAAAAAAAAAAAAAAAGCAATAAACCAAAATTTAAGAGTGATTATTACTGGGTGGTATGATTATTGATGCTTTTTATAGGTTTTATTTTCCAATAAAAGTTTTTTATAAGTGTGGGTTATTATTATTATTATTATTATTACTGAGTTGGAGTCTCACTGTGTTGCCCAGGTTGGAGTGCAGTGGCACGACCTCTGCTCACTGCAACCTCCACCTCCCAGATTCAAGTGATTCTCCTGCTTTAGCCTCCCGAGTAGCTGGGATTACAGGCGCATCCCACCTCCCAAGGTGCTGGGATTACAGGCATGAGCTACCACACCCGGCCTAAGTGTGGGTTATTTTTATAAACTAGAAAATAAAATGGCAGGGTTAAACTCAAACTGAAAAGTTAATGTTTTAAAGAACTTATATGACTTAACACAGAGTAAGACAAACCTAGTAAGGCTTCAAAATTAAAATGTTCAACTTCTTACTTCATTTTCCAACAAACCAGCCACATATACAACAAATTATTGGGGGAAATAGAAAAGAGTGCTTTGAATTTTTATATTAAACATATGAAGATTTAGTCTATAAAATAACAAAATACAAAAAACAATGAAATAAAATTTGTCGGGAACCTTACCAATCAATCTCAACAGTTACCTTTAAGAATTTTTTTAAGGCCAGGTGTGGTGGCTCATGCCTGTAATCCCAGCACCTTGGGAGGCCAAGGCAGGCGGAACTCCTGACCTCATCATCCACCTGCCTCGGTGTGTGCCACCTGTAGTCCCAGCTACTCAGGAGGCTGAGGCAGGAGAATCACTGGAACCTGGGAGGCAGAGGCTGCAGTGAGTTGAGATCGCGCCACTGTACTCCAGCCTCAGTGACAGAGTGAGACACTGTCTGAAAAAAAAAAGAATTTTTTTAACCTGCTCTGTCCACTTTAATACCTACTGTGAACATCTCTTGAATGCATTAAAAATTTTTCCATATCACTTTTAATGGTTACAAATAATTCTACTGTAAAGATGAATCATTTTTATTCTCCTCAAACTCCATGAATTGTTAGATTGTTTCTATGTTTTATTGCTACCATAAACAATACTGGATATTCATCACACTGAGAATATCCTCACTGTAAAATCTTTACAAACATCTATAATTACTTCCTGGGTATATGTTCTTTTATGTGGAATTTCTGGGTCAAAGAATATGTATGTTTTAAAGTTCCTATTGCCTGTTACCCTGCAATTTACATTCCTGTTATAAATGACCCCTTTCCCCATATTTGTGTCAACTTCTTTTCTGTGGTCACTAATTTTCTAGATGAAAAGTTATGTTATGTTAATTTGTATTTTTGTGGTCACTAGTAAGATTTGTCTTTTTCCTCCCAAAGGATTCGGCTATTTACATCTTTTATTCTTTGCCCTTTTGTTTTTAAAGTAGTACATTTTTTTCCAGTAATATTTAATTCTTATTAAAAATTTAAGAAATACAGTAAAGGTTAAGGCCGTTCCCTCAATTCTACCTCCTTCCTTGCCCCAAAGAAAAAACACTGGTAGAGCTTGGTATATATTCTTCAGAACTTTTATTTTTTTAGAGACAAGGTCTCACATCACCCAGGCTGGAGTGTAGTGGCACAATCATAGCTCACTGCAGCCTGGAACTTCAGGGCTCAAACAGTCCTCCTGGGACAGGTTTTGTTTTTTTTTGTTTGTTTTGTTTTGTTTTGTTTTTTTTTTGAGACAGAGTCTTGCCTCTGTCACCCAGGCTGGAGTGCAATGGCATGATCTCAGCTCACTGCAACCTCTGTCTCCTGGGTTCAAGCGATTCTCCTGCCTCAGCCCCCCGAATAGCTGGGATTACAGGTGCCTGCCACCATGCCCGGCTAATTTTTGTATTTTTAGTAGAGACGGGGTTTCACCATGTTGGTCAGGCTGGTCTCGAACTCCTGACCTCAGGTGATCCACCCGCCTCAGCCTCCCAAAGCGTTGGGATTACAGGCGTGAGCCACCGCACCTGGCCAGGATTTTTAAATGTAAGTGTGTATCAGTAATTAAGTATTACTTATACCTAGGTAGCTTTTACTTTTTTGGTCTCTGCATTTTTAAAATAACTGACCACTCTATATTATTCTCATTTAAGTAGTTGTATCAACTGCAAATAATGATAATTGTCTTTCCTTGCAGATAGGTACATTTGTAATTTCTTTTTCATGTGTTAGTTGAACAGCTACGCTTTTTTTTTTTTTTTTTGAGATAGAGTTTCGCTTTTATTGCCCAGGCTGGAGTGCAATGGCATGATCTTGGCTCACAGCAACCTCTGCCTCCCAGGTTCAAGCAATTCTCCTGACTCAGCCTCCCGAATAGCTGGGATTACAGGAATGCACCACCATGCTTGGCTAATTTTGTATTTTTAATAGTGACAGGGTTTCTCCATGTTGGTCAGGCTGGTCTTGTATTCCTGACCTCAGGTGATTCGCCCGTCTCGGCCTCCCAAAATGCTGCGATTACAGGCGTGAGCCATTGCGCCCGGCCAACAGCCACAATTTTTAAAACAATGTTAAATAAGAGTGGCAAATATGACAATACTGGATATGGTGTTGGCTATTCAATTGAGACAAATTTTTAAGAATCATGTCAAGAAAATATTATTCCTAGTTTCTAAGAGTATTTTTTATTTTTTATTTTTTTTGAGATGGAATTTTGCTCGTTACTTAGGCTGGAGTGCAATGGCACAATCGCAGCGAGATATGCAACCACAACCTCCCGGGTTCAAGCAATTCTCCTGCCTTAGCCTCCCAAGTAGCTGAGATTACAGGTGTGTGCCACCACATCCCACTACTTTTGTATTTTTAGTAGAGACAGGGTTTCACCATGTTGGTCAGGCTGGTCTTGAACTCCTGACCTCAAGTGATCCACCCACCTCAGTCTCTCAAAGTGCTGGGATTGCAGGTGTGAGCCACGGTGCCTGGCCTTTTATTCTATTTTTAAAATTATTTTCGTAGAGATGGGGGGTCTCCCTATTTTGCTAGAGCTGGTCTCGAACTCCTGGGCTCAAGCAATCCTCCTGCCTTTGCCTCCCAAAGTGCTGAGATTACATGTGTGAGTCACAGTGCCTGGTAGTAAGAATATTTTTATTTTTTATTTTATTTATTTATTTATTTATTTATTTATTTATTTTTGAGACAGAGTCTCACTCTGTCCCCAGGCTGAAGTGCAGTGGCATGATCTTGGCTCACTGCAACCTCCACCTCCCAGGTTCAAGTGATTCTCCTGCCTTAGCCTCCTGAGTAGCTGGGACTACAGGTGCCCACCACCACGTCCAGCTAATTTTTTGTATTTTCAGTAGAGATGGGGTTTCACCATGTTGGCCAGGATGGTCTTGATCTCCTGACTTCATGATCCACTCACCTTGGCCTCCCAAAGTGCTGGGATTATAGGCGTGAGCCACTGCGCCCGGTCAAGAGTATTTTTAAAAATCAAGAGTTGATGTTGAAAGGATTTTAACATTAATGGTTAAAAAAAAATCAAATACAACAGTATATGTACTTACGATAACAGATATTCATCAGGAACTGTAAAATGAGAATGGAAAAAAAAAGTTAATCATATTAAGCAGTGACCATTGACATAAAAATCTTAAAAAACACTGTAACTAAAAACACTTCCGTGTGTGATGGTCAACTGAACCTATGCATCTGGTTTTACTCCTTCCCCAAACCCCACTAAAACCATAATAAAAGGATTTCCTTTTTCTTTTTTTGAGACGGAGTCTTGTCCTGTCACCCAGGCTGGAGTGCAATGGTGCAATCTCAGCTCACTGCAACCTCCGCCTCCCGGGTTTAAACCATTCTCTTGCCTCAGCCTCCCAGGTAGCTGGGACTACAGGCATGCACTACCATGCCCAGCTAATTTTTTTTGGTATGTTTAGTAGAGATGGGGTTTCACCATGCTGGCCATGCTGGTCTTGAACTCCTCACCTCAAGTGATCCACTGGCCTTGGCCTCCCAAAGTGCTGGGATTATAGACATGAGCCACCGTGCCCGGCCAGATTTGTTTTTAAAAGTATGAATTCCAAAGGATGAGAAAGACAGGGAGAAACAACAGCCATGATACATTGGAAGCTGATAGAAGAGTGGAAAATGATTTATAAGACCTAAGAAAACTGAATCCTAGGCCAGCAATGGGGAGAGTCAAGCACCAGCCTGAGTTACACTCCAAAATCCACCTCTCCCCTTCCCCAAACCCTAACGAATTGGTGGCACCAAATAGCTTCATTAGGGGTGAAACAGGGATATGAAAATAAGACTCTTTTCGAGTACGTTTGAGAAGTAGTGGGACCCCAGTTCCCTCCACAGCTTTAGGTGACTGCCTTTCCCTCATTCTGGCAAGAGACTAGGTTTATTTTCTGGAGAGGTTCAAACACAGGCTATTTGGACTAGGGAAAAATACTAGGTACAGTGAAAGTCAGGGTGTCACACTGAAAACAGGATCTCCTGCTCTCTTCCCTAACATGGCTCCCATAACACAAGCAATCAGGCCTTCACACTTCAGCCAGGAGACTGGAAGTCTTCCCTAGGTATACCCCAAGAGAAGTGGGAATGACACTGAAATGGTTTCCCCAACTAAATAGCCTACTGAGAACAACTATAGTGACGTTCATATTCCGTAAGCCCCTCTACCACCCAGAGCTTCCAATATACTTTTTAGTCTTCCACTCTGAAATATGACTAGACAGCCAAGGGTTACCAGACAACAAAGGAAAAAGGAAATAGAATAAAACAAACAGAAGAAAGTTAGAGGAAAAACTGCAGAAAGGAGAAAATTTTAAACATCTATTACTAATATTTTATCATCAGAAAAAAGTTAATGCAATCATAAAACAGGCACAAAAACAGGCAGAAGGCATAATAAGAAGAAAAAGGGAATCTTCTGAAAAAAAGTTATAAATTAAAAATACATGGTATGTCTCTGTAGTTTCAGTTACTTGGGAAGCTGAGGCAGGAAGATTGCTTGAAACCAGGAGTCTGAGGCCAGCCTGGGCAACACAGTAAGACCCCGTCTCTCTTTTTTTTTTTTTTGAGACGGAGTTTCGCTCTTGTTGCCCAGGCTGGAGTACAATGACGCAATCTCGGCTTACCGCAACCTCCACTTCCCGGGTTCAAGCAATTCTCCTGCCTCAGCCTACAGAGTAGCTGGGATTACAGGCATGCACCACCACGCCCAGCTAATTTTTTTAGTAGAGACGGGGTTTCTCCATGTTGATCAGGCTGGTCTCGAACTCCCGACTTCAGATGATCTGCCCACCTTGGCCTCCCAAAGTGCTGGGATTACAGGCATGAGCCACTGTGGCCGGCAAGACCCTGTCTCTTAAAAAAAAAAAAAAAAAAAAAAGACAGCAGAAATTCAACAGAAAATCTGGAAGATAAAGTTCAAGAAAGTTCCCAGGAAGTAGAGAAAATATAAAAGCAACACAGAAGCCACAGTAAGTCAACCAGAAGGACAACAGAGGACATCCAGTAACTTAATTACAGAAATACCGGAAAGAACAGAGAAAACAGATGGAGGGAATTCATCAATCAAATAATTCAAAATTCCCCACAGCTGAAGGACATGAATTTCTAGCTTGAAAGGGCCCACTGTGTGCCCACACTGTGAAGTGAAAAAAAAAAAACTTTATCAGAAGATTCAGAACACTGGTTATGAAGAAAACATAATTCAAACTTCCAGAGAAAAAAAAGGTCACATACAAAAATCAGGAGTAACACTAGAAGCTAAGATGTAGTGGAAAAATGTTTTCAGATGTCTGAAGAAATATTATTTCCAACAAATAATTCAATACCTAGACAAACAATCACTTAAGTGTAAGGGCAGAAAAAGAACTTTTTCAGCCGGGCGCGATGGTCAGCCTGACTAACATTTAGTATCTCTACTAAAAATAGAAAAACTATTAGCCGGGCATGGTGGCGCATGCCTGTAATCCCAGCTACTCGAGAGACTGAGGCAGGAGAATCCCTTGAACCCAGGAGGCAGAGGGTGCGGTGAGCAGAGATTGCACCATTGCACTCCAGCCTGGGCAACAAGAGCGAAACTCCGTCTCAAAAAAAACCCAAAAAAACAAAAAAACCCCACAACTTTTTCAGACATAAGCCTCAAACAGGGGCCGGTGTGGGGGCTCACAACTATAATCCCAGCACTTTGGGAGGCCAAGGCAGAAGGATCGCCTGAGCCCAGGAGTTCCAGAGTAGCCTGGGCAACAAAGGAAGACCCGTCTCTACAGAAAATAAAATAATCAGCTGGGCATGAGGTGTGATTGCGCAACTGTACTCTAGCCTGGGGAACAGAGTGAGACCCGGTCTCAAAAAATAGAAAAGAAAGCCTCAAAAGGTACATCTCATGCCCCCTTCTTCAGGAAGCTGGCAGAGTCTGTGTGCCATAATATAAGGTAGTAAGCCTGGGCAACACAGTGAAACCCCGTCTCTACAAACAATACAAAAACTAGCTGGGCATGGTGGTGCACACCTGTGGTACCAGTTACTCAGGAGGCTGAGACAAGAGGATCTCTTGAGCCTGGGAGGTTGAGGGAGCAGTGACCTATGATTGTGCCACTGCACTCCAGCCTGGGTGACAGAGCAAGACCTTGTCTCGAAAAAAAAAAAAAAAATTTTACATGGGCCGGGTGCGGTGGCTCATGCCTGTAATCCTGGCACTTTGGGAAGCCAAGGCAGGTGGACCTCTTGAGCTCCAGACTTCGAGTCCAGCCTAGGCAACATAGTGAGACCTTGTCTCTACAAAAAATACAAAAAACTAGCCAGCTGTGGTATTGTGTGCCTGCAGTCCCAGATACTCACTTGGGAGGCTGAGGTGGGAGGATCATCTGAGCCTAGGAGGTCAAAGCTACAGTGAGCTTTGATCATGCTATTGCACATCAGCCTGGGTGACAGACTGTCTCAAAAAAAAAAAAAAGAGGTAGTAAACTGAGAAAAAGAAAACTGTAGGATATACTAAACATAGGACCCAACAAAGATACAGAGAATTCCCAGATAATAATGGTTAAGAGAGATCTCAGCAAACAGCCGAGAGATCAGCCAGTCCATATTAAGCAAGTCCGAAGGCTCTAGAGATGTCTTCAGGAAGGTGAAACTGATAACATACTTCGTTCATCTGAACATCTTGAGGGGAGATTGAGAACACTAGTAAAGGATGTGAGGTTAAAGTAGGAATAAATATGTAAAAAACTAAATAAGCACATAAACAAAACCAAGATAGTTGTAACTCCAGGGAAATCCAAAAGTTACAAAGAAAACAAAAAGTAATCATAGCTTCCTACATGGTTCCACTGTGACTAGTTTATATATCATCATACAAATAAAACTTGGAATCTTGATCTAAAAAAATTACCACTGAAGAATGGGGGTTAGGAAGGGTGCATAACTATATATTAATAGAAAAAAGATTTTGAAAAAGACAGAAAACAGGGCTTCTGAAAATAAACATGAATCAACAGCATTGGTTCCTGTGTCTGAACCATGGGTGTCAGGGGCAATGATTATGCCCCCTTCAGGACTGTCAATGTGTCTTGTGAACCTTCTTGTTGGAGGGAAAAAACCCAAAACTGGCTGGGCACGGTGGCTCACGCCTGTAATCCCAGCATTTTGGGAGGCTGAGGTGTCCGTATCACAAGGTCAGGAGTTTGAGACCAGCCTGGCCAATATGGTGAAACCCCGTCTCTTCTAAAAATACACAAATTAGCCGGGTGTGGTGGCATGCGCCTGTAGTCACAGCTACTTGGGAGGCTGAGGCAGGAGAATCACTTGAACTTGGGAAGCGGAGGTTGCACTGAGCTGAGATCGCCCATTGCACTCCAGCCTGGGAGACAGAGCAAGACTCTGTCTAAAAAAAAAAAACAAACCAACCCAAACTACTGTCAGTGTATGGATTAACCTATTCAGACACAGAACAGTTCTGGCGATTATTGTTTAAAGTGACAGCATTCCAAACCCTCAGGCCATCAAATCTGAGAGCCCAGAACAATTGTATAAGCTAACATCAGTTGGCTTTTTTCCCATCCTTTTTGGAAACAAGTATGTTTGAATACTTGGCTGCACTAATCTTTCAAGCACATATACTTAAGTCTCCTTAATTTTGACTGAGATGAGGAAACAAAGTTGGCTTATTTTTCTCAGTTCCTTAAAAACAGTAACTCAAGATAAACCCTTTCAAAATGCAGTACAGTACTTTTAAAACAAAAGCCATCCAAGTTGAATAAGCGATGGCAGTTTGGGGGCCTGATATGGCTGTTATTTATAAGGTGGCCATTTTTACATCCTAAGAGTAGTTCATTAGTCAATGCATTTTGAGTATATCAAATTTGATTTGATCTTATCCTAGCATACTCTGAACACATCTTGAGATCAACCCTTCTCAAGTGATTTTGGTGAGCATAGCCAAAGAGTACCCTCTGCTGGTCAGAAAAAAAATGGTGCTTTCACAATACCCAGATTTACTCCAACGATTGCATATGCATTTAGGTTTTGTGGCTCTTAAAATGCTTTTTTTTTTTTTTTTGAGATGGAATTTCGCTCTTGTTGCCCAGGCTGGAGTGCAATGGCGCGATCTCGGCTCACGGCAACCTCCGCCTCCCGGGTTCAAGCGATTCTCCTGCCTCAGCCTCCTGAGTAGCTGGAATTACAGGCGCCCGCCACCACGCCCAGCTAATTTTTTGTATTTTTAGTAGAGACGAAGTTTCACCATGTTGGCCAGGCTGGTCTCGAACTCCTGACCTTAGGTAATCCAACTGCCTCGGCCTCCCAAAGTGCTGGGATTACGGGAGTGAGCCACTGCGCTGGGCCTACTTTTTAAAGTGTATGGAAGCATTAACTTTAATGTTAACATCAGAATTTGAGAAAAAGAAGTTTAATAATTCAAAATTTCGTGTAAAATAATCAAGAACTCCACGTTTCTATCACTCACTGTAGGCTCCCGTCCCTTCCACCCCCGGGCGGGGACCCCTCCCAGCGACCCGGCCAGCTCTCAGCACTTCGGTCCCCACTGGCCTACTCGCTCCGACGGAGGGGCTCCTGCAACTGCGCTGTACCGTAAATATTTGCTGAATCGATTTGACTTTTACTTGTTCCAATTTCGCTTTTTTGTTGTTTTGTTTTTTTGTCTTTTTACGAACAAGAGGTTTAGAGAACCACATGGAAAAAAGGCAGGGCCAGGCCCGGACACCCCGCCTCCTGCCTCCCGGCCCGGCGGTGCCCGGATGCCCCGCCCGCGCCCATGGCGCAGCCACACACGACCTCGGTCCCGTACTTCGCGCGCTCTCCTGCACCGCCGCCGCCATCTCGCTCAGGAGCTCCTCCACAACCGCCGGCAACACTACGGCCATCGCGCCGCAGGACACGCCCTCCACGACCGGCGGACCGCCGCGACGCTCCAGCTGACTGCGCCTACCTGTGGAGGATCCTGACCCCCCGCCGGGGCAGGGCGAGACGGAGTGACGTCGGGGCGCGTCATCGCGCGTGCGGACGCAGGGATGTCCTGCTCAGTCGTCAGGGCCCGGCCAATCCGGAGGGCGCTCGGCGCGTGGTCGGGGGCCAGGAGCGCGTCTGGCCTGCAGTGCGCAGAGGACGCGGCGGGAGCATGTTCCGGCTCCTGAGCTGGAGCCTGGGCCGAGGCTTCCTGCGGGCCGCGGGGCGGCGGTGCCGGGGCTGCTCCGCGCGCCTGCTCCCGGGGCTGGCAGGAGGTCCGGGGCCCGAGGTGCAGGTGCCGCCATCCCGAGTCGCGCCGCACGGCCGGGGCCCAGGCCTGCTGCCGCTGCTGGCAGGTGAGGGGCGCGGGCCGGGCGGGGCCGGCCGGGCGGGGACAGGGGCGCGGGCCGGGCCCGATGACCTCAGAGCCCCTTCCCGCAGCGCTCGCCTGGTTCTCGAGGCCCGCTGCGGCAGAGGAGGAGGAGCAGCAGGGAGCCGACGGGGCCGCTGCCGAGGACGGGGCGGACGAGGCCGAGGCAGAGATCATCCAGCTGCTGAAGCGAGCCAAGGTGAGGCGGCTCCGGGCCCTGCGCCCGGCCGAGCGCGGTAGCCTTTGTGAGCGGGGTCTTGGCGTTGCTGCGCATTACTCTCTCCGCCTCGCCGAAGAGTGGATGGAGGCTCCGCGGGTAAAATTGCCGAGAATGAGGTGGGTCATCCGAGAGGGGATTGGAATCCATCCAGGCTTTTCCGACTCTAAGGCCTGCAGTAAAACCTCTGCAGTGTCAAGTGCAAATGGAGATGGCGCCCTAGGCATCACGCTTTATGCAAACGAAATATCGGGAACGTTTTGTAGTGGTTTTATCAATTAACCAGCCTATCTGAAATGACATAATTTCGCACGTATATAGCGGCCTGAAAATGGCAACTTAGTGTTGGTTATGCGGTTCGGTTCTCCTCCTGAATTCTTCCTTTTCTCCACATCCTTTTCTATTTTTTTTTCCTCCTCTTTTCCCAAGTTATCTCATCTCTTCCATTGAGCTAAATACCTACTCGATGCCAACAACGTCCAAATTTGTATTTCCATTCTGTAGTGTGCTACTGACATGCCATTTGCACTTTAGGACCATACCTACCTCTCAGATTTAACATGCCCAAAACTAAACGATCTTTAATGCCTCCTCAACATACGCTTTCGCCATCTCTTTACTACCATCAGTTTTTCAGCCTAAAAACCTCATAGTCATTCTTAAAACTTGTGGTACCTTACCATTGCCTTCCAATACACTTACAGTCCAGCAACAAGTCCTGTTGCCAACAAATGCAAAATATTTCTCAAATCTTTCCCCTTTTGTCTATCTCCCTTGCTGTCACCCTAGTGCAAACCATCATTGCCACCAACTATGCTCCAGTAGTCTTTCCTGGCCTCCTGGCCTCTTGCAATCTATTCTCCATGCAGAAACCAAAGCGACCAAAAAAAAAAAGAGTAAATTGGATTATGTCATCTCCTTGTCAGAAAGCTCTGAATGGCTACCCACTGCATTTATGATAAAATACAAACTCCTTGCCTTGGCTTGCAACACCCCACATGATCTAAACCAGCATATACCTTGCCCACCCATTTGGCAGTAATCCTCTGGCTCACCATCCTCCCTTCACATCTATTTCTTTGCATTTCTTCCTCAAAACCATTCTCTTCAGCTTGTAGGGACTTCACTCATTCTCTACCCTCTGTTTGAGTCATTGTTCTCCCCAGGTCCTTATTTGGTTGACTCATTCTCATCCTTACTACCTCAGTTTAGCTGTCACTTCCTTGGAAGGCTTCCCTAAGTCCTATTTAGAGGAGACCCCTTATCATTCCTTTCTGTCATCTTTATAGCTCTTATCATTAGTTGTAATTAAGCTTACTTGTCCTATATGGTCACCTCCAGCCTGCAAGAAATTAGAAAGAGGATGGAGGACAAGCAGCTTCCTTATAAAATATGTTGTAAGATCACATTCCTTCTGCCTGTGTCTCTTGGCCAAAACTTCATCAGATGGCCACACCTAGCTGCAAGGGAGGCTGACCTCCCTGTCATCTCTGTAGACAATGCTTTGTACATAGTAGGAATTCAGTAAATGTCTGATGAATGAGTTAGCTTCCTTCTATCAGTTGGGATGTACAGTTGCATACACTTCTGTCTCTTAGCATATGCATCTACTATATGTTTCATTTTCTATTATTTTGTCTTCCCTTTTCAGTTGAGCATTATGAAAGATGAGCCAGAAGAGGCTGAGTTAATTTTGCATGACGCTCTTCGTCTCGCCTATCAGACTGATAACAAGAAGGCCATCACTTACACTTATGATTTGGTAACTCTTATAACCAGTCTGAACCACTGATGAGGAAGGTTGGATGGGAGGGAAGGGTAGTTAGTTCTTCTGATTTATATTCCTGACTTTCACGATGTTCTAAAACTCCTTTTCTTTTTACTGAGTTTTCTTTTGGCTTCAGTTTCATTTTTTGTTTTGTTTTGTTTTTTTGAGATGGAGCCTCACTCTGTTGCCCAGGCTGCAGTGCAGTGGCACAATCTTGGCTCACTGCAGCCTCCGCCTCATGAGTTCAGACGATTCTTTTGCCTCACCCTCCCGAGTAGCTGGATTACAGGCATGCATCACTATGCCTGGCTAAATTTTGTATTGTAGTAGAGACGAGGTTTCACCATATTGGCCAGGCTGGTCTCGAACTCCTGATCTCAGGTGATCCACCTGCCTTGGCCTCCCAAAGTGCTGAGATTTCAGGCATGAGCCACCACGCCCGGCCACAGCTTCAGTTTTTTTACCCTTGGGGTGACATAAGACCTCTCAATTCCAGACCAAAAAAAACCAGTATCATTAGCATGTTTTTTTAATGATGAGTGGACCTAGATTTGGTTTGTTAACAACAAAGTATGTGCAAGTATTTAATTCTCACATGATTGCTGTCCTGTGCTTCTTCTTGCAGATTAATTGGTGATGTGCTTTTCATTTTCAACTATTTTTTAAATTTTGAGGGTGAAAGCAAAAGGGAATTTTAAAGTTTTGAAATAAGTAGGAACACAGTATTCTAAACTGAAAAACAATTTGTAATTTGCTTTCAGATGGCCAACTTAGCATTTATACGGGGTCAGCTTGAAAATGTAAGTAAATTGCTTTGTAATATCTTGAATTTATGAAGGAGTAGCTTCAAGGGAACTGTAATAGTAAGAGTACAGGCTAAGCTGCTATAACAAAGAGACCCTAGAATATAGTGACTCAAACAAGATAAAAGTGTATTTCTCTTTATTGTGTTAGTCCAGAGATAGGCTAAAGACTGAAGGCAGACAGACATAGGCACCTTTGCTCTCTGATCCAGAAGTCCAGGTTTCTTCTAAGATAAGCCCTCCTCTGCCTAGGTGAGCTGACTCACCTCCAGTCTGCAGGAAGGGGGAGAAGATGGACTGTGAGCAGCTTCCTTATAAAACATGATTAGAAGTTCACGTTCTTTCTGCCTGCATCCCTTGGCCTAAATTTTATCATATGACCATATCTAACTTAAGGGTGTCCAATCTGCTAAAATTGACTGAATTTTTTTTTTAAGATAAGGTCTTGCTCTGTTGCCCAGGTTGGAGTGCGGTGGCTTAATCATGGCTGACTGCAACCTCGACCTGCCAGGCTCAGTTGATCCTCTCACCTCAGCCTCCTGAGTAGCTGGGATTCCAGGCGTGTGCCACAACACTTGGCTAATTTTCTTATTTATTTATTTATTTATTTATTTATTTATTGTAGAGACGGGATTTCACCATATTTCCCAGGCTAAATCGAGGGGACTCTGTAATCAAAAAGATGGAGAAGAGAATGACTATTAGGAGACAGTTTGTAGTCTCTGCCACAGTGGGTTTGGATAAGAACTTAATCTCTGAGGTTGTTTTCTACTCATCAGAGAGTAGTTTAAGGTACACAGAGGATGTTGAGGGTCCTGATATTTTGATCTGTTTTCGCTTCAAAAGGGTACTTTTCTGTGTGTGAGTGTGCGTGTGTGTGGGTATATGGGTTTTACAAGGAATGTTGCATCAGACTGGCACTTAGAATCCAGGGTCATATATATATATATAAAATGGGGCCCAATTAAAAGAAAAATCTTTTCCTTATGCTTTTAGGCTGAACAACTTTTTAAAGCAACAATGAGTTACCTCCTTGGAGGGGGCATGAAGCAGGTAAGGACATTGCCTAGTATTGGCCCCTCACTGAAGCAGTTTTCAAAACAGTCTTGTCTCCTGAAAACTCCTCCTAGCCCCACCACATGCTTTGGTCAGGAAAGGTGGAGTTTCCCTTCTGAGATCTCTATACAAATTGCCATTCTTTCACTAAATGCAACAGCATGCTTGCCAAGGAATTCACAGTTGGCTCATCACTCTAAAAGAATAAAGACTGTGGCTTTGAGGCCACCGTCAGTCTGGAAGTTGATCTGAAATATGCCATGAAAAAATTTACTTGTTATGAGTTCCCTTCATTCTCTTTCTCTCACAGGAGGACAATGCAATAATTGAAATTTCCCTAAAGCTGGCCAGTATCTATGCTGCGCAGAACAGGTAAGTACAGCAGCCAGGGAGTAGGACTGTGGGCAGGAAACTTTGACTCTGGGATGTTACATAATATTCATTGTCTACTGGTCATCTGGGTCTCCCAGAAATTGGGTGTCACACTCAAAGTGTTCCATCCCTCATCTTTGAAATTGTCAGTCTTTTTCCAGTTTGCCCCTACTGTTTCCATCAGCCTGCCTAGTGGGGCACACAACATCTCTGGCTGCCCTGTGACAAAACTAACTAAGTTTTCTGTTGCTGCTTGAAGTGGGAAGGGAAGTTAGAGTTAGAACTTTAGTTTAACTTTTCCTAGAAGAGGAAAGAGCAGTGTGAAAGCTGCTGGGGATAATATATTAATACTCTGAAGAAGCCATTTTGCTGGTATAAATAGAGTTCAAAGATGAAGCATCTAGGTTGTAAGCAGAGAACTCCTCTAGAGAGTTGTATTTGGGATGAATTTAGGGAGAGACCTAAGACTAGCTTCCCTTCAGGTTTTAGTGGTGCAGAAGTTGGTGCGAGAGGTTTGGAGTGACATGGAGCCTGATGCTGTAGAAAGGGTGCTCACTGAGGCCAGGCCCTGGCACTGTTCCCTACTGTCCTACTCACCAGCTCCTTTGTTCTCATCAGGACCTGCATAGTCTCCTTGCATTTTGATTGGACACTAGATAGGCTAGAGCTTCCTGGAGCCTTTGACTTCAAGTCTTTTGAGGAGCTTTGAGCTTGGCCCATGCCAGGGAACACTGCAGCTTGGTCAATCTTTCTTGGAGTTGTAACAAACATGCCTAGTTCTTGATTGGGTATGAATCCCTAGGGTAAGAAGAAGCCCAGAGCCTAATAAACATTGTTGAGTAAGACAAATTCATAGTCTTCTAGAGGTGAAAGCTAGTAACAATTAGCCTCTGAGTTACATGGTACTCTGTACTTTTCATTTTGTTTTATTAAGAGAAGCATGAGACTAGAAAAGACATGGCCAGATCTGAGGCTTCGAAAGGCTGATATAGGTTATGAGGGGAATTGTTTGTAGACCTCTTGCTCCGACTGGGAGCGTCTTCTGGGCAGTGTCCACTTGCCCTGTGTTATGGCTAGAGAGGGCCCTCTTGCCAAGTTTTGAGCGTAGGGAAGGAAGGGGATGCTTCTGTTCTTCTGAGAACAGAGCAGAACAGTAGGGTCATAAGTTCTCCCCTGGCAAAGCACTAGAGAACAGGTGAGCTTTTTAGTGCCACTTCTGTAAGAAACTAGAGCCAAAACTGAAGAAAAGAACCAAAGCTGAGCTCCTAAATGGAGAAGGGATTTCTGTCACATTTCCTCTGCATCTCTGTAAAAAGCAGCAGTCAGTCGGCCTGCTTGGGTTGACTCAACCCTCTCCAGTTGATTGAGGGTCCAGGGCTACAGAGTTGGGTTAAATGACTTCTATTGCCATAGCTAGGAGTCCCATTTCTGCAAAAGAAACTTTTATCAGAGACTTATAGCTTGAAAGAAATATAAAATGACTAAAGCTCCTCAGAAGCTGTATGAGGTCAACAGTTGGAATCCTCACTGTAGGGCGGCCTGAACTGTTTAGGGTAGTATTACTTTGAACAGGGGTAAGGCTTTCACACATGGAGAAGTTGATTCACTGGAGGCCATCTGTTAGTGGGAGATGATGAATACTGCTGGCTATGTCAGTTATTAAAATTAGGGCAGCATTCCTAGCTTTTTGTGTCCTAAGTTATATTAAATGGATGACTTAAAAAAACTGCTTTGAGAAATGGCAGATTTGACACTACTTAGACTTTAAGCAAAGTTCCCTCTTCCCATTTTACACTTCCTTTACTGATAATGTTTAAACTGAGCTGGAAAAATGAAGATAAAAAGAATTTGTGAAAAGGTAAATGGGCCGGGCGCAGTGGCTCACGCCTGTAATCCCACCACTTTGGGAGGCCGAGGTGGGTGGATCACTTAAGGTCAGGAGTTCCAGACCAGCCTGGCCAACATGGTGAAACTCTGTCTTTACCAAAAATACAAAAATTAGCTGGGCATAGTGGCGGGCACCTGTAATCCCAGCTATTCGAGAGGCTAAGGCAGGAGAATCGCTTGAACCCCGGAGGTGGAGGTTGCTCTGAGCCGAGGTCACGCCATTGCACTCCAGCCTGGGCAACAAGAGCGAAACTCCATCTCAACAGAAGGAAGAAAAAAAAAAGAAGAAAAGGTAAATGGCTGATTATTGATTTTGCTTTACAGACAGGAATTTGCTGTTGCTGGCTATGAATTCTGCATTTCAACTCTAGAGGAAAAAATTGAAAGAGAAAAGGAATTAGCAGAAGACATTATGTCAGGTAGGAAACCCATTATCTGGGCATTGCCTTTTCTCCACAAAAGGCTTTACTTTACACTTTTGAGAAATGGAAAGAGATCTAAATTGGGAAGAGGGAAAGTTACCTATTTTGCAAAATAAGTGTCTGTCTTTAAGGTATCAGCAGAAGTTTTGGAATAAGATGTTTTATTTAAAATATTTGACTGCTGTTTTGGTGGTGGTTTTTTTTTTAACCCCCTTGGTAACATGGTCATAATTTATTTGTTAACTTTTAGTTACATATAACTTAAGGAAAATTGGGGAGCAGAAGGAGAAGGTGTTTCTCGTATCTCTTAGTTCAGCTACCAATCAAAATGCTTATTACGTTTTAGCCCTAGATATACAGCAAATTAAGAAAGAAGAGAAAAAAAGCTCATGTTTTTACAATCCATCCTCACTCATTCTGGAGGCTAGGAATAGAACTGGATGAGCAGGAAGCTCTCTAGCTCTCCACCATTTTGGGTTTCTTAATTTGGGTTGAAGTATTGAGAATTTTCAGATTTGACATTTATTCAATACCTACTCTATACCAAGAGCTACCGAGATGGTAGGGATACAGCAGTCAACTCTTCTGTACCTAGTGGTCTTCTAACTCTCTCTTGAACATAGAGTAGTCCCCCGTTATCCATGGGGAATATGTTCCAAGACCCCCAGCAGATGCCTGAAACGACTTCTAATACACTGTGTTTTTTTCTTATATATATGTACCTATGATAAAGTTTAATTTATAAGTTAGGCACAGTAAGAGATTAACAACAATAACTTTTAATAGAACAATTATAACTATATACTGTTAACAGTGTCACAGACAGGAGATTCATTCTTATTGTAGATCTTATCAACCTCAGCATACAGTTTTTTGTTTTTTGTTTTTTGTTTTCTTACTAAGTTGAGAACTTTCACCTTTTCATTAAAAGGAAGCACTTTATGACTTCTCTTTGTCATATTCAAATTGCCAGTATCACCACTCTCACACTTTGGGGCCATTATGTAAAATATGGATTGCTTGAGCACAAGTACTGCAACATTGTGGGTTGATCTGATAACTGAGACTGCTGCTAAGTGACTGAGGCCAGCTGCCGTATACAACTTGGGTACACTGGACAAAGATGATTCATGTCCTGGGCAGGATGGAGTGTGACAGTGTAAGATTTCTTCATGCCACCCAGAATGGCATGCAATTTAAAAACTTACGGATTATTTCTTGAATTTTTCATTTAATATTTTTCGGACTCTGGTTGACTGCAGATAACTGAAACCCCAGAAAATGAAACTGTGGAGTAGGAGGGATCACTGTACACCAATTTTTTTGTTTTCATCACTCCACTGAAGCTACCTTTATCAAAGTCACCAAATCCAATGGTTACTTCTCAATCCTTAACTTACTCATCAGCAGCTTTAACTTAGGGGATCACTGTCTCCTACTGAAAATACTTTCACTTGGCTTCTGGGATGCCTCACTGGTCTCTCTAGTGAGGTGAATAGACTTCCCTACCTCTTAATGTTGGCACGCCTTAGGGCTGTTTTCAGCCCTATTCTCTTTTCTCTCTGCCCCAACACCTAGGAGATATCTTTTAGTTCCATAGTTTTAAATATTAGATTTATACCTTCAGCCCCAACTTGCCCCCAAATGGCAGACTTATAATTATGATTGCCCACCCGACATCTTGACTTGAAGTCTAATGGTCATCTCATACTTAACATGTCCAAAATAGGTCTCAGTTTTGCCGCTCACAACTTGTTTCGTCACCAGTCAGCCCCAGATTTGTAAATGGCACACTACTCATTTAGTTGCTTTGGCCAAGAACCTAAGAATTGTCCATGATTTCTTCCTCATTCCTCATATCTAATCCATCAGCAAGTTATACTGGATCAGCCATCAAAATATATCCATACTGACCATGTCTCATCCCATTACCCTACTGCTTTGGTCCAGGCCATCACTGTTTCAAGACCTCAGTACCTTTGTATCACCTTTAGAATAAATTTAGAATCCCTGCATGGACCTGTAAGGCGCTTATGACCTGGGCCCACCCACCTCTTCCATGCCATCTGCTGCTCTCCCCTTGCTCGTTCCAGTCTCACCACACTGGTCTTATTCTGGCACATTCCAAGCTTAGTGCCACCTCAAGGCCTCTTTGCTTGATATTCCCCCTACCTAGACTGTTCTCTCTTACCTTTCTCTGGCCAACTCCCGTACTTCACTCAGGTCTCTGCTCAAATAGCACTTCCTCAGAGTGCTCCCTTCACTAAAACTATCATCTCTTCCCACCTTACTATTGCTCTACTCCTCTTTCCTTTACTTTTCTTCATCACACTTAAAAGTAGAGGTGTGTGTGTTGTGTGCTTGTGTTTCTCCACTAAAAGTATGTTTTTGTTTAAAAATTTTTAGTCTTTGTCTTCCATATCAAAGAAGGATAGAGACTTCATCCATTATACTCAGTGCTAAATCCTCGGTGCCTAGAACAGTGCCTGGCACATAATAGAGGCTCAATAATTACTGAATGAAAGAACAAAAGACCCAAGAAAGACCAGCAAATAAATCCAGTTTCAGTGCAGTGTGGAAGTGCTTTGAGGAAATCCACAAGAGGTGTAAAAACAAGTCTAGCTGTCAAGTAAGTCACTTCTGAACTATTTACACCTTTGCTGTCTTTCATTTATAGTGTTGACTATGGTTTCTTAGGAGTGTAAAGCTATATTTTCTGATTCAAAAAATAATACCAGTAAACACTGAAGAAAGTTTAGAAAAGCACTAAGTAAAAATCATCTGTAATCATACTATTAAGAAAGAGCTACTGTTTTATTTATTACTACGGCTTTTCGGGTTACATTTTAAGAAATAAATTTGGGATGATACTGTATATCCTACTTTGTAACCTGAGTTTTAACAATTTAGTAACATATTATGAAAACACTTTTTTTTTCCAGGCAAAGGAATTCTTGTTAGATAGAGCAAGCTAATTTCTATTATAAATATTATTTTTACATTTTACTAGTTGCACAGTATAGAAAATGTGTTACATGATTCTTCATCTTATTTTTTCTAGAAAAGGAATTCCTACCTATTCAGTTTTGCACAAAGCAAATCCATTATCAAATTTACGTGCTTTTTATTGACACAACTATCTCTATTCTAGGATAACATTACTTAATTACATAAAATTACATTACTTAATTACATAAAACCTTGCTCTAGGATAATTATTTTGTTACCTATGTTGTAGACATATATGTACTTACTGAGGAAATGCCCATAAAAAATTAAGTGAAAACTTTGGTTACAAAACAGTATAGTTAGTATGTAGACTAAAAATAGGAATGGAACAAAGGCTGAATGATAGATATCAAAATACAGGCAGTGATTCTCTTTGGTTGGTAGGTTTATAGGGAATTTATATTTTATTTGTGTTTCTCTGAGTATTCTATAATTTTGTACAAATTTATATTTTTCTTTTTAATTTCCAATGTTATCTGTTAGTATAAAAAGTCAAATAATATTAATAGTACAAAGCTTAATTTAAGAGAGCATTTTCTTGGCTATCTCACCCACCCCATCTATTTTTTTTATTTTTTAATTTTTAATTTTTTTTTTTTTTTTTTTTTTTTGAGACAGAGTCTCACTCTTGTCACCAGGCTGGAGTGCAGTGGTGCAATCTCGGCTCACTGCAACCTCCGCCTCCCGGGTTTAAGCGGTTCTCCTGCCTCAGCCTCCCGAGTAGCCGGGACTACAGGCACGTGCCACCATGCCCAGCTAATTTTTGTGTTTTTAGTAGAGACAGGGTTTCACCATGTTAGCCAGGATGGTCTCAATCTCTTGACCTCATAATCTGCCTGCCTCAGCCTCCCAAAGTGCTGGGATTACAGGTGTGAGCCACCGCACTTGGCCCTATTTTCAACTTTTGTTTTTGAGACAGAGTCCCGCTCTGTCGCCCAGGCTGGAGTGCAGTGGCGTGATCTCGGCTCACTGCAACCTCTGCCTCCCCGGTTCAAGCGATTCTCCTGCCTCAGCCTCCCGAGTAGCTGGGACTACAGGCACCCGCCACCACACCTGGCTATTTTTGTATTTTTAGTAGAGACTGGGTTTTACCATGTTAGCCAGGATGGTCTCGATCTCCTGACCTCATGATCCGCCTGCCTTTGCCTCCCAAAGTGCTGGGATTACAGGCATGAGCCACTGTGCCCGGCCCCTATTTTCAACTCTTAACCAGTTTCCTCTGGTATTTACCTTCACATTTCTCAATAATATAAAATTGCTATTTCCTAGTTCATTATTTTCAGAATATGTTGATTTATGGAAAAGTGAAGATTTAGTGCAGTTTCTGGTTGTGTCTACATTATGAGTGTATGAATAGTGTTAGCTGCTGAGCCAAGTAACATGATTACACAGTTACATTTCCTTTTGTGTACGTTTTGCTTCCTCTGAAGTTAACTAGGTTTTTTTGTGGCTCCGTTTGTTATGTATATGCCAGATTCTTCACTTTTACATATTACTTGCTTTCTTCAATTCATAAGCTTTCCCAGTATTCTAGAGTTCATGTTGGCTCACTTTTCATTGGCATGGCTGGCCATAGGCATTCAGTCTTCATCTTCTTTTTTTTGTTTTTGTTTTTGTTGAGACGGAGTCTCACTCTGTCACCCAGGCTGGAGTGCAGTGGCTCAATTTTGGCTCACAGCAAGCTCCACCTCCTGGGTTCAAGCAATTCTCATGCCTCTGCTTCCTGAGTAGCTGGGATTACAGGCGTGAGCTACCACACCCGGCTAATTTTGTATTTTTAGTAGAGACGGGATTTCACCATGTTGGCCGGCCTGGTCTCCTGACTTAGGTGATCCACCCGCCCCAGCCTCCCCAAGTGTTGGGATTACAGGCGTGAGCCACCGCGCCCGGCCGCGTTATATCTTTTTCATCCTGTAAGTTTCATTTTAGTGGTATTTGGGGAAGGAGTGGAGAGGAATGCCTGTGTTCAGTTCAGAATAGTAAATCTGTTATTGGGCATCAAGATAGTGTCCAAACCTGTTTTTTTAAAGTGGATTCTTAGCACTGAGATTTCCAAGTCAAGAGTAGCACATTTTAAGGTTGTTGATGACTATTGCCAAATTGCCATTGAAAGGACTGTGTTAATTTACATTTCCTGGTTTGGCTATTTATGTACTTTGTGACTTTGGCCAAATTACATAATCCCTGTGTGCTTTTTCTTCAGTGTGGGATTAAGAGTAACACTCATAGGACCTTTAGGAAGGTGGAATGAGTTAATACATAAAACGTACTTAGAATAATACATTGTAGCTGCTCAAAAAGGGTTTGTTAGTGGTTTTTATTATTGTGATAAGCCTATGTCCTCCTCCCCAAAACTCATTAACTTTTATAATCTTTGTTAGCTTGATGATATGGCCTTGATGCATTATCTAGCATTTCTTTGATAAACAGTGAGGTTTATCTTTTTTTTTTTCTCACCATGTCTTAGGGTGCTAAGAGGTTTATTTTTTATTGGAGCTTTATTGTAAAAATATTAATCCTTTGTCTCTTGGGTTTTCCTCCTGATTTGTGTTTATAGAGTGGGGTTTTTTTTTCTAATAAAAAGGGAATGTGAAATTAACATTTGTATAAAGAATTTATGAGAATTGGCGAGGGACAGTGGCTCACGCCTGTAATCCCAGCACTTTGGGAGGCCAAGGCGGGTGGATCACTTGAGGTCAGTCGTTAAAGACCAGCCCTGGAAACGTGGCAAAACCCCATGTTTACAAAAATTATCTGGGCATGGTGTTGCGCACTTGTAGTCCCAGCTACTCGGGAGGCTGAGGTGAGAATCTCTTGAGCCTGGGAGGTGGAGGTTGCAGTGAGCTGAGATCGCACCACCTGTGGTCCAGCCTGGGTGACAGAGCAAGACCCTGTCTTGGGGCTGGGGGGTGGAAGAGGATTGTGAGAATAGACAAGTGATCCAGCATTGCCAGTACCTTTGGAGCTCTTCCTACCTGGGATACTATTCTCCTTAATCTTGTCACTATCATTCAATGGCATGATCTCGGCTCACTGCAACCTCCGCCTCCTGGGTTCAAGTGATTCTCCTGTCTCAGCCTCCCGAGTAGCTGGGATTACAGGCATATGCCACCACGCCTGGCTAATTTTGTATTTTTAGTAGAGACGGGGTTTCTCCATGTTGGTCAGGCTGGTCTCGAACTGCCGACCTCAGGTGATCTGCCCGCCTCAACCTCCCAAAGTGCTGGGATTACAGGCATGAGCCACCACGCTAGGCCTATTTGCTTTTCTTTCATTTTACTCTGTGTCCCTTAAGAAGATGTCATTTAGTTTTTGCATATTGCTTTTAAAAATTTAAATAGGCTGGGTGGAGTGACTCAAGCCTGTAACCCCAACACTTTGGGAGGCCAAGGTGGGAGGATCGCTTGAGCCTAGGAGTTTTGAGACCAGACTGGGCAACATGGTGAGATCCTGTCTCTTCAAAAAATAAAAAAATTACCTGGGCACGGTGGCACATGCCTGTGGTCCCAGCTACTTAGGAGACTGAGGCAGGAGGATAACTTGAGCCCAAGAGGTCGAGGCTGCAGTGAGCTATCATAGTGCCACTGTCCTTCAGCACAGGCAATAGAGACCCTGTCTCAAAAAAAATTAAAATTATACAAATGAATCATAATATGTATTCATTTTAGGGCATTTTTATGACTTGCATGAGTAATCTTTTCAGAATTAGATCAGAATTCATTTCTAATTTCCTTTGCTTTTATTCATCTTTAATAAATACTGAGTAGCTGTTCTGTGCCAGGTATTCTAGGATTTGAATAGCAGCAAGTAAGGCAAAAGTCCTTGCTCTTCTGGAGCTTAATGCTTAGAGAGATATTTTTCAAGCTTTGAAATTGTATGCATTCTCACTCATCTTTCCTTATAATTTTCTATTTTTTTCCTTTTATTTCTAAACAGTTTTAACTTTTTAGTATATCTGGTATTTTGGTGTGAAGCTGGTGACTGTTTTCTTGCAGATAGTAATCAATCTATATGTACTAATTAGTACATACTTGGGTTTCTTTTGGGGTTTTCCATTCTGATGTATTTACCTGATGAGTTTTATAACAGTATACATTCTTTGAATTATATATTTGAGTTATATGGTAGGACAGTTGACACATGCTTCCTTTGTAAAATTCCTTCCCACATTTCACTGTTTTCACATGAATTTTAGAATTATTTTGTCAAGTTCGTAAAGTGCCTTCAGACTGAATTATCAGATATGCATTATATTTATAAATTAGTTTGGGGAGATTGCCATCTGAATAAGTTAGCATATCTTTGACTGCAAAGAGCAGAAATTTCAGCTAAATTAGGTTTAACAGTAAGGACATTTATGTCAAGTAACTGGCAGTTCAGCAATAGGGAGCAGGCTGTTGAGTTAGTTGACAGTGTGATTCACTGAAATCATAAAGGAACAGGCTCTTTCCATCCTTCCTCACTCATGTATTGGCTTTTTCCCCATGCTCCCCTGGTGGTTGAAACGTGAAACTATAACAATTCCCAGGAATCTCATCCAGAAATGACAGTGTCCAGAGGAAAAGGAGACTTCTTTGATGTTTCTCATAGGATCAAGGTAATCTTTCCTAGAAGTCTCCAAGTAGATTTGTCCTTACTTCTCATTGGTTAGAATTGGGTTACATGCCATTTCTAACCCAGTCCTTGGCAAGAAAAATGGATTATCATGATTGGCTAAAATACATCAGTCTCCTTTCCTGAGGATGTGAGTCATGTGAGAAAAGAACGGATACTGGGACAAAGCAGCTGCTCTGCTAGCAAAGGAAGATCTTTGTAATAGTGAGCCGTCTCACTGAGGAACATTCTATAGCTCCTGCTTATAGTTTTCTTCATATAGATGACAGCTATTTATTAAATTTGATTCTAACTGACTCCTTGACTGAACTCTTTGCTTTTCAGTTGATATTCACACTAATTCCAGATTTATAATCATACATTCCGGAAATCATGATACAGGTTGAGCATCCCCCAGAACCGAAGCTTTCTGAGTGCCAACATGATGCATAAAGAAAGTACGCATTGGAGCATTTGGATTTGGGTTTTTGGTTTTGGGATGCTGGCAGTATCCAAAGGAAATATTCCAAACTCAAAAAATCTGAAATCTGAAACACTTTTGGTCCTAAACATTTCAGATAAGGAATACTTAACCTGTAATTGTTTCCTTCCAGAGAGTTATACTACTGTCTCCCTTCCCCACCCTTTATAAAATTAGTTCATTGGCTGTACCTTCAGAACATCAAGCAATAGTAGTAATAGGAAACTTAGTCTTATATCCAATTTGGTACCAAGATATATGAATAGATTTATTACTATTATATATCTAGAGCGGACCAGGCTTGCTTGTAGGTTAATTGCTTAGTACCTGTGTAGTGCTGGATAATATTTAATGCTGATATGTAACTTGCGTTTCTTATGAGATCCACAGTAAATTTCTTATTGTATTGTTTGTACTATTATGTTTGTATTATTTGTTATCGCAGGATTGTTATTAATGTGATAAAATGAATTGGGATGCTTTCTGTATTTTCTATTCTGAAATAAGTGTGGGATATTGCATTGGAATGGTCTGTTCCTTGAAAGTTGCAGAGTCTGTGATGCCAGATGGACCAGAACTCCTGAGTTAATTCTCCGGCAGCTTTTTTTTTCCTTCTTGATTACTCATGTATTTCTTCCATTTTCTTAATTTCAATATAGGACAGTGCTAAAAACATAAACATTAATAAATATCTATTGAATAAATGAACGTATGGGTGAACAAATTTTATAACTATTAATTTCCTAGAAGAAACTTTAAGGAATTATATTTTTAAAGCATATTTTACACTACTCTTACGTATCTGAGATCCTCTTCCTTTTCTAGATCCTAATTTTATGGATTTCCTTTTAAATTAGTAAAAAGATGTTTCCCATTGATTCCTTCCTCCTCCTTTCCTTGAAAGTTTTTATTTTCATATATTAAATAAAACATTTCTAGAAAGTTATTTTTGATGACATAATATTTGGTTCCATGAGTGCTTAAAGTCTGGAGCCTGAGTTCAGATTCTGGTTCTGCCACTTACTAGCAGTGGACAAGTTATTTAACTTCTCTGTTCTCAGCTTCCTTATCAATAAAATGAAAATAATAATAGAACTTACCTCATAGAGTTACAAGAATTAAATACTCCAGGACTATGACCAGTACTCATTAGGCACTATTATATAAGAGTTTGTGGAATGTGATATATTTACTAATCTTATTTATTATATGATTTGGCACCTATATTTTACTATTATCAATTTATGAAGGACCTTCCTGGCCATTTTATTTATAGTTTCTCCTTGGTTTTTGTTAATTTTGTTTATTCATTCAAAGAGCCAACTTCTGGTTTCATTAATTTTCTTTATTGTCTTTCTATTTTCCATTTCACTTATTTCTACTTTGTCTTTATTACCTCTCTCCTGTTTGCTTTGGGTTTATTTTGTTCCCTTTTTTCTGGTCCCTTAGGTGGGAGATGAGGTTATTGATTTAAGGTTTTTCTTCTAACATAATTGCCATTTATAACTATAAGCTTTAGCTGCATCTCATTAATTTTGGTAAGTTATATTTTCATGTATCTCAAGTATTTTCCAATTTTGGGGGGGATTTCTTCTTTGACCCTTTGGATATTTAGGAGTATATTGATTAATTTCCACATACAGTGAATTTCTCAAATTTTCTTCTGTTGAATCCAGTTTCATTCCATTGTGTTCAGAGAACAACTGTGCTTGATTTTATTTATTGAGATTTGTTGTATGGCCTCACATATGGCTTATCCTGGAGAATGTTGTATGTGCATTTGAGAAGTATGTGTATTCTGTTGAATGGAGTTTTCTATGAATGTCTGTTAGGTCTAGTTGGTTTATAGTGTTATTCAAGTCTTCTGGGTCCTTACTAATTTTGTCTAGTTGTTCTAATTTTTTTTTTTTTTTTTTTTTTTGGGATGGAGTCTTGCTTTGTCGCCCAGGCTGGAGTGCAGTGGCGTGATCTCGGCTCACTGCAACCTCCACCTCCCGGGTTCAAGTGATTCTTGCACTTCAGCCTCCCGAGTAGCTGGGAGTACAGGTGTGCACCACTGCATCTGGCTAATTTTTGTATTTTTAGTTGAGATCGGGTTTCACCATGTTGTCCAGGCTGGTCTCGAACTCCTGACCTCAGGTGATCCGCCTGCCTCAGCCTCCCAGAGTGCTGGGATTACAGGCATGAGCTACTGTGCCCAGCCAGTTTTTGGTATTTTTAGTAGAGACGAGGTTTCACCATGTTGGCCAAGCTGTTCTTGAACTCCTGACCTCAGGTGATCCACCTGCCTGAGCCTCCCAAAGTGCTGGGATTACAGGCATGAGCCACCATGCCCGGCCGATAAATTTTTTAAAATCTTCTTTCTTTATACATGTTTCTGTGCTCTGTTTAGACAGTCTCATAGATATATTTATTTGTTACGAATTGTCCCTTCATCAGGAAAATGATTCCTTTTTCCCTATTTAAGGTATTTGTTACGAATTCTAGTTTTATATTATCTACTATATCTTACCCTTAACTTTTCTGAGTCATTTTCAGTGTATCTTTTATAGAAGGCTATGGTTGGAATTTTTTTAAAACCTGAGTATCATTGTCTTCTGATACAGAATCTGAAAACCTTTTAAAAATTAGTGAGGCGAAAAAAATTAGCCAGGCATGGTGACGGGTGCCTATAGTCCCAGCTACTCGGGAGGCTGAGGCAGGAGAATGGCACGAACCCAGAAGCCAGAGCTTGCAGTGAGCCGAGATCGCGCCACTGCACTCCAGCCTGGGCGACAGAGTGAGACTCCGGCTCAAAAAAAAAAAAAAAAAAAAAAGTATTCAGGCTGGGTGCAGTGGCTCACGCCTGTAATCCCAGCACTTTGGGAGGCTGAGGCAGGTGGATCGCCTGAGGTCAGGAGTTCAAGACCAGCCTGGCCAACATAGTGAAACCCCGTCTCTACTAAAAATACAAAAAATGAGCTAGGTGTGGTGGCGGGTGCCTGTAACCTCAGCTACTCGGGAGGCTGAAGCAGGAGAATCGCATGAACCTGGGAGGCGGAGGTTGCAGTGAGCCGAGATCACGCCATTGCACTCCAGCCTGGTTAAGAAGAGCGAAACTCCATCTCAAACAACAAAACAAAACAAATTAGTATTGAAAGGGATAATTGGTCTAATTATTGCATTTTAAAAAGTGCTTTCCATTTTTGTTAATTCCTTTGTTTTCAGTTCCTCTTACAGGAACTTTTCCCTCTCTGATCTGTATTTGTATTTTGTAGGGAAGGTATATGTATATATGATTTTCAGTTGTATAAGGAGTAACCTAAACATTTCTTAAAGACAGTTGACTCAGAGGAAAAAAAATTTTTTTCAGTTTCTTCTCTAAAATGAGATGAGTACATTTTAACATTATCCTTCTTTCCCTTTTCCTCACTTGTTTTTTCTCTGTGATCTGGAATTTTAGACTTAGTGGAATTTATTGCAGAGGAGAATTCTAAAGCCTGCATATTTGCCTTGTTTTTTAAATAGTCTATTTTCTCCTGCTCAGATGCTTTGCTGGACTCAGAAGTTAAATGAGCATAAGGTTAGGGAGTTGTCTGTTTATGAAGCTTGCTTAGTCCCTGGTGAACCTTCATTTTTAGCATCCAGTTCTCTGGAGCTTCTGTAGTCTATTCTGGCTCAATGCTTCTGTCCCACATGCTCTGGCCTCTTACCCTGGAATGTCATTTACCTGTATGTTGACCTCTCTTCTCTATCCTTCACATTATCCCCTCTTCCATCAGTTTTCTCATGTATATTTTGGGAGTTTCTTCAGTTGATATTCCACATTACCAATTTATTATTAAGAAAAGTCAGTTCTGTGCTTTTCTTTTGATTTGTTTTTTGTTTTTTGAGATAGGGTCTCACTGTGTCGCCCAGGCTGGAGTGCAGTGGTGCAGTCATGGCTCACTGCAGCCTCAACCTCCCAGGCTCAACTGATCCTCCTACCTCAGCCTCCCAAGTAGCTGAGACTGCATGCTCATGTCACCATGCCTGGCTAATTTCCGGATTTTTTCATAGAGGCGGAGTTTCACCATCTTGCCCAGGCTGGTCTTGAACTTCTGAGCTAAAGCAATCTACCTGCCTTGACCTCCCAAAATGCTGGCATTACAGGCATGAGGCATCACGCCTGGCTTCCCTCTGATGTAATTTTTTAAAATTAGATTTCAAACAAAAGTAAAGTTTTGAGGACTTACCAAATATCTGTGTACTTTCAGCCTTGGCCAGATTTCAATATTTTACCATATTTGCTTTAGAATTTTTTTTGGATATTTAAATCCCTGTATACCCTTCCCTCCCTGCCTAGGGGTAGCTACTATCCTGAGTTTGGTTTTGTTTGCCTACTTATTGCACTTGTATATATCAATAAACAATATATTGCTGGGTACAGTGGCTCACACCTGTAATCCCAGCACTTTGAGAAGCCGGGACAGGTGGATCACCTGAGGTTAGGAGTTCAAGACCAGCCTGGCCAACATGGCGAAACCTTGTCTCTACTAAAAATACAAAAATTAGCCCAACATGGTGGCGGGCGCCTGTAATCCCCACTACTCGGGAGGCTGAGGCAGGAGAATCGCTTCAACCTGAGAGGCAGAGATTGCAGTGAGCCGAGATCGTGCCACTGCACTCCAGCCTGGGTGACAGAGTGAAGACTCCGTCTCCAAAACAAAAAAACAATATACAATAGGGCTAATATGTTTTTAAACTTAATATGAATGGTATCATACTGTACAATTGGTTTTGTAGTTTGCTTTTGTCACTCAATATTATGTTGATGAGATTTATTGGGCTGCTATTTAAAGCAGTTTTCTTAGCACAGAGGCCCTGTTTGCTTGCCAAACTGCATGTCTGCTGGGTTGCGTCTGTCTTTAAAGGGTGACTTCCTCTAATTAATCCACTGGGGTGAGGGGTAAGTTGAACCTGTTTTTTCTGTTCACAAGTGTGGATACAAGCTAAAGGTGGCCCTGTGTGGTTCCCTCACTACAACCATGGTATAGTAGTCCATTGTAGAAATATACCACAGTTCTATTGATGGACCTGTTGGGTTATTCTATATGTTTTGCTGTTAAAAGTCATACTTCACTGAACATTCTTGGACTTGCATCTTTGTGCACACCTGGAATATTACATAAAAGTGGAGTTGCCAGGGTGCATATACCAAATTGCTTAACAGGCTGGGTGTAGTGGCTCACACCTGTAATCCCAGCATTTTGGGAGGCTGAGGCAGGCAGATCATTTGAGGTCAGGAGTTGGAGACCAGCCTGGCCAATATGGTGAAACCCCATCTCTACTTAAAAAAAAAAAAAAAAAAGCCAGGCATGCTGGTGGGTACCTGTAATCCCAACTACTTGGGAGGCTGAGGCATGCGAATCGCTTAAACCCAGGAAGGCAGAGGTTGTAATGAGCTGAGATCAAGCCACTGCAAGACTTTGTCTCAAAAACAACAACAAAAACCAAATTGCTGATCAAAGTGGTTTTACCAGTTTACATTTTGACTAGCAGTATATTAGTGTTCATGATGTTCTCTGTATATCTTTGTTATCAGATTTTTTTGATAATCTGCTGGGTTTGAAAAGGAATTTCATTGTGGCTTCACTATGTGTTTCTGATTACTGTATTTATCGGTTATTCAGATTACCTGCTCTGAAAATTATTTCTTCATATCTTTTGCTTATATTTTTGAGGGGTTGTCTTTTTCTTAACGATTCGTAAGAGTTCCTTACGTATTCGATCATTTTGTATTTTTGTGGGTTACGTATCTCTTTGTAGCTTGTCTTTTCACATTAGGGCATTTGATGTAGATTAAAAATTTGTATATTAACAGAATCTTGATATTTATCTTCATAGTTTGTGCTTCTTATGTCTTGATTTGTAATGACATCTCTATATTGGGTTTTCATAGATTCATGGGGTGCTAATGTTTAAATCTGTAATTATAACTATTTTTAGTTTCATTATAATTTTTCCCTATTTAATTCAGTACTTTATTTCCCCCACTACCCCCCACCCCCCAAGAGACAAGGTCTTCCTTTGTTGGCCAGGCTGAAGTGAGTGCAGTGACACGATCACAGCTCACTGCAACCTTAAACTCCTGATATCAAGTGATCCTCCCACCTCAGCCTCCAGAAGAATTAGGAGTACAGGCACGTGCCACCATGTCTGGCTTATATATATTTTTGGGGGGTGGTGGGGGAGAGTAGAGATGAGGTTTCGCTATGTTGTCCAGGCTGGTCTCGACCTCTTGGGCTGAAGTGGTCCTCCTGCCTCAGCCTCCCAAAGTACAGGATTGCAGGTGTGAGCCACCACGCCTAGCCCTTTTATAATTCCTTCTATTTGTTCATTCATTCAACAATTCAGTCAGAAATACTGAGTGCCCATTACACACTAGATATGCTGCTAGGTGCTGAGATACAGATATAAATAAAAGAAAGTTGGCTGGGCGCAGTGGCTCACGCCTGTAATCCCAGCACTTTGGGAGGCCAAGGCGGGCGGATCATGAGGTCAGGAGTTCAAGACCAGCCTGGCAAATATTGTGAAACCCCGTCTCTAATAAAAATACAAAAAAAATTTAGCTGGGCGTGGTGGCGCACCTGTAGTCCCAGCTACTCGGGAGGCTGAGGCAGAAGAATCACTTGAACTCAGGAGGCGGAGGTTGCAGTGAGCTGAGATTTTGCAACTGCACTGCAGCCTGGGCGACAGAGTGAGACTTCGTCTCAAAAAAGAAAAAACAAAAAAACAAAGTCACCGCCTCATGGAGCTACATTTCTGGTGGGGGAAAGACGCATAGTAAGCACTACCCAGTAAGTTGGTGTGTCCAAAGTGCTATGTAGATATTTATGAAGGAATATGTATACCAGGAATATGTTGGGGCAGTATGGTGTCTTATAGAGGGGGTAGGGAAGGCCTTGTTAGTATGAAACCTGGTGAATGGGAGAGAATAGGCCAAGTGGCTATTTGTGAGGGAAAAAAATTACAGACAAAGGGCAATTACAGGTACAAGACTCTGAGGTGGTGTATGCTGCTTGACTTACTGGAAGTAAGGAGTTAGAATTACTGGAGTTGTCTGATTTTCTAAAATTTTGGGGGATGAGGCCTGCTTTTTTACTGTCTGCTGATTCTCATTTATGATGAATTGTCATGTTTACTAATCTTGGATTATACATTCATCTTCAGCAAGGTTTTAGCTATAAGTGAGATTCCAGAATAGTTTTGTGTCTTCCAGGCACTCAGCTCCTGGCCGAAGTGGATGCTACAAATTTAGACATCAAATTTACAGGGTAGTCATTTTTCTCCTCTTTAGATTCCAGACTTGGCCATTCAAGGCTCCTTGTTGTCTCCCTGTGCCTGTGGTCGGGGGGTTAAGGGGAGTGTAGGCTGGAGTGGTGCAATTTTTTTCACATACATGCTTTTCCTGGGGTTGTGGTCCTAATGGTAATCATCCTGGTTTATGCATTGGCTTCAGATCTCATTTTGTTTAGTACACATCAACAGCTTTAATTCCTGGATTACAGAGACAACTCAAGCTACAACAAAAACCGGGCTTCTGCTGTGTCAACTCACAGACTCTCCACTTTGGGTTTTAGCTTACTCCTAATTTGTGGCTCTTGGGAGCTCAGCTGTGCAGGGAAAGGATGTGTGTTATAGTTTATCTAAGGTTTCCAGGTGTTTGAAGCAGATGGGTTTCATCTATAGTGTTACGTTAGATTCTGCTTTATTCCCTCCACTAAAACCATTAACACTCATCAGAAAGTGCTAATCAGTTGATTAACAAGAGATTTAGTTTAGCAGAAATTTCAGGATATTCTTGGAATTTGGGCAACAAATATCTCTAGTTTCAAAGACCCTTGTAGACTTTCCTATATTGCTATTGATGGTGAGGGGGTAGGGGAGTGTTAGAGGCCTATGCTCAAGTTTTCCTAAATTAGAGATGCTCTTTTGCTATTGTTACAAATGCATATAATTGCTCCAGTACTTTATCAAATTCCCTTTAGTCTATATTTATGTAAACCTAGTTTGATATACTGAACCATTCTTTTATTCCTGGAATAAATGCTGTTTGGTCATCTTAATACATCTGATTATTCCATTTGGTAATATTTTGAGTAAAAAATTCTATAGTGAATCCTGTTTGCTTCATGGACTGAGTATAGTAGCGTATCTTTTTCTGTGACTAGAAGTTATTTATGAAAGAGAATCATTTATGTTTGAAGAAGTAAATATGCCTCAGTTTCAAATGGTCCTTTAAGGGCTCTGTATAAACGATTCCAATATATTTCTCAGTTGTTATTAAAGTACTTGATTTTTTTCTTGTCTAACTTTTAGCAATTTTTATATTAATATTTCAAAGAACCATGTTTAAGTAAATTACTAGCAAAGGAACTCTTTGGGGGAACTTTATGAAATTTTCTCTTGGCAGTTGCTAAAAGTTTTCTTACGTTTTCTAAAAGTTCAGTAATAGTACATTTATCTTTAGAAAAGTTTGCTTTTCAGAAAGTGTTTCCATTTTTCTTGTGGTCAGAATGTGCTGTGAATTTTAAATGTATTTTTAAGATATTATAGCTAAATTGTACCTCACTGTTTTCTCTAAAAAGTTTTACTGCTTTTGCTTCCACTCCACTATTCAGTGATAACAAGGGTAACAAGTTTCCACTAGAATTGCTTGTCACTTTATTCTTGTACTTTTGTTTTACTACTGAACATCTTTTTAAATCGTTGCCACAAAATATCTCGCTTTTATCATTTTCACATTGCTCTAGTATATCAACTTTGGAAACAAGACATCATTCTATTTATAGCATTCTGTTTTTAGTAGTGGTATTTCCATTTACAAAATACAGTAATTCTTGATCGCTGAAGACGTCAAATCCTAGAAAACATAGCATGCCTACGCGTGATGTTAACATCATTCTCGAATAGTTGTTGGTTGAAGATTCATTTGATGAATCCGATTTTTCAGAAATAGACGAGTCTGATGATACAGACGATTCTGGTGTTAGTTCTCTGTAGAAATAACTCCAAGAACACTTTTAATAGTTTATTTTCACATTGAAAATCAGATTTGCTCCAGCCTCAAAGAGTATATTTATGTAAAATTAGGTAAGCGATATAGAAGCAAGCTGCACTTTTTTTCTAAATGGGAAGGTATTAAAAAAGAAAAGTCTCATTTTAGTAACATAGTCTTCCTTAAACTCTATGCCACTTGTAAGATTTCTGAAAACTGAAGACATAGAAGGGAACGGGCTTGATATGAACGACAGCTTTGCTGGTAAATAAACCCAACTGAACCTAAGATTATCTAAGGTAACCTCTTTTTCTAGTCTTTTATTGTGTGAACAGTTACCTCCTGCTGAGTTGTTGGCAGAATTTCCATATAATCTTGCTTATGACCATTTCTACATTATTTGTATCATCTTTTAGAAGTCTTACCCAGGTTGATATAGGTTACCGTTCTCTAGATCTGTGTCTCCAATTCTTCTTACATGGCATTAGGTATTTTAAGCTTGTTTTTTTTCAGACATCGTATAGTCAATTCTTGAATGTGTTGAGAGGTGCTATGTCATTGTAAGCTTTATTCTTCTTCTCTGAATGATTAGCTTGTTTAAATTTTACCTTAAATTCTTTTTTTTCTTTTTTTTTCTTTTGAGACTGAGTCTTGCTCTGTCGCCCAGGCTGGAGTGCAGTGGTGTGATCTCGGCTCACTGCAAGCTCCACCTCCTGGGTTCACGCCATTCCCCTGCCTCAGCCTCCTGAGTAGCTGGGACTACAGGTACCCGCCACCACGCCTGGCTAATTTTTTTTTTTTTTTTGTATTTTTAGTAGAGACGGGGTTTCACCATGTTAGCCAGGATGGTCTCAATCTCCTGACCTTGTGATCCACCCGCCTCGGCCTCCCAAAGTGCTGTGATTACAGGTGTGAGCCACCGCGCCCGGCCTTTACGTTGAATTCTTTAAATTCAGCTTGTGACTTTGCACTTCAGGATTCTGAGTGTTCTCTGTCTTCTTCCTGCATTGTTTTTCTTATACCATACAGGTTTTTCATTGGCCTTGACTTTTTGTTGTTAACTCATTCTTCTTTGGGTTTATTTTCATTTGTTTCTGCTGAATATTATTTGTTTCAAACTAAAAATAACATTCCACATTTTAATTGATGTGCGGACTCTTAATCTACTTAAAATGTGGGCTGAAGTTCCATGATTCCAGCTAGTCTGGAATAGGTCATTTAACTGGATGTTAATTCACCTACATTGTTCCCTAAGTGACATGTGGGTCCCATTCTGCTGACATATTTGTGGGTCCTGGTAACAACCATTTGGGTAGATTTGCTGATTCCTCTTTTCTCCTTAGTGGAAGAGAAAGCCAATACCCACCTCCTCTTGGGCATGTGCTTAGACGCCTGTGCTCGCTACCTTCTGTTCTCCAAGCAGCCGTCACAGGCACAAAGGATGTATGAAAAAGCTCTGCAGATTTCTGAAGAAATACAAGGAGAAAGACACCCACAGGTAAGGGAGGAAAACACAGAAGGGGGAATATAAAACAAAGGCTTCAAAATTGAAGGGTGTGAAATGTCACACTCATTGGTAACAGGATCAGCAGATGGTCCTAGATCCTCCTTGGTCCCCAGTCTACTCATTTTCTTATCACCAGCACCCTCACCCCAACTACTTGTTTCAGAAAGGATTTGAGACTAGTTATCAGTTACTAGGTCTGCCCAGAACTTTTTGCATGATCCATGGTTTGCACAACAGAGCAACCTTTCTACAGAGCAGGACTGGTCAGGCTTCAATGGACACAGCACAGTATTTCAGAGTGGGGTCTCTAGATACCCCTATTAGAAGCTTATGAGGAACGGTTTAATACACAAATATCCTTGCCTCCCTTGCCCCACAGTTAAAATGGCAAGAGGTGAGGGAAGGGCAAGGGACCACATTAAAAACACTTAAACCATTGGCATATTATAGAATTTAAGTATAACGTGTAAAGCTCTGTGTTAGAACATTAAACACATTGAATTGAAATCATCTCTTTGGGTCTCCCCTCCATCCGAGTAAGTTCTTAGATGTAAGGAGTGCATTGCTTTGTCTATGAATGCTTGCTACTGCCAATATAAGACATAACAATTTTAACTGAATGTGTCCCAAGGCTGGGGTACATGGGTAGGGTGAGTAATATGTTTTGGAAGAAAAGGGAGGTTGAGCTATGAATTATCTCCATGAAAGGGATTTATAACTTATTATGAAGAGTCCCTTAATGGAGTGAGGAATAATAAACAAGCAAGTACAGAATTCAGATCTCCAAGTACTAGAGTCAGGGGGCTTAAAGCATGGCATCAGTGGGGAAGTAGGTATGGAAGTCTACCTCTTCCATACTGAAATTCCATTTCAGTAGCCAAATTAAAAAAACTCCTACTGGGCATCTTCCTAAAATAGATGGTGTATTTCTTGTTTTTGATGAGCCTCAGGGTTATCAGCAGGAACAACATAATACAGTGGGGCTCCAGAGGCAATCAAACCATAGGAGGCTGGCTTCTCAAAGTTGCTCAGCCTTAAAGGAGATAATATGTGTAGCTTCTTGCTGTTGTTTTTCATTTGGTGCTTCTAACTGGGTAATTAGTTGGATTAATAAGCACTGTCTGTTACCTAATTTCCAGATTTGTATTATTTCCCAAAAGGTCGAACTAACATTGTCCACTGTACAATGTGATTATGATTAACAAATGCCCACAAATTTGTTAAAGAATGGTATCCCTCATCTTTTGTGGAATGCTAGGAAAGATGAAATCTTATGTATTCAGAGTTGGATGCACTCCACATTAAAGTTCTGTGAAGGCATGTTTTTAAAGAAAAAATTGTTTTTTCTTTTACATACAGACCATTGTGCTGATGAGTGACCTGGCTACTACCCTGGATGCACAGGGCCGCTTTGATGAGGCCTATATTTATATGCAAAGGGCATCAGATCTGGCAAGACAGATAAATCATCCTGAGCTACACATGGTACTCAGTAATCTAGCTGCAGTTTTGATGCACAGAGGTAGGTAGCAATGTAAACTTAACTGACTTGCTTTAAGGGAGGGATGTCACTGGATTGATAGATTTGTGAAGTGGTATGTAGGGAGGGCAAGGGCCAACGAATAAACATGTAAATTAAAAGACTGGTTGAATGGCAGAAAAAGGAGGTATTGATTAGGTTGAAGTACTATTGTGTTCAATTCACGTAACTTCTACAGACCTGCACTAGCCTGTCGAACCCCATCAAGCTGGAGAAAACCTTGCAATGATAGTACCTTACGTCAGTAGTGCTTTACAGATTTCTAAATGTGTTCAGTTACAATGTGTTTCTCACAGTGTGCTGGTGAAGCTTTATGACAGGAAGTATCATTTTGTCAGACATTTCTTAGTGTCAGCACACTATACCGATCATTTTCAGAAACCTGGGATGACAGGTGTATTACACATACCACCATTCATGAAATCTTGGGCTCATCAAAGTCCTCAGGATATACTGGAAAGGGCCGTTAGGAATCCCACAGCATTCAGTGGAGTTCCAGCCTGTCAGATGGGGATGAAATGAGGCAGCACCAGCTTGTCGCTTCATAAGCACACAGTAAATTAGCCCTATATCTGCATTCATGCTCTCTCTTCAGAATCACCTTGAAAACATACACTTTCTTCTTACTGTCCCTTCTCTCTGGGTTATTTTAGAACGATATACACAAGCAAAAGAGATCTACCAGGAAGCACTGAAGCAAGCAAAGCTGAAAAAAGATGAAATTTCTGTACAACACATCAGGGAAGAGTTGGCTGAGCTGTCAAAGAAAAGTAGACCTTTGACAAATTCTGTCAAGCTCTAAATCCATTTTTGTGTAGGGAGAATAATGTCTAGTAATGTGGAAGAATAGCTATCATTCCTGTCTCTGTGGCACCCGATCAATGGCTTAAATCTGTCGTTTTTGATATTCAGGTTTCCTCAATTTAGCCTTAGTGAAGGAGGGGTTGTACACACTGCCATTTTTGTATTTTAAAGGAAAAATGACTTTCATTCCCAACTGATTATGACCTTTCAGGATGTCGTCAAGTGATGCTTTCAGTTGTAACACGTGACTTGGTGCTGTCCCTGCTGGTCTAAGTAGAACTGTAGATTCATATGGGCTGGTGTTCCTGTGCGCTGTGGGTGTGGTGATTCAGCCTGGCATTTCTACCATAAGTTTTTGGTCTGCTGATTTGCTGCCCTGTCTTCTCTTACTTTACTTTATCAATACCTGGCAAACTGACCAGAATTACCTTCCTCATGGCAAAGGGGGATTATGGTGAATTGTTGTTCTTATAGTCTGTTTCATGAAGCACAAGTGGAATTTAATACATAAAAGAGAAAAATATCTTAGTTTGCTACCAGCATCCAGCATGAAGTTGTAAAGTGGGGATTAGGCACGTGACAGTATAGCACCCATTTGAATTTAAATAAAAGTGAACCATATTTATCTGGTTATATAAAACTAAAAATGGGGGTGTTTATATAAAACTAAAAACTAAGAATGATGTAACCTTTTGTCTGTGTTATCTGAACACTCTACTTCCTTTGCAGCCTTAGTCACACAACTGAGTCATCTCAAGTACTCTTTAAGGACACACAGCCCAGGCTGTTCTGAGTCAGAATAGGCCCCTACAGGTATATTTTAAAACTCTTCGTAATTCTAATGTGTACTGCTGGTATAGCTGAACTACTGACCTGGATCTTAGTCCTAGCCTTTTTGCTTTTGCAATTTCAGTATCTTCATCTCTAAACTAGGGAAACACTGGGATTCTTTCTTAGCTGTGGGGGAAGGTATTTGGTTAGATGACTTTGAATGAATAGACTGCTGTGCTGAAAGAGCTTTATCACACTGTCTCAAAGTATGTAAAGATACATAGGTGGATGCTCTTACTGCAGCAGTCATGAATACATTTTTAGCCATTTACCTAAGGAAAAAGACAGTTTTTCTAGGTACCATGAAGGAAGATTGACCCTGTTGGTATGCCTGTGGGGGTGGGATGTGAGTGGGACTGATAAACTGATACTTTTGGTTCGTATGTACATACTGGAAGAATCTTCATAATAAATGAGACTACACAACAATATTGTATGTATCCCAGTAATCTTTGCATTTCTCAAAAAAAAAAAAAAAAAAAAAAAAAAAACTTTCTGAAGAAAATAAAAACACCAGAAACCTTGAGGTCCAAATCCTCAGGGATTAGACTAAAACTAGAGTTTTGTATGTTGCAGATGTAAATTTCTTCCTATTTTCTGTCTAATCTCATATTATTTACCATGCAGCTAATGCCGTTTACCAAGTCTAGCTCAGAGAGATAAGATACAATATAAATCAGACTGTTTCAGTAGAAACCAGTATTAACGTATGGTGATTTCTTAAAAAAATTAATGTCAACCACTCACCTTTTGCATTGAGAATGTTTTTACCTTTTCACAACTGCAGGGGTTACTGAAAGGTTTTTCATTCCAAGTTTTATTTATTTATTAATTTTAAATCATCCACAGTGACTCAGCTCATGGTCTCGTTGTTGGAAACACTAGGAGTTTTCAGGACAGTCTCTTCATGTGGGTGTTTTCATTACAGTTCATTTACACTGTTGTAAAATAAGGTACTGAAGCAAAAGGAGGACTGATCTCCTTTACTGATTGGTCTAAATTCAAAAGTGAATTGGTTAAAATCGTGTCATTAAAATTTTTTAACTGTCCAATGGTCACTGGAGTTTTCTGGGCATAAATATTTTTAAAATAGAATCACTCAGTGTACCAAAATTAAAAGCATTATGAAATTTGCAGTCATAAACATGCAGTGGAAAACTGGCTGTCAGAATACTTTTATGAAGAGTATTAGGAAGACCTTAATTTAGTTCTGGGTGCTAAAAAAATCACGTGTAAGGATATAGTGTCAGAACACTGAAATCTAAGTCTACAAAGAATATCATGTTTTGGTTTGCAGTGAACCACAGTAAGTTGTCAGTGCTGCTCTGTGCTTACCACTTAAATCATGATAAGGTGAACCTCCATAGGTAAACCATGTGAGAATTCTGTCCTTTCATTTATTTTGAACCAAGAACTATTATTGGATTTTAACTCTCATTCTGAGATTTCTTCTCCAGGTGATGGTAAATAAAGTAATACGCACATGCATTATGATGAGGATGGAGGGAGTGGTTCACAGCACCTCACCTTCGGGTCCTCAGGTAGAACTGCAAGAGTAAGAAGTTAGGCTCTGATCTGACATGTTCTCAGAAACTATACGGTTGACCTTCAAATAATGCAGGAGTTAGGGGCATAGACCCCCTAAGTAGTCAAAAATCCACATCTAACTTTGACTCCTCCAAAACTTAACTACTCATGGCCTACTGCTGACCAGAAGTCTTACGGATAACATAGTCGATTGACACATATTTTGTATATGTATTATATACTGTATTCTTACAATAAAGTAAGCTAGAGAAGAGAAAATGTTTGTTAAGATTATAAGGAAGAGAAAATATATTTACTATTCATTAAGTGGAAGTGGATCATCATGAAGGTCTTCATCCTTGTCATCTTCATGTTGAATAGGCTGAGGATGAGAAGGGGTTGGTCTTGCTATCTTGGGTGGCAGAGGTGGAAGAAAATCCATGTATAAGTGGACCCACACAGTTCAAACCCGTGTTGTTCAAGGGTCAACTGTATTCTGACTCAGAATAGCTTAAGACCCTCAGGGTCATAGAAAAATACCATCATAATCTCTTTTATGGTAGGTTGGCAATATAAATTATTAACAAACTCTAAAATATTACCAGTACCTGAAAAAAAAAAATTCAGCAGAAAACTGTGAAGTGGAACATTTAGTCACTGTTTTTCATTCATTTTGAAATTTTTATATGTTTACATATATCTGTTGTAAAAAATACCAACTTTCCAAGTACTAGGAATGCTGACCACTAAGCCTGATCTAAAGTTTATGTTGGGGACCTCAGGTATACAGGAGTGGAACAGGGACAGGAGTGAAAGCTTTGACTGAAGACAAATGTGGGCTTATGGCCTATCTCTGTCACTAATTTAACTATATGGGCAAAGTACTAAACCTGTGTCTTCATCTGTAACATAGGGATTAGACACCAGTGATAGGAGGGTCTTGGTCAGTAGCTAATCACAGAGCTGCTTCCTTAAAAGCCTTGAGTACTTTTGTTTAAAAGTTTAGGTCTACTTGAAAGTCTGTAAAGTGCTAATTTTTATCATCCTGAGAGATCTGTTTCTCCCCTTTCCAGTTACCAGTGGCATTCTCCCAAAACTGTTAGTATCTATGTTATAGAAAGATACTTAAATGCTATGATAAATTGTATGAAAAAAACTTTAAAATTCAGCAAGCAATTCTTAATGAAAGATAAAACTGGCCCTCTAGTACCATAATTAGTTTAGAATTCAGTCTTTTAAATTATTTGCACCTTGAGACTCTGTGAAATGAAAACATTTAACAGTAAACTCTTGTCCCAAGGGAGCAAAGTGAGAGTAAATGCTGGTCCATAGTGATGGGGAAAAAGGACTGTGTTCACCATGAGTTTTTCAGGATGCAGCATAAAGCTTATCTAAATACTACACAGATCATTATCTTTTAACCCAACCAATCATATATTCAAACTAAGGGAAAAATATGTAAGCTTTTCCTTTGGAACCTGAGACACCAGGAGCCTTAAACCACAAATAATCTACTGTAGCTATGGACAGGGTAGTCAAATTTATTTCAAAACAAAAGCTTTGTTGGGCTGCATCAAATGCAGGAGAAAAGGAATACTTAGGGGCATGGTTAAATTACCAGTGTGCGTAACAGTGAGGTATGCCTCAAATAAGCCTTTAAAACTTTATAAACTGAACTAGAACATACCCATGCAGTAATATTTTTTCAGTGCTACTAATGAAAAAAAAAAATTAAAGCCTGCACTGGAAATTTACAATATGGCAGAATTTGTTACTTTTACCTTTTGACCCTAATGTACAGATTTTATGACAGGGTCTGTGTTAAAAATCTAAACATTTTCACAAGATTTTAAACATCACTGGAAAGCTGAATTTAGAGGAAACAATATCAGATAAAAGTACAATGCCCGTGACAGCCAACATTATGTAACTGGGCTGTATGAGGTTGTTTAGAAGGCTAGGGTTAAAAAGATAGATAGACAAAAAGATTTTTAAAAATCACCCCCAAAGTTGATGCGCTGATTTGAACATAAGTACACCAGATACTACAGCAAGGGGATATACACTGCAAAAAGGTCATCTATTTACAGAAGAGTGATTTAAAGACATTATGGTTTTCTTTACAGATGTAAGAACAGCAACTGTTCACTTTTTAAAAACTCTACATCTCAACCCTCCACTATTATTATAGTCCACTGAATTGCCTGTATCAAAGGCAGTTTTTTGTTTGTTTTTTTCCCATTTGACTCTCCAAATGAACTTCCATCATTTCTTCATCATCTGTGGGCTGGCTCTCCTGAAAAGTCTCAGGGAATAAGTCACAGGAGGGCAGGTTTTTGACCTGCTACTAAAAATTAAACCACAAAAACTAGAGATCCCTCTCCTGCACCCTGTTCCCCTCACTTTGTGCAGTTCAGTCATCACTATCCGACAGGGTCTCGTACTGTGCTGAGAGCAGTGGGGCAGGCTCTCGCTCCCAGATCCTGTTCTGTTGGTGAGGAGCTGCTTGGTTCACCGCAGAGGGAGCACATGCAATCGGTGTTGGTGGAGTACTGCTGAGCATCCGCATAGTCAGAGGGTTATAAGGAAACTGAGTTGAGCCTGACAAAAGAAAAATTAGGTTTTCATTGTCATGAACATAACTGGTATTTCATCCAATCCAACTTTTGTAGGATGGAGTAGAATAGGATTATTGTAAAATGGTCATGTGACACCATGAAAGCAAAATGAATACAACACGGAATGGCCAAAGTCTCACCACTTAAATCCTAGCCAATGATATATAGCAGTCAGTGCGGGTCCAAAAAAGAAGAGTAACATGAGTAGCATATGAGTGAGGGCTGCTGAGCCCAGAAGAGAAAGCCCAGGCTAGATTTTTAGTTAAGTCTATATCAGATGTTTCCATGGAGAATCACAGAGTCAGGTTATAGCAAGAGCTTTCTTAACTCTTCAAGAGAAATGCAAGAGTATAGTTCTCAGACGACAATGGACAAGTACCCAGGAACGTCTGCAGACTGAGGGGCAGCAGGATGCAAGTCATCTGCTGAATCTCACTGGGCAGATTTTAAAGTCTACAAGATTGAGAAATGAGGTAATTAATGAACACTGCTACCCTTCATCAGTTTCTAGATGTTTAACTGTCCCCAGAAAGCCTCCTACAGCTTAAGAAAACGCAAAAACAGGCTGGGCGCAGTGGCTCACGCCTGTAATCCCAGCACTTTGGGAGGCCAAGGTGGGCAGATCACCTGAGGTCGGGAGTTCAAGACCAGCCTGACCAACATGGAGAAACCCCATCTTACAAAATTAGCCGGGTGTGGTGGTGCATGCCTGTAATCCCAGCTAGTCGGGAGGCTGAGGCAGGAGAATCGCCTGAACCCAGGAGGCGGAGGTTGCTGTGAGCCAAGATAGCACCATTGCACTCCAGCCTGGGCAACAAGAACGAAACTCCGTCTCCAAAAAAAAAAAAAAAAAAACCCAAAAACATAAAACATAACCATTTAATCAAATAATAAATCTCATGTATGGCCTAATTAATTCTTCCCTAAGAGATCTGAGAAGCAGCAACCACTGGTCTGGGCTGTAAGCTTTCAAACTCAAAACAACCACTTTGCATGTGACATGAGTTTTATAATGCAAAAGCCTGATATAATTTACATATATCTTACAGGGAAGGGCACATTTCAGATTTTTTTCAGTGACATATTTGTATTTAATCCTAAGGAAAAGATGGCTTATAATTCTCTGAAACTCTAAAATTCGTAATATCCCAGTTTTAAAAGTCTGTTGCTTTTTAAAGCTACTGTGATCATAGTTATTACATACATTAAGTTTACAAATAGGCACAAAATAGAAAATAATAAGTATCCTGGAGTATTGTTTTTCATCAGTTTGTGTAAATGTAGTGAACGTACAGACAGATGATGGCTTTTTTTGTTTTTGTTAAGATGGAGTCTCTTTTTGTTGCCCAGGCTGGAGTGCAGTGGCGCAATCTCAGCTCACTGCAATTTCCGCCTCCCAGGTTCAAGTGATTCTCCCACCTCTGACCTCAAGTGATCTGCCCGCCTCAGCCTCCCAAAATGCTGGGATAACAGGCATGAGCCACCGCGCCCAGCTAGATGATGGCTTTTTAAACTAGTCTTCTCATTTCTAATTTTGATTTCTTAGTATTTCCCTAAGAACTTTTTCTAAGAATACCAATATGAAAGGTGAAGTACTCTTAGAAGTGGCATGGGTACATTCAGGTACAGTTCTCAAAAGAACTAAAACCACCTTATTTGCTTTGCAAATAGTCAATGTTCGCTACCAGTGTAATACAGAAGTGAGGAGAATGGTTGAGATTATTTTTTCATAGCTCTTCCTTTGTTTATGGTAATCAGGCTTTGCATTCTAAAAATGTTTCAGGTTATATGTGCATTCAGTTTCTATTCTGGGTGTGTGCATTGGTTGACTCCTGTAATACTAACACTTTGTGAGGCCAAGGCAGGAGGAATGAGTTCAGGAGTTCGAGACCAGCCTGGGCAACGTAGTGAGACCTTGTCCCTACAAAAAATAAAAATTAAAATGAAAATGAAAAAAATTAGCCAGGCATGGTCGTGCACGCCTGTAGTCCCAGCTACTTGGGTCGCTCAGGTGAGAGGATCACCTGAGCCTCAGAGGTCGAGGCTGCAGTGAGCCATGATCATGCCATTGCATTCCAGCCTGGGTGACAGAACAAGACCCCTCAAAAAAATACTTCTATTCGGGAAAGTGGAACATATTAATGATACAGAAATGGGAATATAGGTTTCCAAATTAGAAGAGTTGCTGAATTTTGAAGAACTAATAACCAAGACATTGATATTATTGCTCTGTCTCATTTTCTAAGTTAAAGCAGAATCCTTACCTGTTGAAGAGGGCCTGTCTTCCCAGGCCCACCCTGGCGTCTGCCTATGGTAATCCCCTTCTGAATGTACAGAGGAGACTGAAGAGGGCCGTTCCGTTCCTAAGTAGCCTTGCCCAGGTATAGGAGACTTAGATTTCCTGCTGTTTGACTTGCTGATCAGCTTTGGTTTGCAAACTCCTCCTGAAAGTGAAATTCAAGTTAAAGTATTAATATATTAAGTTCTCAAAAATTACCAAAATGCTAATGATTATATATTGCTAAATGAAAAAAAAGCAGAATGGTAACATGAAGAATCCAGATCCTGGTACTCAATGAAATAAAATACTACAGGCATACCTCAGAGATACTGAGGGTTTAGTAAGTCACAATTATTTTGCTGGTGGATGGTCTTGCCTCCATGTTGATGGCTGCTGACTAATCTGCATGGCGGTTGCCAAAGGCTGGGATGGCTGTGGCAATTTCTTTTCCTTTCATGAAAGACTTATTTGTAGCATGCAATGATAGCATTTTAGCCACAGTAGAACTTTCAAAATTGGAGTTGATCCCTCAAACCCTTCTTTATTAACTGGGTTTATGTAATGTAGTATTCTAAATCCTTTGTTGTCATTTCAGCCATGTTCACAGCATCTTCAGGGGCAGATTCAATCTCAAGAAACCACTTTCTTTGCTCATCCCTAAGAAGCAACTCCTCATCCATTTCAAGTTTGATCATGAGATTGCAGCAATTCAGTTACATCTTCAGGCTCCACTACTAGTTCTCTTGTTCTTTTTTTTTTTTTTTTTTTTTTAAGGCAGGGTCTCACCTCTGCTGCCCAGGCTGCACTGCAGTGGCACAATCACGGCTTACCAGCTCACTAAAGCCTCAACTTCTTGGGCTCAAGCAATCCTCCCACCTCAGACCCAAGTAGCTGGGACCACAGGTACACACCACCACACCCGGCTACTTTTTAAAATTTTTGTAGAGATGGGGTCTCACCATGTTGCCCAGGTTGGTCTCAAACTCCTGGGTTCAAGTGATTCTACTGCCTCAGCCACCCAAAGTGCTGGGATTACAGGCATGAGTCATCATACCCGGCCTCTCTTGCTATTTCTCCTACACCTGCAGTGACTCCCTCCACTGACGTCTTGATCCCCTCCCAAGTTATCCATGGGAGCTGGAATCATCTTTTTCCAAACTCCTGTTAATGTTGATATTCTTACCTCCTCCCATGAATTACAAATGTCGTTAATAGCATCTAAAATGGTGAATCCTTTTCAGAAGGTTTTCAGTTTACTTTGCTCAGATCCGTCAGAGGAATCACTATGGCAGCTATTGCCTTATGAAATGTATTTCTTAAATAATAAGACTTGAAAGTAGAAATTATTCCTTGATCCATGGGCTTCAGAATGGATGTTGTGTTAGCAGGCATGAAAACAACATTCATCTCCTTGAACCTTTCCATCAGAGCTCTTGGGTGACTAAGTGGATTGTTAATGAGCAGTATTGAAAATTATTTTTTCTAAGCAGTAGGTCTGAACAGTGGGCTTAAAATATTCAGCAAGCCATTCTGTAAACACATGCTGTCATCTAGGCTTTGTTCCATTTCTAGAGCACAGGCGAGTAGACCAAGCATAATTCTTAAGTGGCCTAGGATTTTCAGAATGGTAAAGGAGCACTGGCTTCAACTTAAAAGTCACCACCTGCATTAGCCCCTAACAAGAGAGTCAGCCTGTCTTTTGAAGTTTTGGACTCTTCCAGTAGAAGGCTGTTTTGTCTACATGGAAGATCTGTTGTTTAATGCAGTCACCTTTATCAAAGATCTTAGCTAGGTCTTCTGAGTAACTTGCTGCAACATCTTCATCAGCACTTTCTCCCTCACCTTGCACTTTTATGTTACAGAGACGGCTTCTTCAACCTCTGAATGGCCTCTGCTAGCTTCAGCCTTCTCATCTGTGGCTTCCTCGCCTCTCTGAGCCTTCAGAGAATTGAAGAGTTAGGGCTTGGATTAGGATTAGGTTTTGGCTTAAGGGAATGTTGTGGCTGGTTTGGTCTTCTATCCAGACCACTAAAATCTTCTGTGTGTCACGAAACACTGTTTTGCTTTATTACCATTTGTGTGTTCACTGGAATAGCACTTTCAATTTCCTTCAAAAACTTTTCCTTTGCATTCACAATTTGGCTAACTGTTTGGCACATGAGGTCTAGCTTTCAGCCTGTCTTGGCTTTCAACATGCCTTTCTCACTAAGCTTAATCATTTCTAACTTTTCATTTCAAGTGACAGACTTAGTGATTCTTCTTTTCACTTGAACACTTAGAAGCCATTGCAGGGTTAATTGGCCGAATTTGAATATTGTTGTGTGTCAGGGAATAAGGGAGCCAGAGGAGGAGAGAGACAGGGAACAACCAGTCAGTGGAGGAGTCAGGACACACACCACCTTTATGGGTTGTTTGCCATCTTATACAGGTGCTCCTCATGGTGCCCCCAAACAATTACAATAGTAATATCAAAGGTCACTGATCACCATCACAGAGATAATAATCATGAACAAGTTTGAAATATTGTGAGAATTACCAAAATATGACACAGACACAAAGGAGAGCCCATGCTATTAGAAAAATAATGCTGATAGACTTGCTTGACACAGGGTTGCCATAAACCTTCAGTTAAAAAAAAAAGCACAATAAAACGAGGTATGCTTGCATTTAAAAGAAAGCCAGGATTTCACTTGTAACAATCAAAACAAAAAACAAGGTTCGTCCTCCTGCCATTAAAATGTGGTAATTAAGGAACTGAAATTTCTGGGACATCAAGCCTTCTTTACTGGCCTCAGAGTACAGAAACTACTAAAGAAAGAAGGCAGGGTGACAAAAATCATACTTCACTAATGACCAACCCCCCTTTCCCAACTGGAATTAATACACCACACAAAGAAATAATATGTAAAGGAAAAACTGCAGAACAAAGCTTCTTCATGCTACTACAGGACTTGAGCAGAGGCTCAGCAAGTTTTGGTAGCCCTTTTGATTTTTCCAGACTGTGTAGCTGATGAACTCAGCAGAATTTCACAGAAGTGAGACACCTCTGACTGTGCTCTAAAAGAAAACATCAAAAAGAGCTCAGAAGAGATCAGAGCCCAGGTCATCAGCAAATTTTTTCCTCAGCCCCAGCAAAACAATTTCACACTGCCCCAAATTCCTATACAACCAGTACAATTGTAATTGACTAAGTCACCAGTCTTATAACCTTAAAACACACACACTTAAAGCCAATAAAAATTGGAAGGTAAGAACAGAAAGGGGAAGGTCTTAAAGTTAACATGTATAGTTTTTTTTTTAAGACCTCTAATCTCTTTAATCTTTTTCTTAACCATAGTGAGATAGATCTTTTGCTTGAAGATAACAGGAAAATAAATCTAAACTAAAACAGAAATACTGCTGAACTTCAGGTAATTTTGAAAAGCACAAGAGATATTCTCAAAATATTAAGAAAAAGGTTGTAAGATTAAAGCTTAGGATTATTATGGTTTTTTTGTGTGCTTGTTTTTAACAGAATGTATAAAATCTCATTCTAGCAACTCTTATCTGGCTATCCAGAGACATGTCTGAAACAATGCTTATCAGATACAAGCATTAGCATTCCGGATGATGTGATCTGAAGAACTGTTTCTTTTTCTTCCCTTTTTCCTACTCTTTTTTTTTTTCCTTTTTTGAGACAGGGTCTCACTTTGTCACCTGGGCTGGAGTGCAGTGGTGCAATTGCAGCTCACTGCAACCTCTGCCTCCTGGGCTCAAGTGATCTTCCCACCTCGGCCCCCACAAGTAACTGGGACTACAGCGTGAGCCACCACACCCAGCTAATTTTTGTAATTTTTGTAGAGACGGGGTTTTCATCATGTTGCCCAGGCTGGTCTCAAACTCCTGAGCTCAAGTGATCCACCCAACTTACCCTCCCAAAGTGCTATGATTACACCTTTTTTCCTACTCTTTTTTTATGGCTTACGATTATTTTATTTTATTGTGTGTGTCTGTGTATGTATGTATTTTGAGACGGAGTCTCACTCTGTTTCCAGGCTGGAGTGCAGTGGTGTGATCTCAGCTCACAGCAACCTCCGCCTCTCGGGTTCAAGCAATTCTCCTGCCTCAGCCTCCTGAGTACCTGGGATTACAGGCACACGCCATCATGCCCAGCTAATTTTTGTATTTTTAGTAGAGATGGGGTTTCACCATGTTGGCCAGGATGGTCTCGATCTCTTGACCTTGTGATCCGCCCGCCTCCGCCCCCCAAAGTGCTGGGATTACAGGCGTGAACCACCGCACCCGGCTGGCTTATGTTTCTTTTCTACTGAGCCTAATTTTTACAGTTAAATCACTTTTATTCAAAAACATTATATTTGTGTTACAATTACAATGCAGTATGTATAGATGAGGACTAGGTGCAAACAAATAAAAAATGGACATCCCAGGAGGGTGACACTTTGGGTAAAAATTTTCTTCCATTTTATTTCTGTTCATATTATAATGTCTGGGTAGGTTTTCAAAAACCTTTTTTAAGTAACGGAAACCCTAAGAGGTGACTCTGAGCACATAAAGACATAAATGAAATGTCTTAGTGATGCATCAGAATTTGGGAAATAAACTGGCTTTTTTGGGGAAAAGCAGCAGAAAAGCACTAAAATGAAAGCTGTACCTGAATGAGGTGATGGGTCCCCTTCCTCTCTTCGTGTCTCACCACTGGTCACAACTGAGGTGTTGGCAGTACCAGGCACTACTCCCATAGGCTGGGACATGACAACTCCATGATCCTCAACTTTGTCATCAAAGCTTCCCATGAGAGCCTTCCTGATAATGTCTTCCAGCCCAAGATTACTGGCAGGATCAGCAAAAGAATGGCCTCTAGAGCTAACTGAGCCTGAAAGAGAATCAAAAACATTTCCACTTATTTCTGAAAGGCCAATCAGGAAACAAACATGCATTGCCCCATCAGCCCACTGAATACACACAGCACTTGGCAAGTGACCTAGAACAATACCAGGACCCACCACACAGAGACCTTTTTTTTTGGAGACAGAGTCTCTCTCTGTCGCACCCAGGCTGGAGTGCAGTGGCGCGATCTTGGCTCACTGCAACCTCCGCCTCCCAGATTCAAGGGATTCTCCTACCTCAGTCTCCCAAGTAGCTGGGACTACAGGCACCCACCACCACACCAGGCTAATTTTTTGTATTTTTAGGAGATGGGGTTTCACCATATTGGTCAGGCTGATCTCGAATTCCGAACCTCAGGTGATCCGCCCGCCTTGGCCTCCCAAAGTGCTGGGATTACAGGCGTGAGCCACCGCACCCAGCCCAGAGACCATCTTAATCCACAGATAACTCCTTAAGGAAATTTGTTTCCCAAGTGAATCAGTCACCCACACTTCTATTAAAGTTACTCAACAATTTTCTCAGTTCCCTAGTTTTGACAGTGTTCTTTAATAGTTTCATTCTTTTTGTTCATTTATCTTTTCAATAGGTATTTACTGGATCTCAGTTCCTTTCTGTGCTACTGGGTAAACCTTCCTTCACTAAATTATTTATTTATTTTTCCATATTAGAGCAGTCACTCCCCTGGTATACAGTTGGTACTCAGTACATATTTGTTGGACTGACTACTGCTGTGCCAATTTTGTATTGGTAAATAATGTCTTTTCAATCTTACCTGACGTAGTAACTGCTGGCAGATTAAAGATCTCAGTTCCTGGCTGAGCAGCTGCTATATTTAAGCAAACATTCAAGTTAATTAAGATGTGATAATCATATATACCAAACTAAAGTCTCAAAAAATTCCTATAATAAAATTAATCTTTTTATTTTTCATGATCTCAACCTTTATTTCTCACCCATTAAGTGAAGATAAAATGGAAGTATTTTTTTTTTTTGAGACAGGGTCTCACTCTGTTGCCCAGGCTATTTTTAAAGGGAAATCAGGAAATAGGTAAGGTAGGAACATCAAAAGAAGAGCAATAAGCTGTGTGCAGTGGTGCACTCCTAGTCCCCCAGCTACTCAGCAGGCTGAGGCGGTAGGACTGCTTGAGCATAGGAATTTGAGGCCAGCCTGGGCAACACAGTGAGACTCTCCCATCTGTTTACCAAAAATAAATAAATAAATAAAAAAAGAAGCAGTGTAACCCAGAAAAGGGAAAGGAACTTTGCACTGCTGGAGAAAAACAAATAGGAAAATGCTGTTCTCAGAACAGGAACCAAGGCTTTCTGACGAAGAAGAAACCTTGGACTCTGGGATGACCGCCACAAATACCAACAGGTTTGAGGCAGCCTGGGATGTGATCCAGAGGAAAGCCACCACAGTGAATACTATGAAAATGACTGTGTTTCCCTGCATGGCTAACTGGAAACTCAGGATATTTGCTGGAAAAAACAAAAGACTCTGTTGATCCTTTTCATTCCTGCTGACTGTGCAACTTGTAATCTGCAGTTTGAATGATAACAGCATAAGACCTGGGAACCGCCTATAATAAAGCAGTGTGCCAGAAAGGGGAAGAATTTGGGACATAAATTGGTGTTTCCGTCATTCCCAACTTGACGCTAAGAATTTTAAAGAGAAAAAAAGAATGCAGAAAGCAAGTGGGCAGCCAAATGATGTGTCCCAAAGAATGTGAAAGTTCTTTTTTTTTTTTTTTTTTCCTTTGAGATGGTGGTGTTTTATTCTTGTCACCCAGGCTGGAGTGCAATGGCGTGATCTAGGCTCACTGCAACCTCTGCCTCCTGGGTTCAAGCAGTTCTCCTGCCTCAGCCTCCCGAGCAGCTGGGATTATAGGCCCCCCGCCACCATGCCCAGCTAATTTTTGTATTTTTAGTAGAGACGGAGTTTCACCATTTTGGCCAGGCTGGTCTCGAACTCCTGACCTCAGGTGATCTACCCACCTCAGCCTCCTAAAGTGCTGGGATTACAGGCATGGGCCACTGTGCTCAGCCAGAATGTGAAATTAATTAATTTATTAATTAATTTATTTTTAAGACGGAGTCTCACTCTGCCGCCCAGGCTGGAGTGCAGCGGTGCGATCTTGGCTCACTGCAAGCTCTGCCTCCCAGGTTCACGCCACTCTCCTGCCTCAGCCCCCCGAGTGGCTGGGACTACAGGCGCCCGCCACTATGCCTGGCTAATTTTTTACATTTTTAGTAGAGATGGGATTTCACCGTGTTAGCCAGGATGGTCTTGATCTCCTGACCTCGATATGCCCGCCTCGGCCTCCCAAAGTGCTGGGATTACAGGTGTGAGCCACCGTGCCCGGCCAGAATGTGAAATTTCTAATGAGACCACAGAAGGATGGACTCTTACCCAAGGGCTGAGCACATGAGAGGAGGGAAGAGTGCATGTGCCTAGAAACAAACTTGGTTGATTAGGGAGGCTTTAAACTGACAGAGGAGAAAAGTCCTCAGAAGAACTAGAAAACAATGGCCATGGATGACAGTCTTCTTACTTATGGGCCAGGTGACAAGGTAAATAAATTGAGCCTGAAACAGCAGAGCCCTGTTATCATGAAGTGTGTGGAACAGGAGTCATTCATTTGATAGATATTTAATTGAGCAGTTATTTGACTGAATTGTTAAGATTACCTTATTGATCAAAAATGGTCAGATGAAGACAATTTCCTATAAGTTAACCAATGATAATCCTTAGATACTGCACTTGCAGGATAACCCTTCCTTTGCTAATGGAGCTTACAGTGCAGTGTGGTACTTGCTAAGGCCATACAAATTAGAATCACCTGGGTAGCTTAGTAAATTTTCTACATTCCTGGGGCTCCATAATTCAACTATTTAATAAGCAATCCAGGTGACTGGTACCTACTGTTGAGCAAGAATGTGGTAACTGCTCAGAAATTAGCAGAATGGAAGGTAGACATGTGAAAGCCACTGTGGAGGCCAACTTGACAGGAGGAGCTGACTCCCATCAGGAGGCAGAGAGACCAGGATAGTAATGGCCAGAGTAATGGTAACTGTTAACTGTGGTAGGGAAGGAGGAGGAACTTTTTGTATGGGGAGGTAGAACATGGATTCAATTTTAGATATTTAAGGAGCCAGTAAGTTAGTCAAGAAGTAATGAGGTCTGCAAAGATATGTAAGTAGAGCTTAGTAGGAAAAGCTGGGCTACAGATACAAATTTGGGAGTTTTCAGCATACAAGCGACCATTCAACTCCCCAGAGTAGATGAGATGACTCAAATTATAAGACATGAGGAGAAAGGGGCTAAGAAGTGAGCCCTGGGGAAAACTAACAATCAAGGGCCAGGCAAAGCAAGACTGAGCTTCTAAGGAGACAGAAGTGGCCAGAGAAGTAGAGAAGAAACAGGAGAACATGGCATCAGAAAGCCAAGAGAGGAAAGCATTTCAGGAAAGGAAAGTGGTTCACTGTGTCAAAAGCTGCAAAGAGATCCAATAAAGTAAGTTTTAAAGCATTACAGTTTTCAAAAAAATAAAGTCACTGATGTCCTTGGGAACACTGGATTCAGATACAATGAGCTGAAGTGAAGCTGTGTTGGCTGCTGATGGCTTTCATTTAGTTCTACTTCCCAGTGAAGGCTAAATGTGCCATGGTGGGCCCAGGAGCCCACTGGTTCTTTAATATAAATTCTCCTTTCCACCATGAAAAATAGTTCTTGCAATAAAAAAAAAATCCCAGACTCTAAAGCAATTCTGTTAGTACTTCCCTTAAGACATTAATTATCTCCTGTTAAAGTTAGGTACTTGTTTCATCATACAGCTTCAGAGAATAGAGACCATGTGGCATACTAAAACACCCAACATAGTACGCTACTGAAAACATTAGGCAAGAGAGAAAAAACTATAAAGTAGGCTTCTTCAGTTCAAACATGGCATTTCCCTGTCAAAGAGTTTCCCACTTTAAGGGTAAGACAAAGACTACAGAATGAGCAGACCACACAAAGGTGAAATGATTTGCATCTCAGTTCCTGGCTGCTCTGAGATCTCTAGCTCTCCGTGCTCACACAGATTCATCTCTGAGTGCCAAGAGAAATTGAAAACAAGAGTATATTTTTGTTGGTGACACTTGAGGAGCTGTAAATAATAGATTAAACTGTTGAAGACTGGAGACAGAAAATAGTAATAACAATATTTTTTGAAAAGGTGGCCGGATACAGTGGTTCACGCCTGTAATCCCAACACTTTGGGATGCTGAGGTGGGTGGATCACCTGAGGTCAGGAGTTCGAGACCAGCCTGGCCAACATGGATAAACCCCGTCTGTACTAAAAATACAAAATTAGCCGGATATGGTGGCTGGTGCCTGTAATCCCAGCTACTCGGGAGGCTGGCCCAGGAGAAACACTTGAACCCGGGAGGCGGAGGTTGCGGTGAGCCGAGATCGTGCCACTGCACTCCAGCCTGGGCCACAGAGTAAGACTCCATCTCAAAAAAAAAAAAAAAAAAAAGAAAGAAAGAAAGGCTATCTGTAAGCCTGATAACAATTCTGGTCAGCATTCTAAAATATTTGTCTTTTATTTTGTTGCCACCTAAACAGAACCTAGTAATTAAGAGCGAGGACAAGTTCAGAAACAGTGGTGACACTGGCTCATCCTTTTTTCCTTGGTGTTCAACATTTATTAATCACAAGAGTGACACAGATCTAAACAAACATCCACCAGGCAGTTCACAGTGCAAGGCCCCCACTTTCCTTTCTTTTGACAGGATCAGGAGACTAGTAGATGGTAGATCACAGAAATAAAGCAGATCGTCCTTTCCTCAGCTGCCACCACAGTGCTTGGTCCTTCCAAGGAAGCTAAGGCCACGTTGGGATGAGGCCCTCACTTCATCCGGCAACTACCACCACGTCCGGCAGCGCCAGCCCCACACTTGCCCATACCATGTCCTCTGTCTCCGAGCTCGCCTGCATCTACTCAGCCCTCACTCTGCATGACAATGAGGTGACCATCACGGAGGATAAGATCAATGCCCTCGTTAAAGCAGCTGGTGTAAATGTTGAACCTTTTTGGTCCAGCTTGTTTGCAATGGCCCTGGCCAATGTCAACATTGGGAGCCTCATCTACAATGTAGGGGCTGGTGGACCTGCTCCAGCAGCTGGTGCTGCACCAGTGGGATCCTGCCCACTCCACTGCTGCTGCTCCAGCTGAGAAGAAAGTGGAAGCAAACAAAGAAGAATCTGAGGAGTCTGATGATGACATGGGCTTTTGGTTGTTTTGACTAAATTTCTTATAACGTGTTCAATACAAAGCTGAACTTAAGAAAAAAAAAAAAAGAATAAACCAGACTATGGTCTACCCAAAGTCTCTCTATCAAGGGGACTGAGGAAAAGACTGATAAGACTGGGGGGATAGTTAGTACAAGTGAGTGCTGAGAGAACACGAGGAGGTTCTGATTAATACTTGCATATCAACCCAGAGGAAAAAGGTTCTGCCACAGAACATTAGCTAGAATATTTACCAACAATCTGGTTAAGATGCTATGAGTATGGAACTGTTAGAAGCCAGTTGGTCCATCATTAGCAACATGGACTCTGGAGTTGGAATGCCTGGGTTTGAACTGCAGCCTCATTACTTACTAGATATGTAACCTGTGCCAACTCTTAAACCTGAGTCTGTTTCCTCATCTACAAAATGGAGATAATTGTAATATGTAGGGTTGTTGTGAGGATTAAATGAGACTATATCTACACATGCTTAGAATAGAGCCTACCACATAGTACGCTAGATAACCTTTTGCTACCATTATTACTGATTTTATATTTTTATTTTATTAATTTATTATTTTTTGAGACAGAGACTCACTTTGTTGCCCAGGCTGGAATGCAGTGGCACAATCTTGGCTCACTGCAACCTCTGCCTCCCAGGTTCAAATGATTCTCATGCTTCAGCCTCCTGAGTAGCTGGGATTACAGGTGCACGCCACCATGACCAGCTGTTTATATTTTTAGTAGAGACAGGGTTTCACCATCTTGCCCAGGCTGGCCTCAAACTCTTGATCTCAGGTGATCAACCCGTCTTGGCCTTGCAAAGTGCTGGGATTACAGGCGTGAGCCACCACACCCAGACAATTTAAAAAAAATTTTTTTTTTTTTCTTGAGACATCTCACTCTGGCTTAGGCTGCAGTGCAGTGATGCGATCGTAGCTCACTGTAGCCTCAACTTCCCAGGCTCAAGCAATCCTCCCACCTCAGCTTCCCATGTAAATAGGACTACAGGGATGTATACCACCGCACCCAGCTAATTTTTTATATTTTGTAGAGATGGGGTCTCCCTGTGTTGTCCAGGCTAATCTCGAACTCCTGGGCCCAATCAATCCTCCCGCCTTGGCCTCCCAAAGTGTTGAGATTCCAGGCCAATGTTTTATTTTTACACGGTTAGTTTATCAGAGTTGCATATGAATAGTGAATGAATCAACTCAAGTCCACAAAGACACTGGTAGGGTAGAAAAAGTAGCTGGACTGGAGCAAGCACAGACGGACTTGGACTTGTCCTATACTTGGAGCTAGTTACTGTAAAAGTAGAGCGAGGGCAAGGCATGAATTAAAAGTAGCCCAAGACCTTGACATCAACGTTCATACTAAGTACTTAACAGTGCACTTCATAACTTAACAGTGTATAGGCTGCCAACAAAACAGCTAATAGTCTTAGGCTACTTTAAAAATGATGAATTTAGCATAGATCATATTATACTACTCTATTTTGTATTACTCGAAACCTAGTGAAAGGCTAGGTTAAATGTTTTTGGTGGAGAATAACTGAGATGGTAGGGGTACTAAGAATGAGGACATGTGACCCACAGCTGATGAAACTGGGGACACTGATTGAGAGGACTCCTGAAAGACACGTCTTCAAATATCTGAGGAGATGTTATGTGGGGATAGGCCCAAATGGACAAAATGAAGACTGATGGGTAGGGGAGAAAGAAAAGTAAACTATGGAGAGTTAATCCAGTCCTACATAAAGAAAAGTAACCTAGACACAGCATTTCTTCAAAGAGAAACGGCACAGCTTCAGAAAGGAGCGAACTCCTGCCTCCTAATTAGAACTCTTCATGGGCTGGCAGACACTTGAGAAGGAACTCTAGGATCAGATGTGTTGGACAGATGTCCTGTAAAGAGCCTTCAAACTCAAGCATTACAGGAGAGGCAACACTGGAGATATCATTATTAATGCATGTTTTATTTGGGGTTCATGAAAGAAATCCCACTTACCCATATCAGAGTCACCTCCACCAGAGGAGTTCAACTTACGAAAAATCTCCTGCTTCTTTGATTTAACCATGGGTGATGTATTTTCAAGCTTGGTGAAGAATGAAGGCAAGTAGCTTATACTCCCTGGTGAGCGGGCATCATTCCTGTTAGGGCCAAAGTTAAGTATATTACAACCACGTACTCCTAATCCTGGGGACATTCCTATCAATGATAACAACAGTCAGAGAGTACTTAGAAAACTACTGCCTCCTCATCCTGTGTTTGTGGTTACAGCCCTAAGAAACAGTATGTAATCATAAACCACTTAGTACATCATTTGAGGAAAAATGATTTAGCTCTCAAAATGAAATCATAAAATTAGAATTAGAATGGAGATAATCTAGAGCAGAAATTCTTAGGAAGGAATGAAGAAGCAGTAAATGAATATTAATAGGAAAACTCAGAAACAGCTTATGATGCTCTCTCCTTAACAGCACAAACACTGATATATTAATGGTTACCACCTAAACTGGGAACAATTTTACTAGAATTAGTTTTAAGTACACTAAAATTAAAACTAATAGCACGCTTGACTACAAAATAGCAAGAACTCATATCTAAGCAATCAACAGCTGGACTGGAACACAACAGTATAGGAATAAAACTGCCTATTTGTTACAATCATTTCAAGCAACCTAACAAATGAGCTGAGTTTAATATAAAGAGTTTCATATTTTACTGGCAGCTTCCTATACTAACACATTTAAAAAAAAACAAGGTTTCCCTAAAAACTCCAGGCCACCAAGGATCTAGCTAGAGCCAGAGATGAGAACAGAGACTATAGGTTATTGAAAACCTAATCCAATCATGTGGATTCAGTCATCATTCAAACACAAGAACACGTACTCTATGCCAGGAAAGACAATTAAGGTGATAGGAACAGGAATAAGACATGGTCCCTGTCCTCAAAACACTCATAAACGTAGGGGAAAGATGTAAATGTATAATTAAATTGAACATCACTCCCTCTCCAAAAATGGATTTTCTTCATTTCATTGAAAAGTAGCAATATCTGTTTAGCTCCCTAAGAATAAATGCAATAAATTAATAGCAACACTTTGTAAGAAAGGCACTAGCAATTTGGAGTTAGAAAGGCCTTCGTTTAAAACTGGCCCTTCCCCATTAGTATCAGTACGACCATGAGCAAGTGACATGTCTGGCTTTCAGCGCATCAGTGGAGGGTTCAGCACTAGGCAAACTGCACGACTATGGACAGAAAGGAATTCAGGGAACAATAAGCAACATGATTTGGACAGAGATTCCAGTGTAGGGATGATGCAGAGGGAAGTGAAGCTGAATGCGCAGCATACACCTGGTCATGCCAGGAACTCAGATGCCATGCAAAAGACTGGGTGCTGGATTCTGCATGAGTTTTAGACAAATCACTCAGGTGGAGGTATGGAGACTGACTGGAAAGGAGCCAACTCAAAGGCATCTAGTCAAATGGGGATAATTTAATAATTAATAGGGTTGGGGTCACGGTTAGAAATAGGTAAGATTAAATCTATTCAGAGTCCACAGTGCTTGGTATACAGTAAGCATTCAAATGTTGGCTGAATCAATGGATGACCCTTTCCCCTAGACAAAAACATTAAAAAAAAAATCTAGAAAGATTTAATTTCAAGAATAATGAACAAATATTTTCTAACCTATTTAAATATGATATTATAAATATTTTCTTTTTGCTAAAATACACTAGCATTAGATGAGTAGGAAAAGAGACAAATGATCCTCTAAGAATGCCATCCAGACATAAAAGCCCAAAGTTCTGAGAAAAACGGCAACAACTGAAGGAAATGTTAAAGCATGAGCACCCACGCCATGAATGGTTGCTGTCACTAGGAAGCACACTTACCTCTGCTCTGCAGGCTCTGCGCCCCTCTGAGACAAGAGCAGCAAGCTGTCCTGTTTCTCATGCACAACCGGAACCTGGGGTGGGGAGATGGGCTCGTAGGGCTCCGAAGAGACGTGACTCCTCTCTGGGGATTTTCCAGGCCTACTATTGTAATATGTGAAATATTAGATTGTGTTTCAAAGGCTAACCTGGGACTTACCTAAACAGAAACTTGTTAACTCATGACTTCATTCAGGAGAAGGAGCAAAAGCTGCCAATTTCTATCAGAAAAAAAGTTGCCTCAGGTATTCACTATATACATAGTTAAAACAAACAAACAACAACAAAAAAAACCACTGTGTTACTGCCACTTGACCCATGCGCGCCCCGTGGATCCAGGAGTCACGTCATCAGACAGTGCTGCCCGGGCAGCAGCAGTGGCAGAAGCTGCGTCCTTGAGGCTCCGCATGTCCTTCAACATCAGACACCATCTCACCCTTGGCTCCTTAGTCCAGGTGAAACCTCAAGGGTTTTCCTACCTATTTTGAGTCGACTGACCAGTTCTTTCATCGTCAAGTTAAAGATAAAGGACTTCAGTACTAAACTGACACCCAAGAAGTTTTATCAGGTGAGTCAACATAGGTTCTAGTTACACTATATTATGGCAGAGGGGTTCTCTGCAATTTTATATTTTTTCTCTGGATACCATTTGGTAAGAATAATATAAGATAGACACACTGTTTAGCTCCCACCCATTTATCATTTTTTTTTTTTTTGAGACAGAGTCTGGCTTTGTCACCCAGCCTGGAGTGCAGTGGTGTGATCAGCTCACTGCAACCTCTGCCTCCCAGGTTCAAGCAATTCTCCTGCCTCAGCCTCCCGAGCAGCTGGAATTGGAATTATAGGCATGCGCCACCATACCCCGGCTAATTTTTGTATTTTTAGTAGAGACGGGGTTTCACCATGTTGGCTAGGCCTCCTGACCTCAGGTGATCCACCTGCCTGGGCCTCCAAAAGTGCTAGGATTACAGGCCTGAGCTACCGCACCTGGCCCATTTATCTTATTATTAAAATTTTTATTTTTTAGAGACAGGGTCCCGCTCGTTGCCCAGGCAGGAGTACAGGAGTGCAATCATAGCTCACTGCAGCCTCAAACTCTTGGGCTCAAGTGGTCCTCTCACTTACATCTCCCGAGTAACTGGGATTACAGGCATGCGTCACCATGCCCAGCTAATATTTTTATTATATGTTTTATTATGTCTGGTGGCCCATTTTTAATTTTTTGTAGAGACAGGGGTCTCACTATGTTGCTGACCTCAAACTCCTGGGCTCAAGCAATCCTCCCACCTCAGCCTCCAAAAGTAATGGGAATTACAAGCACCTCGCCCCACCACACCCTCAATTTTTTTTTTTTTTTAAGACAGAGTCTTGCTCTGTCACCCAGGCTGGAGTGCAGTAGCACGATCTTGGCTCACTATAACCTCCACCTCCCAGGTTGAAAGGATTCTAGTGCCTCAGCCTCCTGAATAGCTGGGATTACAGGTAGCCACCACCACACTTGGCTGATTTTTGTAGTTTTATTAGAGACGGGGATTCACCATGTTGGCCAGAATGGTCTCAAACTCCTGACCTCAAGTGATCCACCTGCCTCAGCCTCCTGAAGTGCTGGGATTACAGGCGTGAGCCACCACACCCGGCCCTGCTAAAATTTTTTGACATAGCGATTATGCATATGAAAGCCACCTGTGACTTTCAACATCTGGAATTATGACTATTAGACTAAAGCAAAATTATAATATGATTTGTTATGGCCTTTCTCAATCAGCCCATCCAGTTGTTCAAGATAGCCACTTTTTTTTTAAGTTGTTTTGCTGTTTACCTCCAAAACTCTGTAAATAATCTTAAACATGTTTTTTTTATTTATAAAACTTGAAACAGTATCTGTTAACTCTCTTCCATGAAAGATGAAGAATTTGATTTGCCTTCTCTGTTGTTGCCCATTTTATTTTTATTTTTATTTTTATTTTTGAGACAGGGTCTCCCTCTGTCACCCAGGCTAGAGTGCAGTAGTACAATCACTGCTTACTGCAGCCTCAACTTCTGCGCTCACGTGATCCTCCCACCTCAGGCTCCCAAGTAGCTGGGACTACAGGTGCATGCCACCATGCCTGGGCGATTTTATTTTTTAGTTTTTTTGTGGAGATGGGGTCTCACTACATTGCCCAGGCTGGTCTTGAACCGCTGGCCTCAAGCGATCCTCTCGCCTTGGTCTCCCAAAGCACTGAAATTACAGGTGTCAGCCACTGTGCTGGCTTGCCTATTTTAATTTTGTCCATTTTGCCTTTACATAGCATACTTCAGCCTTTTATATTTTCTTTTTTAAAAATGAAGAAATTAGCACACATACCCTTACTTCTCCATCTCTTTCCTATGCAACCCTCACCTCCCAATATCTGTCAGCCATTTTTAAGATTTATTGCATCACATCCTTTTCTAGAACTACAGAGAAACTCCTCTGTGTTTTGCTTATAAAAATCACTCCATACAATTACATAGAAATTCAATAACCTGCTCCTGGAGTACATAATGAAATAAAGGCAGAAAGCAAGTTTTTTTAAACTAATGAGAACAAAGATACAACGTACCAGAATCTCTGGGACACAGCTAAGGCAGTGTTGACAGGGAAATTTATAGCACTAAATATCCACATCAAAAAGTTAGAAAGATCTCAAGTTAACAAGCTAACATCACAACCAAGAGCAAACAAATCCCAAAGCTAGCAGAAGACAAGAAATAACCAAAACTGCAGGGGGCGCGGTGGCTCACACCTGTAATCCCAGCACGTGGGGACGCTAAGGCAGGCGGATCACCGGAGGTCGGGAGTTTGAGACCAGTCTGACCAACGTGGAGAAACCCCGTCTCTACTAAAAAAATACAAAATTAGCTGGGGTGGTGGCACATGCCTGTAATCCCAGCTACTCGAGAGGCTGAGGCAGGAGAATTGCTTGAACCAGGAGGCAGACGTTGTGGTGAGCTGAGATCGCGCCATTGCATTCCAGCCTGAACAACAAGAGCGAAACTCCTTCTCAAAAAATAAATAAATAAATAAAATAAACAAAACGGAAGCTGAACTGAAGGAGATTCAGACACAAAAAAACACTCAAAAGATCAACAAATTCAGGATCTGGTTTTTGTTTTGTTTTGAGATGGAGTCTCGCTTTGTCGCCCAGGCTGGAGTGCGGTGGCGCGATCTTGGCTCACTGCAAGCTCCGCCTCCCGGGTTCACGCCATTCTCCTGCCTCAGCCTCCCGAGTAACTGGAACTACAGATAGATGCCGGCCACCACGCCTGGCTAATTTTTTGTATTTCTTTTTTTTTTTTTAGTAGAAATGGGGTTTCACTGTGTTAGCCAGGATGGTCTCGATCTCCTGACCTCGTGATCTGCCTGCCTCGGCCTCCCAAAGTGCTGGGATTAGAGGCATGAGCCACGGCACCCGGCCTCAGAATCTGGTTTTTAGAAAAAATTAATAAAACAGACTGCTAGCTAAGACTAATAGAGAAGATTCAAATAAACACAATCAGAAATGACAAGGAATATTACCACTGACCCCACAGAAACACAAACAATCATAAGAAAATATTATGAACACCTTTATGCATATAACCTAGGAAATCTAAAAGAAATGGATAAATTTCTGGTCACATACACCCTCCTAAAACTGAACCAGGAAAAAACTGATTCCCTGAACAGACCAATAACATGCTCTGAAATTGAGTCAGTAATAAATAGCCTACCACCCAAAAAAAGCCCATGACCAGACACATTCACTGCTGAATTCTACCAGATGTACAAAAAGAGCTGGCACCATTCCTACTGAAAATATTCCAAACATTAAGGAAGGACTCCTCCCTATCTCATTCTATGAGGCCAGCATCATCCTGATACCAAAACTTGGCAGAGACACAACAATAAAAAGAAAACTTCCGGCCAATATCCTTGATGAACATGAATGCAAAAATCCTCAACAAAATACTGGCAAACCAAACCCAGCAAAATATTAAAAAGCTTATCCACCACAATCAAGTAGATGTTATCCCTAGGATGCAAGGTTGGTTCAATATACACAAATATCAATAGATGCAGAAAAGGCTTTCAATAAAATTCAGTACCCTTTCATGTTAAAAACTCTCAGTAAACTAGATATTGAAGGAACATACCTCAACATAATAAAAGAGCCATATATGAAAACCCACAGCCAACATCATACTGAATGGGCAAAAGCTGGAAGCATTCCTCTTGAAAGCCAGCACACAACAAGGATGCCCTCTGTCACCACTTTTATTCAACATCCTATTGGAAGTCTTGACCAGGGTGATCAGGCAAGGGAACGAAAGAAAGGGCATCCAAATAGGAAGAAAGGAAATCAAACTATCTCTGTTTGCAGACATAATCCCATATCTAGAAAACTCCATAGTCTCAGCCCCAAAGGTCCTTAAGCTGATGAAACAACTTCAGCAAAGTCTCAGGATACATCAGTGTGCAAAAAATCACTAGCGTTCCTATACACCAATGAGAGCCAAGCCAAGAGCCAAATAAGGAATGCAATTCGATTCACAACTGCCACAAAAATAATAAAATACCTAGGAATACAGCTAACCAGGGAGGTGAAAGATCTCTACAAGGGGAACTACAAAACACTTCTCAAAGAGATAAAAGATGAAAAGATAAAAAATGAAAAAACATTCCATGCTCATGGATAGGAAGAATCAATATCATTAAAATGGCCGTACTGCCCAATGCAATTCACAAATTCAATGCTATTCCTATTAAACTACCGAAGACATTCTTCACAGAACTACAAAAAACTATTTTAAAATTAATATAGATCCAAAAAAGAGCCTGAATAGCCAAGGCAATACTAAGCAAAAAGAACAAAGCTGTAGGTGTCATACTACCTGACTTCAAACTATAATACAGGGCTACAGTAACCAAAACAGCATTGTATTGGTACAAAGATAAGACACACAGACCAATGGAACAGAACAGAGAACCCAGAAATAAGGCCTCACACCTACAACTGTCTGATCTTCGACAAACCTGACAAAAACAAGCAATGAGGAAAGAATTCCCTATCAATAAATGGTGCTGGGATAACTGGCTATCACATGCAGAAGACTGAAACTGGGCTTCTTCTTTATACCATATATATATAAAATTAACTCAAGATGGATTAAAGACTTAAATGTAAAAAAAAAAAAAAAAAAAAAAACTATAAAAACCTTGGAAGACAACCTAGGAAATACCTTTCAGGACATAGGCAGGGACAAAGATTTCATAACAAAGACACCAAAAGCAACTGGAACAAAAACAAAAATTGACAAGTGGGATCTAATTTAAAGAGCTTCTGCACAGAAAAGGAAACTGTCAACAGAGTGAACAGACAACCTACAGAATGGGAGAAAAATTTTGCAAACTATGCACCTGACAAAGGTCTAATATCCAGCATGTATAAAGAGCTTAAACAAATTTACAAGAAAAAAACAACTCCATTAAAGAGCGGGTAAAGCGAGTGTGGTGGCATGTGCCTGTAATCCCAGCTACTTGGGAAGCTGATGTGGGACAATCACCTGAGCCTGGGAGGGTTGAGGCTGCTGTGAGCCGAGACTGCGCCACTGAAATCCAGCCTGGGCAAACAGAATGAGATAAAAAAGAGAGTGGGCAAATGACATGAACAGACACTTTTCAAAAGAAGACATATATGCAGCCAAGAAGCATATGAAAAAAAAAGCTCAATATCACTGATCATTAGAGAAGTGCAAATCAAGCCAGGTGCAGTGGCTCATGCCTGTAATCCCACCACTTTGGGAAGCTGAGGTGGGTAGATCAGCTGAGGTCAGGAGTTCGAGACCAGCCTGGCCAACATAGTGAAAAACCCTGTCTCTACTAAAAATACAAAAATTAACCAGATATGGGGGCAGGAGCCTGTAATCCTAGCTACTTAGGAGGCTGAGGCAGGAGAATCACTTGAACCTGGGAGGTGGAGGTTACAGTGAGCTAAGATCACACCATTGCACTCTAGCCTGGGCAACAGGGCAAGACTCTGTTTTAACAACAACAAAAAAAGAGTAAGTGCCAATCAAAACCAAAATGAGACACCATCTCACACCAGTCAGAATGGCTATTAAAAAGTGAAAAAATAACAGATCCTGGCAAGACTGTGGAGAAAATGGAACACTTATACACTGTTGGTGGGAGTGTAAATTAGTTCAACCACTGTGGAAGACACTGTGGAAATTCCTCAAAGACCTAAATGCAGAACTACCACTCAACCCAACAATCCCATTACTGGGTATATACCCAAAGGAATATAAATCATTCTATTATAAAGACACATGCACATGTATGTTCACTGTAGCACTATTGACAACAGCAAAGACATGGAATCAACCCAAATGCCCATCAGTGATTGACTGGATAAAGACAATGTGGTACATATACACCATGGAATACTATGGAGCCATGAAAAAGAATGAGCTCCTGTCCTTTTCAGGGACATGGATGGAGCTGGAGGCCATTATCCTTAGCAAACTAACGCAAGAACAGAAAACCAAATACCACGTGTTCTCACTTATAAGCGGGAGCTAAATGGTGAGAACACACGGACACATGGAAGAGAACAACACACACTAGGGCCTATTGGAGGATGGAGGGTGGGAGGAGAAGGCTCAGGAAAAAATAACTAATGGGTACCAGGCTTAATACCTGGGTGACAAAATAATCTTTACAACAAACCCCCACGACTCAAGTTTACCTATATAATAAACCTGCACATGTACTCCTGAACTTAAAATGAAAGTTAAATAAATAACTAAAATGAAAATCAGTTGATGCTGTTTTCTAACACCACAGATTGTGCAAACATTTTCATCAGGAATGGACCATGACAATGCTATATAGTTTTCCATTTTTCTTTGATAATCACATTTCTTTTCTTTTTTTGGTTTTGTTTTGGCTGAAAGGGAATAAATGTGCTTTCATCTTATCCTTAAGGTTATCCAGCTGCGTCTAATGACTAAGTCCGAGATTTGCTTCAAAATTATCCAGTTTGGGGGTCGGGGCAAGCGGGGATGAAAATGAAACAAAACTCGTCATACACTGAGGATTACCAAAATTGGGTGATGGATACCTAGAGGTGTATTATACTTGTTCTCTCTACTTTTGTATGTATTTGAAAACTTCCACAATAATTTTTTTTTTTAAAGAAGACCATTTAGCTTCTTATTTATATTCTTCTATCTGCTCTTTGCTCACTTTGATGGGTTGGTAGGTAGGCTGGAGAATCACTTCTGCTACAAATTTCTCTTTTTCAGGCTCTGAGCCATGGCTTCCATTACTCTGGCTCATGTGTCCTCTATGTCTTCAGGTATTTGCCAGAATCTTTGATCTGCCCATATCTCAGTCTTGTTCTCAGCATTCTTTTTATCTTTTTTTTTTTTTTTTTTTTTTGAGACGGAGTCTCGCTCTGTCGCCCAGGCTGCAGTGCAATGGCATGATCTCGGGTTCAAGTGATTCTTCCGCCCAGGTTCAAGCGATTCTTCTGCCTCAGTGTCCTGAGTAGCTGGGATTACAGGCACCTGCCATCATGCCTGGCTAATTTTTTTTTTGTATTTTTGTAGAGACGGGGTTTCACCATGTTGGCCAGGTTGGTCTTGAGCTCCTGACTTCAGATGATGCACCCAGCTTGGCCTCCCAAAGTGCTGGGATTACAGGCGTGAGCCACCACGCCCGGCCTTCTCAGCATTCTTAAATTTATTTCCCTTTGTGCTTGTTAACTATAATTTAACATTTGCTAATATTTAGTCTACCACTTTGAAGCAAGAATCCTGTGTCCACTTTATTTTAACCAAACACAGAATATCAGGTAAGAAGATATGCTCTTTATCAGAGAGCCCTGGCATATAACATGTTTCCACTCATGATGCCACTATTGGCTTCCCTTTCCTTTATTTAAGGTCACCTTAAAATATATATGTGTGTGTGTGCATATATATATGTGTGTGTATCTATACATACATATATACATATATATATATATAAAATTATTCACTGACAGAAGTCTGAGGCCTAGAATAAAATATAAATGCAGAAGCAAGCAAACAAACAAACAAAAAATATATAAACTTTTTTTTTGTAGAGATGAGATCTCACTATGTTGCCCAGGCTGGTCTCAAATTCCTGGGCTCAAGCAATCCTCCTACCTCAGCCTCCCAAAGTGCTAGCATTACAGGTATAAGCCACTATGTCTGGCCAATATCACCTTCTTAAACTTCTACTGATGCTGACCCAGTAGAAACCATTGAGACAGATAAATATGAGAGGTATTATTCGGAAGCACCACTGAAGTGTCCCCAAACCACTACCAAACTACACATTCTTCTTAACTGTCTTTACAAACCAACAAATAGAATATAATCATCTTTTGAATATACATTAAAAAGTCATAGTACCAAATGCCAAGACAGTGGACATTCTAAGAATAATATGCAGGGGGAAGAAAGCTCATTTACACTTTCCTGGGAATAAAGGCAAATGAACTTTAGTTGTGAGAAACAAATTCCTTATCCTGTAGATATATTCCATTTGTTTTACTGTTGGGCAATTTATATATAATTTGGAATAAAGATCATACCTTCCCCTGGATTTGTCCACAAGATTTTCTGGAGAGACCCTTGAACCTGGTCTTTGATGATGGACAGACTGAGCCTGGGATTCTGGGCTGTAACGGTTTGATGTTTTAGTCCTCACAGGTGTAGATACCAAAGCAGAAGGTGAGTTCTGGAATGTAGAAGTAGGAGGCTGCTGGGGAGTCTGCGAGGAAACTTGATTTCTAGCAAAATCTTGTGTGATAATTTGCTGTGAATGAGAAATGAAGGAAGTGGTAAAATTCATTGAGTACTTGCAAAAAAAAAATAGTATTAAGAAATCTAGATATCTTTATTATAAATTTCTTTTTCTATATGAAATCTGCTTTCCCCATGATCAAAAAAGAAAAATTAACTAATAAGAATAATGAAAAACTTACACAGATGTGATCAGCAAGTGTGATCAGCCGATGGGTCCTGGGCACTTGCCCCATTCCCTCTGCCTGTGAAGAAGGGGGCAGCTGTTGTTGGGGAGATGGTGATTCCTGCTGTGGTCGATAGTGATGTAATGGTCCTTCATATTGTCTGGTAGGATCATCTAGGAGAGAACACATAGATGTCTTACTCCAGGAATGTCTGTGCTTTTCACTCATTATCAAAGATTAAATATAATTCAGAAGAACACCTGAAAGGATGTGGTACATAGCTCCAAACAAAGAACTTATCTTAATTTTGGAGAAAAAAAAAATTATTCACTGAAGAAGTCTGAGGACTAGTGGAACAAAATATAAATGCAGAAGTAAGCAAACAAAATTAATATAAACAATTTTCTGTATCATTAAAAAATAAAAAAGAATCGATTGCTGTTTCTAAAGAAGGCTCATGTAAGATTACCCTAAAACAAACAAAACAAGTTAATTCTTACTATGGTCTAGACAGATAATTAGAAGCAAATGATAAATGCAAATATGAAAACATGTAAATGGTAGCTTAAGAAGACATACTTTCCGCTTGATTTGCCTTAACAACCTCTGGCTGATAGGTCTGCAGTTTCTCCTGGGGTGGCGCAGGTGAGCTGGCAGGACTTATCACCTCAATAGCATCGCTAGGTGTTTCATACCTGTGAGAAGATACTTTAAGAAAAGAAAATCTTATTTCAAAACTAATCCCAGGAAAAGTTTCTGAAGTCTAAGTTCTTCACACCTGTAGCATTTTTTCAATTCTGATCCACCATGTTCAAAGGTATTCCAGGTTAATGAGGGTTTTCTGAAGTTTTATGGGCTTTAAGACATGTTTTAGGCTGGGTGCAGTGGCTCATGGCTGTAATCCCAGCACTTTGGAAGGCCGAGGCAGGTGGATCACCTGAGGTCAGGGGTTTGAGACCAGCCTGACCAACGTGGAGAAACCCTGTCTCTACTAAAAAAAATACAAAATTAGTAGGGCGTGGTAGCTCATGCCTGTAATCCCAGCTACTCGGGAGGCTGAGGCCGGAGAATCGCTTGAACCCGGGAGGCGGAGGTTGTGGTGAGCTGAGATTGTGTCATTGCACTCCATTCTGGGCAACAAGAGCGAAACTCCGTCTCAAAAAAAAAAAAAAAAAAAAAAAAAAAGACATGTTTTAAAGCCCAATAATAAACACTGGAATGAGGCAGAACAGAGAACAGATTTATGATATTTTCCTGGGAGCTGGAAAAGAAATCACCAGGGAAACATTTATGGAAGAGGTTAATAAACAAATGAGGGAGTAGATCTCAATAACTGATTCCAATGATTCCAATTCTGTGGGACACTCTGTTCTTAGAAAAACGCTGAGGCTATAAAGCTGCTTCATTCACCACCATGATGATTTTAAAGCTATGGATTATATAACACTATATAATGATTTTCTCAAATAAATGGAGTATTGCTAACAAAACTTACTCCAAACATTAATAATTTTTTAGCACTGTGTTACATTGTGAAAATAACCAGAAATGGTAGAGAATGTCTGAAGGGAAGTATATTCCCAGAAAGGGAGGATGTCAACCAACTCTGGAGGATACCCACATCAGAAAAGGACCTCCTCTAAGACACAGTTCCCAAGTAAACAGAGGGCTATGCAGTGGGGCTAACAGGCAGCTTTTCACAGTCCTGCCATAGCCTCAGAGCTGACAGTTGGGAGCAGATGTAACCGCCTGCTCAGGAACCTCTGAATTCAGAGGGCTCTTCACATCCACAAACTGCACTACAGAATCTGAGAGCACTGTCAGAGCTCCAAAGGGTGCATGGCCCTGGGCTGGACACAGATGCAGCAGGTGGGAATGAACTCTGCTCCCTAGCCACCACCTGCTCCTCTGGTACTCAACAGTCCTTCCTATCCCCACCAGGTCATGGAAACTGCAGCTACCTGGGTTCTAGTACACTTAGGAGATTGGAAACTTGATAAATGGAACAGAAATGATCATTGAGAAACTAAAATAAATCACTATATTCTAAGAAGTTTACAGTAATTTGTGACTTTTGTATCCACTGTTACTCATCACTGTTTATGTATTCAACATCCTAAATCTGGTTACAACTTCCAATATTCACTCAGTAGAAAGTCGGAATCCAAACCGTGTTCACATTGTTCTTGAAGCCTTAAGGGGCAAGACTATGGCAATGGACCTCCCCTTCAGGATGAGGAAGGTTCTCAAGAGTCAAACTGAAAACCACACTGAAGAACTGTACATAGCCTTTGGACATCATGGAATTCACTGACCAGTGATAAAAAAGATAACCACACACAGAGACATGGACACTCAGAAAAGATGAGCTTTCTATTTTCACACCTTCTGAAAATCAAATTCCTAAAGCAAGGTTTGGTTTGTGATGCAAACTGAAAAGAAATGTTTAATCCAATGATTAAGGAACCCATGTGCTATACCATTCAATAAGCCCAGGTGGGATCTCCCAGTGTGCCGGTGACTTCCCTTCAAAAGACCTATTCATACAACTATAGAATATCTCTTTCTCAGCTAGCAATTTTCTGCATGCAGAAAATCTATATTGCAGATTTTCCTAATCTCAGGTTAAAAGAAGTCTTTTGTCTACACAACACTAACTCTCTCTCTAAAAGCCTCAGCAATGCGGTAGATATGACGTAAACAAATTATAATTAAGCTAGTGGATACTCAGAGATCAAAAGAACTGCACATTGCATTCTGGAGCATGAGAAATCATTTTTTTTTTCATGATGTCTAACTCTACTGAATTTATTCAATGGAGATAACAGAAAGATGATTATATATGATTAAATTACTTCCAGTATTAGCAGATGCTTATTTAAATACTTGCTTGTTCTTTCTGCAATTCCACATAGAATTAAGGCAATAGTTTAAAAGAAAATTTAAAAAGTAACTTTTCTAGCATTTTAATGTAGACCTGTGAATTCTAACACATTTGCAGTGTAGCCATCCTAATGACTAACCAGACTTGAACAAAATCCAACTTGCAAAAACGATGCAATATAAATACCAATCACCAATAATAGGTAGTCTCACTTTTAAAAACCTGTGTCTTAGAAAAAGGATATTAGAGGCTTTGGGGTATTGGCATAAATATAGAACCATGTCCTAGCAAATGCTTCCTGAGAAATTACACCTCAGTAGCCCAGAGCCTGGCGATATATCCATTACCTTTCAGATGCCTAAATATGTTAATAAGGTCTGCCTTCTACTTTCCAAATTTAATTACATGAATGATACAGTTTTCTTGTGGAAGATACATTGATAGGCTTATATGTAGGAAACTGGGATATTTAAATAATCATAAAAACAGCAGAAGATACATTTTTGCATTACATTTACTATCAACCGTTAGGATTTTTAAATACCATATAGTTCTACTTGACCTAAAGAATAAAGTAATTCTTTACTCAGACATCACATTGTGAAACTCGGATTGAGATACATACAGCTACTAGAAGAGTCTGAACTTTGAGAGCCACGTTCCCTCGCATCCTTGTCCGAGGCAATTTGCCGGGTGATGATCACGTCTATGAAGTTAGCTGCAGTAATGGTAGTCTTCCCTCTGGTCCTTAGCTCTTCCTCATATCTGGATTTTGGAGGAGGCCCTTTATCTTTCCCAGCCTCAGAATAAACTACTGAAGAATGAGGCTGGGGCTTGCCACTTGGAAAGGCTGAAGAAGTGTATAAACACTGAACAGATCTCTTCTCCACCTCCAGGGTTTTCTGCTCTAGCTGCTGCTGTTCACTAACTGCTGCTGACCTGCTTCTCAAATTTTCTTCTAACCTGGCAGCTTCATGCTTACTCTCTTTTGTTTTGGACACATCCATCTGGGGTGCAGAAGCTGCAGCATCCACAAGAGCAGCCAGGGCATCCGCAGCAGTGTTGTAACGGGAGGCTGGCAGGCCTTGGCTTATTGAAGGGCCCCCAGCAGGCAGTGGCCTGTAAATAAAACCAAATCACAGCTCTGTGAAGGGAAGACCATTTGCTGGGAATGTGGTGGGGAGATGGAAGGACAAACTGCAACAACAACAAAAAAAGCCTTCATGGCATGGGCAGAAAAGCATGACTATACTTAGACTATTGCAGTCACAAATTTTAAAATGTATATGCAAGAGACATTTTTTGTCAAAATATGTACAAGAGACTGACATGATTCGTAGCTGAGCAGTTGGATCCAAAGGTGTGATTACACTGGTTCCATTGGTTCCTTGGAAAACACTGGGTCTCTGTTGCAACATGGTCTCCTGAGTTCTTACTGAAGGGGAAGGGGAGCGAACATATCCATGACTGCCAGGTCGGCCAGGCTGTTCTGAGCCTGCAGAGGTGAAAAAGAGAAAGAAACAAAGACATAAGGAGGAAGCCAGAGACAAAAGGAAGCAATGCTTATGGATTGTTTATTTCCTAACATACCTAAATAGAAAAAAGAAAAACAAGATAAGAAACTTGATAGTCTACTTTCTGGCCTTTCCAGAAATATGTTCTAAAAGTGTCCAAATAAAGATGCAATAAAACCGCAGCAGTAACTTGAAACAAAACATCAGCCATCATTTACTGTCATTTCCATTTCTCTGATAAATTTCAATCTTGATTCCATAAATAAAACAGCACCAACAAGAAGTACTACTACAAATCATATAAGTTCATCTTTCTGATTTTTCCTCAAACTCTAGTGTGTATATGATTTCCAAAATCTAATCAGGCACAACTTTCTAAGCATCATAATGAAAATAATATACCACTGCTACACTAGGGTTTGAGACTGTTTCATTCAACCACAGTTTGCCCTGCTTCACTTCTTCACTGTCCCCTTCACAGGTGACTCTTTCTCTCAGCAAGCTCTCTCTTTTGAAATGAAATCATTCACATTATCTTCCCACAAAACACTTGGCTCCCACAATTACACTTCTACAATATTTGGTATGTTTTTGTTCACTTAACCCTAACTCTCCCATAACCAAGTCAGAGCTTGGACTTGGTAAGAACTACTTCACGCAGAGGATTCTGAACTCTCAAATCCCTCCCCAGTCACTTTCTTCTTGACCTCATCTTGTTCTGTGTCCTCACTCCAACCTTCTAACGTGCTCACTGGCTTCATAACAGCTAGCTGTTTTATGTTTTAGCACACACCCCTCTTCTCACAGACACCACCACCTCAGCCAGGCTTCTCAGCAGTTTTCTCCCTTCTAACCATTCATCAGCTTATATGAATATTTATTTTTTTAATTAAATTAAAAAATTTTTAAGAGACAGCATCACACTCTGTCACCCAGGATGGAGTGCAGTGACACTCCATAGCTCACTGCAGCCTCAAACTCCTGGCTTCAAGGGATCATCCTACTTCATCCTCCTGAGTAGCTAGGACTACAGGTGCACACCACGGCTGCTGGCTAATTTTTTATATATATATTTTAGAGACAGGGTCTCACCATGTTGCTGAGGCTGGTCTTGAATTCCTGGCCTCAAGCAATCCTCCTGCCTTGGCCTCCTGAGTAGCTGGGATTATAGGCATGAGCCACCATGCCCAGCTTATCTGAGTATTTCTATGGGATATATTCCTAGACGTGGAATTACTAGACAAAAGAGTATTTAAAATTTTTATCTCCACAGAGGCTACATCCGGGACCAGCCATACCCACTCTTCAGGGTTTTAATCCATCTATTCCACTCGTGTAAATGTCCCTCTGATCATGTCACCTGCCTCCTGGACACAACATTTCACTGTAATTCAAGATGCTACACAAGCTGCTAACTGTATTTTCCATTCCTCCTCTAAACTCAAGCTCAACAACACCTTTATATCTAGGAGTTTTTGCTAGGGCTGTTCTTTCAGCCTTGAAAGCTCTGTGACCAATATCTTCAGGCCCAACTGCAGTCCACTGTTTGCACCAAATAAAAATGATACCTTCATCATGAAAACATTTTTCCGTGTAAAATTCACGTTTCCACCATCTCAGCTGCTACAGCACTTTCACCTGTTTTTCACTTGGGGCCTGTAATAACGTTGTCTTAGAATTTTTGTTTCCATCAAAACTTTTTGTGCGCAGCATTAAGCACAGTGTACAAGATTACTAAGATGTGTCCAGAGAATGGAAGAGCAGTGCCTTTCACTGACCTGGCCGCAGGTAGAGGTCGGAGGAAGCTGCAGCAATCCGTTCCCGCTCCCGCTCCTTCTCCCGCTCCCGTTCCCGTTCCCTCTCAGCACTTGCAGCAGCTGCAAGGTGTGTTGGGTGTCCTGTAAAACATAAACCTGCAGCTTAAAGATAAAAATATCAACTGACTGAGTATATCAAACAATTCCGAAATTCTAAGTGACTGAAAATTTTTCAAAAAGCTTCAAATTTGGGATATAAGAAGTTTGTTTTGGCTGGGTGCAGTGGCTGACACCTGTAATCCCAGCACTTCGGGAGGCCAAGGCAGGTGGATCACCGGAGGCCAGGAGTTTACGACCAGCCTGGGCAACATAGTGAGACCCTGTCTCTACTAAAAACACACAAAAAATTAGCCAGGTGTGGTGGCGCGCACCTGTAATCCCAGCTACTCCAGAGGCTGAGGCACGAGAATCTCTTGAACCTGGGAGATGGAGGTTGCAGTGAGCTGAGATCACACCACTGCGCTCCAGCCTGGGCAACAGAGCCAGACTCTGTCTCCAAAACAAAAACAAAAAAAAAACAAGAAAAGAGAAAAAGAAGTTTGTTTTATTAAGAGTCCTGGATAAGAACTGAAGCATAACATAAGCTTTTAAGGCATTCCTAAGGTATCTAGTGACAGCTGGCACATAAGAACTACTATTAAATGTTAAAAGAAAAACAAGAAACCAAATGAGGAAAAATTGCCCAAGATACCTTAAAAGGCTATGTTGTAAAAATGTAAACATGATGGTTCTATTAGAGAGGTGTGTAACTGTACAATCTCACCTGGAGACATGGAAGCAGAGTTGTACGGCCTGGGAGGGAAAGTAATCTGTGTACCAGGAATATAAGTGATTCTGTCCATGGGAGGAGTGCTTGTTCCCCCTGGATGAGGCACTAAAATTGTTGGAGGCATATTGGTCAGGTCAATGATTCCTATCCAAAAGACAATACAATTTATGTTAAGTGTTATTCTAAAGGTACAGAACCATACATGACTTTGGATTTTGTCTATCTCTGTGAATCAAGGGTAATTTGTACATAATATAAATAAAAATGTTTACTATCATCATTACTTTTTAAGACATTCTTTAAAGAAGGATATTAAAGACTGTACTTCACATCAGTAACCTCAAAGTATGGGCAGATTAAAGAGAGCAAATTTGTAAGCCATGGATTACAAATACTCAGCACAAGGATTTGGTTTAGTTAATTTCAGTATTCACCAAAACACCTTGTCTCAATGTATGTCTCTGGGCTAAAAAGTCTACGGGAGGAAGGATATAGTATTCTTTTCTTTCTTTCTTTCCATCATTCATTCAACAAGTATTTACTGAGTACCTAAGAAACACTAGGTAAACATAATAAATTCTACGAAATCTGAAATGCAAAGACACACACCTCTCGTTGCTGGGTATGGGAGACCCAGTGGCTGCTCTCTTGGGGAGAGTCCTCTGGCCACATCTGGACGCAAGTTCACTTGCATCTGTTGTGAGGTAATGTAATCATTTAAGATTGTCTGTCTTGTGTTCTCCATTGCGTAAAGCTGATACTGACTTGGGTAACCTGGAGTTGGTGAAAGCTGTCTCTGAAACAGGTAAGCAGCCGCTGCTGATTGAGAGAATGAAAGAAAGGCACTGAGTTTTGTCCTGGCTGAAATACATTTGCTAAACACCACGTACAAAAGAGTAGAGAAAAATCACATGCTGAGCTAGTGCACATGGAACTTTTACTTAGCTACAAGGATTAAGGTGGATTTATTTTAGACCTTGATGTATTAGCAATAGCAATTCTAATGTCTAAGATGTAATGGAAAAGGGGAAGGATAACAGTAGCTAAAAACTTCTCAAGTAGTTTTACTTTCAATCTTTGACATGTAACTTTATCATATTTTTACCTGGCATCTGCAAGAGTTGTGTTTGAAAATAAAATTGTCTTTATAGTACTGATCATCCAGTACAACCAACAGAAATGTATACGAAAATACTTTGTGGCAATCAGTAACTTTACTCTCCAGGGGGTGAAAATGATTATAGACTATAAGCATTTAATTAGTCCATGTGTTTGGAGCAGAGATTGGCAAACTTTTGACATAAAGGGCCAAATGGTAAATATATTTTAGGCTTTGTGGGCCATTTCGCATTTGTCACAGCTACTCAACTCTGTCACTGTAGCACAAAAAGAGCTACGGAAAAAAAGAATAAATGGTGTGGCTGTATCCTAATAAAACTTTATTTACAAACACAAGTGGCAACAGGATTTGGCCAAAAAGCTGTAGTTTTTAGCAACCCCTAGGTGAGAGAATGACACAAGACACAAGATACGAGGAAGGGGTAGGCGTGGTAAAAAGTAGATAATGTCTCTCTCCTCAAAACATTATAATCCAACTCAGGCTCAAAAACAAGCAAAAGAAACCACTACAAAATGAAGACAATGATAAACACTAAATAGAAACCAGAAAAATTCCATTTTGTCTGAGAACTTGAGTGACCTATTTTATATGTATATGTTCTCCCTAGAAAAACAAGTAACATGTTTTCTGGAATATTTGCTTCCCCTTCATCTAGAAGCTAGGTAAGTCTGTCAGCTGACACAATCTGGGAGACAGTGCCCTAAGTAATAGGTATTGGGCTCCTCTGAAACAGTGTTGTCAAATGACAAATAATTTGATGGCATTTACACAGCTTTTAGATAAAATATTTCCCACAGTTACTTTCCTATTATTATGAAATGTAAATAACCCTTAGAATTCTTACTTTTAAAATTTAGCATACTGATAATGAAAAATTCTTCTCTAAGGACCAAAGTGAGGCACAAGTATTCTGTGTCCTAATTTGCACCTGAAGGATACTTATTAAGCAAAGAGTTTATTTAGGCCAGAGAAGAGGTCTCAGCAGAAAACACATGTGTGACTGGGCTCAGCCAATAGCGGCAAGGAAGAGCAAGGACTGCACCCTGGGAGGACAAGGTGCAGCCGGTGGTCCTGCAGATTATAACAGCCCAGCCAAGCCTCTCTGTACCAACCGATGTGACTGCTCCTCTCCCCTCCCTGTGTAAAACACAATGCCCTCTGCCCAGCAGACTGCTCTCTAGAAACCTGCACATCTGCACCTATCAGATTCTGTCTACCAATGTCAGTGGTGTTCTGAAGTTTCTTCCAGCTGTACTTGTTACTAGAATTATGTAACTTAATGACATAATTTGTAAATCAAGGAAGAATGAAGAGTGGTTTCTCTGAAAACTAACAGCTTTGGAAAGAGTTGATACAGAAGTTGAATCAGGTGCGGACTAGACAACTTCAAAGGCTGGAAAAAAAATCTAGAAGGATTCTGTATTTAGATTGCTTGGAAGTGTCTTTACTTGGAAGTTCTAGCTTTACTTAAAAAAAAGAATTTCTTTTATATAAGACAGTGAGACTTAATCACTTGTTTATGAAAAAGCCTTGGCATTAGATCAGAGTTCTGGTAAATGAACGTCTATTTATGCTGTAAGTTAACATGTTTAGGTATGCCTCTGTCATTTTAAAATAATTATTCACATTAATCCACTTTTTCAACTAGTTTCACCAAGTGCCATCAGATAAGAGAGCTTTTCATATACTATTCTTTTTAGTTCTTTACCGGGTGCTGATAAGATTTTATTTCTTGATCTGGGTGCTGGTAACATGGGAGAATTTAGTTTGTGAAAATTCACTGAGCTGTACATTAATGATATTTGCAATTGTACTATATTGTACAACAACAGAAAGCTGAAAAGTCATACTGGTGGCATATTTATTTGCCATAAATTATCACTATATTTTGTGTTTACCAGGATCCAAAGCCCTGTGAAAAGGCATGGCTGGATCCAAGTGCGTGGGCAGGTGGCTCCGATAAACCTCGCCTGCAGTGCTGCCTCTGTGATGGGGATCAAACGGACTGTGGCTCACGACAGGGTCCACCCCAGGCACTGGAGACTTCGCTGGGATACTTTCCCTCTGGGTAGGGGTCAGTGTCGATTTCCTTTCATGATTGGTAGACTTGTTAGAAGAAATTGTAACTGGAAAAAAAGAGCCAATGCCACAAGTTCTTAAGAAACTTGCAAGTATGATAATATTTGTCCATTTCTCAACCATTCAAATAAAGACTATATTCATGTATTTGGATCTTCTCTTTCCACTCAACATTTAACATTCAATATTGCAAAATATGAAAATGTAAACAACATATGAAAATGTAAACAACTAGTAGAAACTGAGATTTGGAGAGTACTGTCACCTTTTGGATCATAGCACCAGTATTTTACCACCTTATGTAACATTAAAAATAAAATTCAATACTCTTCTTTAAATCTCATTATGAATCATTTTGTTTTTTGTATGACTTTAACATTCTAAATTCTTTTGTCCCCACATGTAGTAAACTTCAGTTTTCTCTCATTGCCTGTGTTATGCAACCTCCTTCCTACCCATTAATCACTAGTTTCACTAATTTTTTCCTTGCTCTGTTCTTCCACAATGACTTTCTCATTACTTCACCAATATCTATCACCTCCCTACTCCAGCCTCTCTTCTCTTAAATGATGTTATTCAGGATGGTCAGATTGTCCCACCAATAAATATATATTCAAACACTTATTAGCCATCATCCTCAATTTTTTTTTTTTTTTTTTGAGATAGAGTCTCGCTGTCACCCAGGCTGGAGTGCAGTGGCGTGATCTTGGCTCACTGCAGTCTCTACCTCCTGGGTTCAAGCGATTCTCCTGTCTCAGCCTCCCAAGTAGCTGGGACTACAGGAGCGCGCCACCATGCACGGCTAATTGTTTTTGTATTTTTAGTAGAGACAGGATTTCACCATGTTGGCCAGGATGGGCTCAATCTCCTGACCTCATGATCCGCCCGCCTTGGCCTCCCAAAGTGCTGGGATTATGGGTATGAGCTGCTGCACCCAGCCACCCTCAATTTTTTTTAACTGTGGTGAAATATACATAACATAAAATTTACAATTTTAGCCATTTTAAAGGGTACAATTCACAGTGGCATTAAGTACAAGCATGATGGCTGTGTAACCATCACATCTAATTACTAATATTTTGATACTATAAACTTTACCACAATCAAACAAATCTGCCTGCCCAAAGAAAGAAATCACACTGGTTTATCACATCCCCTTCCAAGTCCCAGCGTGCTCAAATATGGAGTGCCCTTCCCTCTGCAGGGCAATTCGCCATCAAAACTAAAGCTACAAGCATTTGGACTCACCTCCCCATCCCTAACAAGGACTTCCCCTTCTCCTCACTCTGTGCTACGCCCCTCACACCCGCCAAAACACACTTGTACAGCTCACAGTGCCCAGCCCAGGACGTACCATGTGAGCCATCAATAAATTTGTATTATAATAAAAAATGGTAAGTGGATGCATTTTTAAGGGCCTCAGGTTGATAGGGACCACTTGGTAAAAATCACTTCTCAACTGATGTAGCTGCCAGTAGCATGGGGTTATAGTGACAACAATAATAACAACAGTAACACCAACAGGAATAATTCACATTTATCGAGCCCTTCGTAAATACTCGGCACCATTCTAAGTTCTTTACATGTACTACCTTATTTGATCTTCATAACAATCCAGAGAGGTAGGTCTTAATGTTACATTATGATTTTACAGATCAGGAAACTAAGCTACAAAAAAACTAAGTAACTCATCTGAGTTGATGCAGTAAGAATGTTAATTCAAGCTTATGCAGTCTTGTTCCAGAGGCTACTTACAGCTTTCACACCACACTGCCGCTGAAGGAACAATGTCAAAACTGACTTCCAGAAAACCTTATGCAATTGGCTGAAAATCCACTCTAAAAATATACTTACTCTATAGCATTTCTGGACTGCATCATAATCTGCACTTGATTTAAATATCAGGTATTTTACTTAAATTATGCCTACTTTTAAATTAGTAGCCTTCCATACTCCTAGACTCAAGCAAGACCTGTAGATCTTGGGATACTCTAAAGCTGACAATTTGATATTTACTACTTGACAAAGGTTTTTTTTTTTTTTTTTAAATGCAATAAAAAGTATCAGACCAAGCAACAAAAGTAACATACCATCAGAAGTTCTGTTCATCATGGGTGAGCCTCTGGACATGGTGTTTTGATAACTCACAGGGGTCCTCCGTGCACTGGTGTCATCATAAATCCCAGGGCTCAGTTGTGCTTTGGGAGCTTCATGCAGTGTGGACCTAAGAACGGAGGGGCCAGAGCTTACCACTGACGTGTGCCGGGAACGCACGGTCTCGCCTGCTTTCACATCCTCATATTTTCCCCGTTCTACCACTTTTATGTTCTCTGGCACAATTTCCAGCGGAGGCATTCCACGGGATAGTTTGCTAGGCCCCGTGATTAAGGATTTGACATTGTGTTTGATGGCAGATTGACCTGAGTTGTTGTCAAACTTTATTGGTGTGCCCTAAAGGGAAAGAAACAAACATTACAGGTAGCAAAGTCATCTGGCTACTTTTCTATCTCAGGTCTATGTCTGGCCCATGGCAGTTACAGTTCACTGTGGTGATCTTTTTTGGTCTGTTTACAAATCTCAATCACAACCCCACTGATCCCAAGCTGCATACTTTCCCACATTCCACACTCTATGCTATAGACATAAGAAAACCTGATGATAAGAAGTACACAAGGCCAGGCATGGTGGTTCACACCTGTAATCCCAGCGCTTTGGGAGGCTGAGGTGGGCAGATCACCTGAGGTCAGGAGTTCGAAACCAGCCTGACCAACATGGAGAAACCCTGTCTCTCCTAAAAATACAAAATTAGCCAGGCGTGGTGGCAGGTACCTGTAATCTCAGCTACTCGGGAGGCTGGGGCAGGAGAATCGCTTGAACCCAGGAGGCGGACGTTGCAGTGAGCCAAGATCGTGCCATTACACAAAGGCCAAGCACAGTGGCTCACGCCTGTGATCCCAGCACTTTGGGATGCTGAGATGGGCAGATCACTTGAGCTCAGGAGTTCGAGACCAGCCTTGGCAACATGGCAAAGCCCTGTCTCTATAAAAATACAAAAATTCTGGGTGTGGAGGTACATGCCTGTAGTCCTAGCTACTCGGGAGGCTGAGGTGGGAGGATCGCTTGAGCCCAGGAGGTCAAGGCTATATAGTGAGCTGTGATCACACACCGCACTCCAGCCTGGTCCACAGAGGAAAAAAAAAAAAGGTACAGGAAACTTTCATGTTTACTTCCAGGAGGTCTGACATCATAAGAACCACTTATAATTATTAAGTCACACTTTTTTAAATGTTCCATAAATATCAGTTACTGACAAAAAGAGCCAAAACTTAGTTACCTGGGAAATGGAACCCTCAATTATCGGCCGTGTGCTCTGGACCACTTCTGGAGTTTTCCGACTTTCCTGAGTTAAAATATCTTGCCTTGGAATCTCATGAATGGAACGCCCCATTTCTTTGATGGTGGTGATGCCATCATATGGTTTTCCTTTGGTAATGGCACCTTCAAATGCTCGTATGGGAGGACTTTCCCTTTTAATTTGTTTGGGATATTTAAGGCCATCTTCAAAGCTTTCAGTTGTTGCTCTTGGTGTCCCTTGAAAAAGAATTCAGGAAACATTAAAATAATGCTGATGGTTGCACAACAATGCCACGGAACTGTGCACTTAAAAATGGTTAAAATGGTAAATTTTGTTACATATATTTTAACATAATTTAAAATAATGCCTTGACATCTTGTAGTTTCTAATTAACTTTCTGTTTACAGTAGATCCTCAAATCAGTATTTATCAATCATTATTTCTTTAGGGTTGCTTGAGATATGATATTAATGCATCATTCATAATAGTCACAGAATGGTTCTTGCATAATAAAGATATCTCTATATTAAAAGATTAAGCAACTATCATCTTCCAATAAATTATGTAGCTCAGAGGCAGAAAAGTAATAACCAAGACTTTAATATTTCAAAAGGGAAAATAACTTGAAAAGCAGAAATACACTGTAAATTAATGTCAAACTATTTTGCCAGGGAGGCAGTTATAAATAAAAATGCAAAACAAGCAGAAAGTTTACCCTGCATTATGGAGCCAGACAATACAGTCCTTTCTTTGAGGTCAGAATGAGGACTCCCCCTGGGTAATGCTCGGCATATCAGCCCTTCCAAAACAAGAAAGCAATTCAATTATTCAACATAATGTATATGTCAACTCACATATACTGAATGCTGTTCTTAAAGTCTATGTTTTTGATAAATGCTCTATGAAGGAAGGAATGTCAATTTAAGTTTGTGAACTATCCAGAAGTACCTAATATGACATCACACAGTCCTTTGTAAATATTTTCCTAAATAAAAAATGGCCACCAAAGGCATCTAATGAAAGGTTGAAAAGGAAAGATACCTTCAAAGTTAAATCTAAAATCCCAACACTTCTTTATCAAGAGGAAAGAAGATACAGGATTGGAAACCATTGCTTAGCTTTGAAATATACTTGTGATAAAGGGAAAACGGGAAATATGGATACCATAAAAATAGGGAAAATGTATTAAATGAAACATGCAAATTGAAACGAAAGAGTTGTAAATAACCTCCTAAGAAGCTTCACATTATTGTTGCTGATAAATATAAATCAAGGGTTAGAAATAACCACACATATTTACAGTAAAAGTGTGTGTTTTTAACATAGAGAAAAATACAGCTCTTAGAAAATTACACAGGACTTACCCTGCTTTTAGTATTTCATCTAGCTTAAAATTGGTTGAGGCAGGTTAAGATTTAAACAAAGTGGGCCATTAACAAAACAAAATCATACTGATCATGTACTGAAGCCATATCACATGAGCAGCACCAGTTCAGACACCTGCCTCTAACCCTCACACAGTGTTAGGTACGATCCCTTAATTTACAGAGGAAGAAACAGGCTCAAAGGAATTTTACCAGGGAAGGGTGAAGCTGAAATTTAAATTCATGTCTTTATCCATTACACCACTTTATCTGTCTCACAATTCAAAAAGAAGTTCTCATAATAAACTTTACCTTTTTTAACTCACTTAGCTGAAACAGGAATAATCTGCAAATTGTATGAGCATTCAAATATGAACATTCTAATAGTAACCTATGATATGACCAATTACGCTTAAATTTGACTTCCTTCCATTGTTATGTGCCACTTTATATACAGATATAAACTTAATATAAATATATATTTCAGGTGGAAATGACAGAAATTGCATACAACTTAATATAAATATACATTTCAGGTGGAAATGACAGAAATTGCATACAACTTAATTCAACAATGCAAAATTACTATATAAAATAACATGTATCAAAATAACATTCTGAAAACAATGCTTTACCCTCTAACGGTGCTGATACAGGAGACTCCCTCATTGACATCCCTTGCTTTATATTTCCTTCCACTGATTCATAGCTTCTCTTTAAACTGATTTCATGAGCTGTTCTTGGACTCCTAGTCCCTTCTCGGGCATTCTTAATATCTACAGAATACACAAACAAGACTTGCTCAGACGGAGCACATGGTATACAATGTACAGTAAATAGGTTAGTTTCATAGTCTATCTTATAAAAATAATAATATTAAAACTTGTCTTAACCTACAATAAAATATGTGTAGATGATTCATGAAAATATTTTCACTCATTCAAATGTGTTTATTGATGCCTACTGTGTGCTAGGCATAAGCTAGGCTTGCAGGTAAGATTAACAAATTAAGTCCCTTTCTGCATGAAACTTACACAATAATGTAGGTACAGATTATGTAGTAAAATAAGCTATGAAAGGAGAAGTATAATGTGCTATGAAAATGCTAGGAGAGAAACCTAACACCTCCAGGTTCAGATAAGCCTGCTCAGAGGAAGCAATGTGTAAGCTGAGAATGAAGGATGAATAAGAGTTGTTCAAGTCAAAGGTAATAGGAGGAAAAAGTACAGGCAGTGTGAACAGTGAACACGAAGACCCCAAGGTGAGACAGAGAAAGGTACAATAAAAGAACGTAAGCGTGGTAACCGGCTAATGTGTAGAGTGGAGTTGGGAGGAAGAGTGTGGGGGAGGTAAATATAGGGGACTAAAGGGAAAAGTGAGAAGGGAAAAATGTGAAGAGCTAAGCTGAAAGCAGCTCCTGGAGGGGTTATAAAGCTAAGGTAGGGGTTTGCAGTTATATCCAGGGTGATGGAAAAATCAGTCAAGGAGTGACGTGGTACACACTTTGAATATGGGTGAGACTGAAGGTAGGGAGATGAGTTAGGTGGCTGCTGGGTTAAAGATGATGGTGACAGTGGTGAATACAGAGTAATGGATGGATTCTAGACACTTTAGGAAAATAAACAGAAATGGCTTAGTGATTTGGTGGATGTGGAAAGAAACAGAGGTGTGTAGACTTCTGATATGGACAACGTACATTATTAATTTCTTAACCCCAAAAACAAAATGTGAATCATAATATGCCAGACGTGTAAAGGAGAGTGAAATAAGAATGCTATCAAGCATTTTGCAGCATCTGGCACTATGTACGCACATACTTTATTTCTTTGTATTGGAAGAGAAAGCATAGCTCATGACTACTCCAAGGTCACAGAGTCAGGTGCAAATAAGAACTCAAATTCACTCAAAACTTTGGCTAATATTTCTATCACATTTGAGTCATTCTTATAAAATACTACTACTGAGAAAATATAACAAGAATACATCTAAAAAAATGTACATAGACATTAAAATAGTTTTATTAAGGAGTATTTAATATTATCAAGATTATCAGAATATTATCTACCTTCTAATTCTTTTTGTTTGTTTGTTTGAGACAGACTCTCGCTCTGTCGCCCAGGCTGGAGTGCAGTGGCCCAATCTCAGCTCACTGCAAGTTCTGCCTCCCGGGTTCACGCCATTCTCCTGGCTCAGCCTCCCGAGTAGCTGGGACTACAGGCGCCCGCCACCATGCCCGGCTAATTTTTTGGTATTTTTAGTAGAGACAGGGTTTCACCGTGTTAGCCAGGATGGTCTCGATCTCCTGACCTTGTGATCCGCCTGCCTCGGCCTCCCAAAGTACTGGGATTAGATAGTAGATAGGCGTGAACCACCGCGCCCAGCCTATCTACCCTCTAATTCTTAATTCATAAAACATGAATCTCTTCAAAATAAAAGTATTCCATTAAAGTTCAACAAAGGCTCTTTACCTAAGCTAAACTGACTGACCACAGTCGACAATCTTAGCTACCACCTATGGGACATTTAATATGAGCTCTGCGTTGTTAATTACTTTTTATCGACTAAGCTGTTATTCACAAAATTCTCATGAGACAAGTATTACTAACCCCATTTACTGAGAGAAAACATAGGCTCAGCAAAGATAAACTGACTCCCAGAGAGCAGAAATGCGGGAAAACCCAAGCCTATGTTTTTAGCACATATTGTAATACTGGCTTTGGTGCATACATACAATACTTACTATCATATGACAAGATATGTCCACTTTTGCCTTCATAAATAACATGGCCTTTGGATGCAGCTTCCTCTCTGCCTTTCTCAGGACTGCTGTCTTCAATGGGCATTCTCGAAATGGACCCCTTCACCAAAGCCTCTGTTGGTATGCCAGTCTGGGGCAGAGCCGGGGTGCCCTGCCATCAAATCAAGCATAAATAGCAGAGGAGTCACTCGAGTTTAGGGAAAACACAAGATGCTCAGAAAATTTAACCTATGACAGAGTCAGGCTAATCTATAGCTTCAAAGAAGAAAGCACACATACATGAAAGGAAATTAGACATTGAATTTTTATCAACATGAAGACATCCTGTACCTTCATCCTTCAACTCAGCCACATAACACTTAAAATTATGACACGTACATTAGGTGAATCAACTTTGCTCTCACCTTCATGTGAGGACTCTATTACAGGATTTAACTCTCAGAAGTTTCTCTTAAGGACTAAAATCAAGTAAATGTAACAGCTTTTATTAGGTTGTTGCAAATGTAATTGCAGTTTTTGCGTTGTTGAAATTTGCCGTTTGATACTGGAATACATTCTTAAATAAATGTGGTTAAGTTCTTGTTTTCTTCTGAATGTAGTTACGCAATATATCATTTTAATGTGCATTTGTCACTTTTTTTGTTAATGACTTATTACTTGGTGTTTTATATTTATTTTAGACGATGAAAATTATGTTATACAAAAAGCAAATTCAAGTGATTTTCTTATTCAAGTTCAAAATGGGTTGTAAAGCAGCAGAGACAATTCATAACATCAACAACGCATTTGGCCCAGGAACTGTTAACAAGCATACAGTGCAGTGGTGGTTCAAGAAGTTTTACAAAGGAAACAAGAGCCTTGAAGATGAGGAGCATAGTGGCCGGCCATCGGAAGTTGACAACAACCAATTGAGAGCAATCATTGATGCTGATCCTCTTACAACTACACGAGAAGTTGCCAAAGAACTCAACGTCAACCATTCTACGGTTGTTTGGCATTTGAAGCAAACTGGAAAGGTGAAAAAGCTCAGTAAATGGGTGCCCCATGAGCTGAGCGAAAATTTTAAAAACTGTCTTTCTGAAGTGTCTTCTCTTATTCTAGGCAACAACAAACCATTTCTCAACTGGATCATGACATCCGATGAAAAGTAGATTTTATACAAAAACTAGCGACAACCACCTCAGTGGCTGGACTGAGAAGCAGCTCCAAAACACTTCCCAAAGCCAAACTTGCACCAAAAAAAGGTGGTCTGCTGCCAGTCTGAGCCACTACAGCTTTCCGAATCCCGGCAAAACCATTACATATGACAAGTATGCTCAGCAAATGAATGAGATGCACTGAAAACTGCAATGCCTGCAGCCAGCACTGGTCAACAGAAATAGCCCAATTCTCCACGACAACACCTGTGTCACACAACCAATGCTTCAAAAATTGAATGAATTGGGCTATGAAGTTTTGCCTCATCTGCCACATTCACCTGACCTCTCTCTCTACCACTTATTCAAGCATCTCGACAACTTTATGCAGGGAAAATTCTTCCACAAGCAGCAGAATGCTTTCCATGGCTGGCTGTGGTGGCTTGCGCCTGTAATCCCAGCACTGTGGGAGGCCAAGACGGGCGGATCACCTGAAGCCAGGGGTTCAAGACCAGCCTGGCCAACATGGCGAAACCCCATCTCTACTAAAAATACAAAAATTAGCCAGGCACGGCTGCGCACACCTGTAATTCCAGCTACTTGGGTGGCTGAGGTAGGAGAATCACTTGAACCCTGGAGGCAGAGGTTGCAGTGAGCTGAGATGGCACCACTGCACTCCATGCTCCAGCCTGGGCAACAGAGCAAGACTCTGTCAAAAAAGCAAGCAAGCAAAAAGGAAGGAAAGGAAAGGTAAGGAAAGGGAAGGAGAGGAGAGGGGAGGAGAGGGGAGGAGAGGGGAGGAGAGGGGAGGAGAGGGGAGGAGAGGGGAGGGGGGGAGGAGGGGGAGGAGAGGGGAGGAGAGGATAGGGGAGGGGAGGAGAGGGGGGAGGGGAGGGGGAGGGGAGAAGGGAGGGAAAAGAAAAGGAAGGGAGGAAGGGAGGAAGGGAAAAGAAAAGAGAAAAGAAAAGAGAAAGAAAATGCTTTCTAAGAGTTTGTTGAATCTCGAAGCATGTATTTTTATGCTACAGGAATGAACAAGATTATTTCTCACTGGCAAAAATGTGTTGATTGTAATGGTTCCTATTTTGATAAAGATGCGTTTGAGCCTAGTTATAATGATTTAAAATTCACAGTCCGAAATCACATCTTTGCACCAACCTAATATAAATTTTCTAATAAAAATAAGATGATAAAGTAGTTTTAAATTTAGAGTACTACAACTTTTTCTCAAATTGTGATATGAGGGAAAAATAACTTTCAAATATCAAACTGACTACTAGGTTGTTAGGCCTTTGGATGCCTCTGTGTTTTGACACTGATTCAGTTTAGGTCAGGTTATCTATATTTTCACCATCATCAATCCTCCTCTGGAGTTGCCAATGACCATGATTCTTTTTACCCTTCCTTTAAGCAGCGAGCCCTTCCTTCAAGGAAAATTGTTCATAGAATCTAATACGTAGAGCATTTTGCAAGAGAGAGCAGCTTGGTGTAAAATAGGAGTTAGAGGCCTAGACTGAGTTTACTCACATTTAGGGTCACCACTATACTCTGAGGACTGCTAAAACCCTAGAGAGCACAATCTGATACCATATGCTTAAGAAAAGCGATAAGAGACATACACTTACTTGTCCAGTCATTAAGTGAACTCATTAGTAAGTGTCTAGAAATCCTTAACGCCCACTTCAGAAGTACTCATGTCAAGTGCACAAACAGATTTTAAACAGATAAAATTTAGTCTCCTTTGGCCCAGTTCATACTCTTTCTTCCCACAGTTTGGATGCCAGAGTGAAGAGAAAGAATAATACATACAGGCCCATTTACTTTCCTCTGTCCATATTAAAGTATTAGCTTGCTGTTAAAACAGAAACACACTGACCCAATATAAATGGAGACTTTTTTTTTTTTTGAGACGGAGTCTCACTCTGCCACCCAGGCTGGAGTGCAGTGGCACAATCTCAGCTCACTGCAACCTCCGCCTCCCAGGTTCAAGTGATTCTCTTGCCTCAGCCTCCTGAGTAGCTGGGATTACAGGCGCACACCACTATGCCCGCCTAATTTTTGTATTTTTAGTAGAGACGGGGTTTCACCATGTTGGTCAGGCTGGTCTCAAACTCCTGACCTCGTGATCCGCTCTCCTTGGCCTCCCAAAGTGCTGGGATTACAGGCGTGAGCCACCGCGCCTGGCCTAAAAAGAGAGATTTTAAGAGTCAGTATGTAACTTTCTTTTCTTCTGTTTTTAACTTAACCACAAGGAAGTAGTATGTAAACTACATTTCAGAAAGAAATCACCTGGGAACCTCAGTAAAATGGGGATTTTAATTCACATGATCTAGAGTGCGGACTGACATTTCTGCATTATTCTAGCAAGCATCCCAGTGATGCCAATGCTCTGGTGCACAAACCACACTTGGCCAGCAAAGCCCTAGCTGAATCAGCTAAGGGCTTGGGAAAACACAGACTGCCAGTCCCCACCAACAAGGGTTGGGTTTCAGTAAATCTGGGGTAAGATCTGAAAATTTATATGTGTAGCAATTTTCTAGGTGATTCTGATGCTCCTGGTGTGGGGATCATACTTTGAGAACAACTGTCTTAGAGGATAGTAACTAGACAAATAAAAAACTTGTGACAATGAGTGAACACTTTAGAAAATGCAAGGCACAGGTTTCTGTTTACAATGATTTCCCAAAACAGAATTTTCCCTCTTATGCATATACATAAAGAGGCTAAGAACTTCTTAAGTATCAAGTTAAAATTAACAACTAACTGAGAGAAATTTTATTAATCAAAATTGGTGATGTATTTAGCCCAAAATTGGAAGGCTTCTGGTGCTTTTGTTAATACCATCCACATTTCCTGGTTTAGCATTAGATTCTAACAAGGCAGCCCACATACTGAGATTCTACAACTACATCTCCACCAGGGCAAAAGTAAGCAAATAATTCGTAATGATTTTCTTCTCAATTTCTATTTAGGCTAAACACATGGTAAAAGCTTTTCCAGGAAGACAATAAGAGCTGCATCAATTAGAACATATTTCTTTTTCCAGTTTGCAAATAAGTGACCTTTTCAAATGAACCAAAGTATTCATAATATAGCTTGTAGTCAAAATGATCACATTAACGTCTCTGTGGAGACAGTTTGCAGATCTAGGTTATGAGACCCAGTCCCATAATGCAGAAAAATGAACTTAAGCCACAAAATAGCCAAAGTGCTAAGAATTATTTATCATTTTTTCCTGAGCTTCTGTTGAGTATATCAGAGATGATCGTGACTAACCTGAGTGATAGAGCCCCGTAGGGATGGAATGCTCTCCACTGAAATTTTGCTGGTTGGAGTTCCCCGAGTTATACTTCCTTCTTGTATGGCTCCTGCGGTACCTGAATACAAACAAAGCTATTAGCAAATTACACCCCCAGCCCCTGCCCCAAAACATAAAAAAACAGCCCCTACTTGGGAGAGTACTCAACTAAGAAGAAAAGAAAAAAGCAGCACAAAACCCATCATGTTTGTTTTATTAAAATGTACTTCCAAAATAATACTAAAGAACTGCTGAAACATGGAACTTCAAGGTTTTAAAATGACTTTTACATGGAAAGAAAACAAATTTAGAATTTAAAGACTATAGTTAAAAAAGCCCATCATTAAAATATATTAATAACTTACTTTAATAAATTTATTGGGGACAAAAGTTTAACATTTCTGCCAACCAGCATATTTTACCTCTGACTACACCTTCATGTTGGGCCCTGACCAACAGACCCTCAGGTTGTGAGTTTTGGCTTCGGGGAGAAAATTCTTCCTGCTTGATGTAGGGCAAAGTAGCTGTGGAAAGGCAGAGAAACATGAAACAATCCAGTACTAAATTACTGGCTGTGATGCTACAAACGTAGATGCATTATGACTGTATTAACTCACTGACCTGATTTGGCAGATTCCTGTTGCCGTGGCAGTCCAAGAGAGATAGATCCCACTGACGGCTTGGGTGTTTCTTGAGTGTAGGAAGCCTGATTATGAGAAGTCAAATAAGTGCCTGGTGTTCCCTAAGAAAAAAACAAAAAAAAATTTAAAGATTAAGCAAACATTGTTTTTTTCACAAGGTCAATTTCACAAAGTCAGCATTCCCATTTCTGTTTAAAAAAAAAAAAAATTATACCCCTTCTACCCAAAACCAAGAATAGTTTTTGTAAAGCAAGAAAATCTTCATCGTAGATTGCTTAAATATAAAAAAAATTTTAAAGGGAGTAGGATATGTCTTCTAAAATTACCATACATTACATGTAAATAGTATTTACTATTAATAAATTACATAAATAAAGCACTTATATGTTGCAATCAAAATGTAAGCTACTATTATTAATATTCATTCCGACTAAAAATGCTATGGAGAGTGGTATCAGCAAATACAGCAAAGTAATAAGGACTTCCAAAAACTCTCTTCCATAAAAGCAACAAGAAAACCTGGAAAAATTTTAAGAATCAACCTTTTTTTTTCTTTTCTTTTCTTTTGTTTTTTTTGTTTTCTTTTTGTTTTTTTTTTTGAGACAGAGATTTGCTCTATCACCCAGGCTGGAGTGCAGTGGAGCAATCTCGGCTCACTGCAACCTCCGCCTCCCAGTCTCAAGCAATGTAAGAATCGACTTTTAAAGAACCCTGGAAATTAACCAAAGGCTTGTAGAAATCTGGAAATATTTATTTAAAAAAAAAAAAAAAAGCTGAATCTAGGTAAAAACAGGTAAAAACAATGGGCTTTGTGGCATTTTAACTTGTTCCATTCTCATTCTCCTGATCAAACTCTATGGAAGTGTTGAAAACCAAAAGCACTCAATCATAGTGCAAACCTATGGTGGCTGCCTGGCAGCCACTAGAAGGGAAAGAGCAAGGATGGAGCTCCTTAAAAGCCTCATTCCCAGATAACTGTCATTGTTTGACTTCTCTGTTGGTTCTCTGGGAGACTCCATTCACAAAGCTGTCTTTATTTGACCTGACTGGAGTGGGAGAGGAGGTGCAGACTTGTCAAAAACAATCAGAGGCAACTGATTAACTTCTCCACTGCCTGAGACAGTAGATAACAGCCAGGGTAAACAACAGGCTAACCAAAACACTTAAAAGGAAAAGCCAGGGAATGAGATGTTCATGGGGTCTGAAAAACTCCAACATATTCCCTAGAACCTAGAATGCTACATGCATGTGCAAGGCTATGAATATGCCTAGGAAAGACATGGGAAGGCCCCACTGCTCTCAACTTAGGCTGCCCTTAAGGCTCTGCACGCCAGGAAGTAAAGACTAAGGCAAAGCTGTTAAGTGCCCAACACATAAAGAGCACCCCTCAGCAAAGGCTGATTTTACTGATTTTAGACATTTAAGGAAATGTCTGTCTAATCATTAGCTGATCACTAAGTTAATCAGACTTCAGTGGCTACACACAACAAATAATACAGACTTTACAGAATTAGTTAAGAAAAGTCACTAAGCAAATAATAACAGCCAAAAGAAACAACAAGCTCTGAAAAGAAAAGTGGGGGTGGGGGGGATCCAAGTTCCAGAGTTGCTACATTATACAAAATGTCCAGTTTTTGACCAAAAATTATAAGATACGCAAAGAAACATGAAAGTGTGAGCCATACATATGAAACAGAGCAGGGAACAGAAAATATTCCTGAGCTTTGGGCTCAGGAATAAAGACTTTAAATCAGCTATTATAAATGTATTCCAAGAACTAAAATAAACCATGTCTAAATTAAAGGAGGCCAGGTGCAGTGGCCTGCCTTCTTTAATCCTTACACTTTGGGAAACCCAGGCAGGAGGATCGCTTGAGGCCAAGAGTCTGAGACCAGCCTTAACAAGATATTAAGACTCTGTCTCTATAAAAAATAAAAAAAAAATTAAAAGCCAGGCATAGTGATGCATGCCTGTAGTTCCAGCTACTCAGGATGCTGAGGCAGGATTGACTGAGCCCAGGAGACTGATGCTACAGTGAGCTAAGATCATGCCACTGCACTCCAGCCTGAGCAACAGAATTGTTTTAGGAGAGAGAAAAAGAAAAAAAAAAAGAAGAAAGTACAAGAATGATACTTCACCAGATAGAGAACACCAACAAAGAGAAAGAAATCATTAAAAAGAACAAAATAGAAATTCTGGAGCTAAAAAAATATAAGAACTAGGGGTGGGGGTGGGTCTCAGCAAACTAAGAACGGAAGGAAACATCTTCAATCTGATGAAAGACATCCATGAAAAACTTAACATTCTGCCTAACAGTAAAATACTGAATGCCTTCCTTCTAAGATGAGCAACAAGAAATTCATGTCCATGTTCACCAATTCACTATTCAGTATTCCTGTATCAAGACCATCCTGGCCAACATGGTGAAACCCCGTCTCTACTAAAAATACAAAAAGATTAGCCAGACAGGGTGGCGTGCACCTGTAGTCCCAGCTACTTGGGAGGCTGAGGCTGGAGAATTGTTTGAAACTGGGAGGCGGAGGTTGCAGTGAGCCGAGATCGTGTCACTGCACTCCAGCCTGGGCAACAGAGCAAGACTCTGTCTCAAAAAAAGGAAAAAAAAAAAAATTCCTAGCCACTCGGAAGGCTGAGGTGGGAGGACTGCTTGAGCCCAGGAGTTGGAGGCTACAGTGAGCTATGATCACACTACTGCAAAGCAAGACTTTGTCCAAAAAAAAAAAACAAAAACAAAATTTAAAGGAATCAAATAGCCAAATATAAATCAAACAAAACACATACAAATCTCTAAAGTGAAAACTTTAAAGCGCTGCTGAGAGATATAGATATACAAGTTCATAGATTAGAAGATTCGATGTAAGATTTCCATTTCTACCTCAAATTGATCTATAGATTTAATACAATCCCAACAAAAATCCCAGCAGATGGGTGGTTCATGGTTTTTTTTTTTTTTTGGTCTTTTAAACCTTAAACTATAATTTGAAGCATTCTCAGATGTTTGGGGGGAAACATCCTCGTAAAATAGTTCCCTATGCTCGCCTTCTGGGGAGGCAGTGCTGAGCAGGTGAATCGTAAAGCATTTATGCATATGTTAAATGCTCACTGCACCCACCTCTTCCCCACAACCTTTGCCTCTTGGGTGGTTTGTGCTACTTTCCCCTTACTTTGCTACATTTCTACAGTTAAGTTGGTTTTACTTAAATGATTCATGTTTGGGGGGGGAAATAAACATCACCCTTAAAACATGTTTCAACTCCTGCAAATAAAATAAATGAAGTGGCGAAAGAAAAGAAAAAAAAAGAGAAGAGAAGAGATCCCAGCAGAATTTTTTTTCTTTAAGTAGACTGACAAACAGATTGTTTCTGCCTCTGCTGCTGCCAGGTGCCCATGAAAAAGTGGGGGCAAAAAAAGAAAAAAAGCAGGTTCTGAAGTATACCCTTGACTGGATCTACCCCGCAGATGATGCTGCCAATTGTGAGCAGTTTCTCCAAGACAGAATTAAAGTGAATGGAAAAGCTGGGAATCTTGGTGGAGGGGTAGTAACTATTGAAAGGAGCAAGAACACAAGCACCGTAACTTCTGAGGTGCCTTTTTCCAAAGGGTATTTGAAATAGCTCATCAAAAAATATCTGAAGAATAAGCTATGTGATTGGTCGTGCGTAGCTGCTAATAGCAAAGAGAATTTCGGATTGTGTTACTTCCAAATTAACCAGGACAAAGAGAAGGAAGATGAGGATTATAACTCATTTACCTGGAATGTTTTGTATGAGTTCTTGAATAAAACTTGGGAACCAAAAAAAGGGGGGAGACAGACATTGATAAGCTGATTATATAATTTATATGAAAATGCAAAAGACATCAAATAGTCAAAACAATCTTGAAAAACAAAAACACTGAAGACTTATACTACATGATTTCAGGACTTACAATAAAGCTACAGTAATCAAGACTGTGGTACTGACAAAACGATGAACAAGTAGATCAGTGGAACAGCATGGAGACAGTGCAGAAACAGACCCATATATACTGTCAAATGATTTCTAACAAAGGAACTGAAGCGATCAAATGAGTAAAAGACGTTTCAACTGGTGCTATTTTTCAACTAGAAATTTAAATAAAGATGAATGTTAATCCTGACCTCATACTATACACAAAAATTAATTTGAGACTGGTCACATGCCTCAATATAAAAGCCAAAATTATAAAGCTTTCAGAAGAAAACACAGGCGAATATCTCACAACCTTGGAGCAGGCCAAGATTTCTTAGCAAAATAAAACTAATCATAGGAGAAAAAAGTGTGTATATATATTTAGACTATATAAAAATTTGAAACTTCTCATCAAAATACCAGTAAGAAAATAAACAGACAAAAAACAGAGAAAATATTTGTAATACATATATCTAACAGAGAACTTTCAACCATAATAAAGATCTACAACACAGTATCAAAAAGACCCAGTAGAAACAGATAATCAGACTTAAATAGTCACTTCATAGGTGTACAAATGGCCAATAAGCACATGAAAAGTGCCCAACATTGTTTGTTTTCAGGGAAATGTAAAATACAACCACAATAAGATATTACTACACACCAAGTATGACTAAAATGACCAAGACTTGACAACAGCAAATGGAGCAATCACGTCTCATACATTGCTAGTGGCAGCATAAAATTGTAGAACCATTCTGGAAAAGTATAAAACATACACAAACCTAGTAATTCCACTCCCAGGTAATTGTACAAGAAAAATAAAAACATATGTCCACAAAGAACCCATTACAAGAATGACCAGCTTTATTCATAGCTGCCAAAAACTGGAAATAGCTCAGGTTTTCATCAACAGGAGAATGGATAAACAAACTGGTATTACTCAGCAATAAAAAGGAAGAAACTACTGATTACATAAAACCCTGGATGAATTCCCTAAAACCATTATGCTGGGTTAAAGAAGACAGACACAAAAGAGTACACCATGTTTGATTCCATTCACAGGAAGTTCTAGAAAAGGCAAAACTAATCTACAACAACAGGAAATCAAATAGTGGTTGCTTCAGGCAGTGGAAGGGGAGATGGCCTGGGAAGGAACATGAGAAAACTTTCTGAAGTGATGGAAGTGTTCAATAAGTTGACAGGGGTGTGACCACTGATGTACAGTTAGTCAAAACTGATGGAACTGTGAAGACCAGACCATATCTCAATTTTTTAAAAAGTAATGAACCAGAAAAAAGATTTAGTGGCCAAAGTCAGAATAAATTATAATACTAACCACCTACAATTTAATATTTTGAGCCTTTACCATATGTTAGTGAACAAATATTCTACTGTTTGAAACTAAGTTTAAAACTTGGTAAGTTTAGAGTGATGTAAATTAAACCAAGTGGTATGCCAAGTGCCAAGTGTAATTAAATGGGTGGTATGTTATGACCACTCAATCTGGGTACATAACTCACTGAAAGTTCTGATTTGTGGCAAGAGTACAGTGACTGCTGCATCTTCTGGTCATTATCTCTTGAAACTTCATATTCAGACAGATTATTATTTATTACAACTCTGACAAATCAGTGCGAGGAGGGAGGACAAGTTTTAACAAAGCCATATTCAACAAGAAATCTACTGTAAAGAGAAGTCGTTTCACCTGTGAGATGGAGCCTCCCATTATAAAAGATGGTTTTTCTGAAGCCACTGTGGTTTTGGATGACGGGATGAGAGGGGGCGGTGGCCTGGTTGGTCGAGTTGTCGGAAGCCGAACGCCTTCAGGGAGATTAGTTATCACTTGATGTGGAGCAGGCTGAAGGACTTTTAAAAGGAAAGAAAAATGATTTTAAACTAGTCCATTTCCTAGTTTACAACATGTTACCTCTCTCAGTCATTCCTGAATTTTTAAATCACTAATTAAAAAATGTAAGATGAAACCAACAATGAACATTTCTATTTTAAATTTCTCATTCACGTAAGCCTGTATACATATTTGTCACAAATACTATTTGTGGGGTTGAAATATTCAACTCCCTTTCAAACCACAGCTTTCAAGCTGATGCTTATTTCAAACTTCTGCTTAGCATAGCAAACATCAGTCTTCAAAAATTTTTTCTCTCTCGCCAATCACTCTTAGGGTACTTCTTAAAAACAGCTGATAACACTACTTCAGAGAATGCGCAGACATGACTGACAACCAGTTATACATCCTTTTTGCATCTTGCATATTGAGAAACACTTACTGATTCTGGCTCTCACAGAACACTTGAATTTTGGGGATGGGGAGATCTCAAGACTTTTACAAATTCATGTACTCTTCTTAAAGGAAGAGCCAGTCAATGTCACAGTATAAATGTGTGAACACAAATTTCCCAGTGGCCCAGTGAACTCAACTAAATACAACTGATGATGGAACGCAGAGAAACAAAGTCATTCTGAAACAGCAAGGACACGTCCTGGAAGAGCAGTTCATTCACGAGATTAAACCACCCACGTGGAACATCTGTGGGTGGATGGCCAGCAGCCACTGCACAGAGGAGTGATATTTACCTGGCGGGACACTATAGCGGGCTGCACTCATATCAGGCTGTGGAGCGGCTTTACTGACTTCTCTTGGAGAAAGCCTACACGGTGAGGCTGACCTTGCTGCAGTATTGTGCATCTGTGCTTCCTGTTCTAGAGCACGTTTGACCTCAGCATAAGGCATATAGGCGACTGATTTTCCTATGAAAGTTAAAGTTATCAAAATAAGGGAAGAACCCCAAATTAAAATAGTAAGTGTGAAAGGACCAAGCCCACACCATCCAGGGGCTGATCCGACTATAACATTAAAGTCTAAAACTCCTGGGGGCAAAATTCACCCACAGAGAAGTTAAGAAATCCTGTAAATCTAAATCTCCTGTGTATCCTCAAAAATTCATTTACGAGTTTTCCCTTTAAAGGAAAAAGAACTTCTCTTTCCTCTTAAGGAGAATCAAGTGTTTTCACATGCAATAAAATCACAACAGGCAAACATCAGATTATCAAGCAATTCTGTTAATTCAAATCTGGCCTGACTGGAGGTTATTAGCTTTGCGAGGATTTCACAAGTCTTATAATTAGCCTGTTGAAGCTCACTCCTTGCTAATATTCACAGAAATATATTTAATTAAGAAATGGAAGAAGCCTTTCAAAAGATGCAGATCAAACTAATTCAAAAATCCTACATAAGCTTATAAAAACCATGAATATAACTACAATAATACTAATGAAAATTACTTCTCATGTAAGTTATCTCCACATAAAGCATAAAGAAACTTTAAATATTTTAAAGGGCACGCCAGAAATGCAGTCATATTTAAGACTTTAAAATATATAGTTTCTTTTTAAAATGAAACATCTGTAATTTTTGAAAATCAAAAAAGCACAAAGTAAAACTCATTTGTAACCCTGACCACTTAGATTTGTAGCATTTTAATGTCTGTCAGAATAAATTCCCACTCATTTTATTTATTATTTTCATTACCTAGTTGTATCCATTTATCTTTCCAAGTAAATCTAAATTTAAAATCATTGAGTACTTCCTCTCAAAACAAAGAATAAATAGAATTTTCATTAGACTTGTATTAAATTTATGAATAAACAGGTGATGATATTTTATAATAATGAGTTTTCTAGTTGAGAAATCTTGTTTTTGTCAGATAGTTCCATCCCTTGCTTGTTAAAAATTATTCCTAGATATGTCATATTGGTAAGAAAACCATCTCTTTTATATATATGAGTTTATATAAATAAACCTGATTACTGCAGACATACAGGAAAGATGCGGATTTCTGTGTAATAATTTTTTCTGAAAAACCTAATGAACTTTCCTTTTAGCTCTAATAACTTTTCAGTTGATTCTTTTAGGCTTTCTAGGTGAATAATCTTATCCTGTAAATAATTTGTCTTTTCCCTTCAAATACCTAAACCTCTTATTTCCTTACTACACTATCTTTTGTAAGGTGCTTTTAAAAATCAGAAACAATTACAAAAATATCAACTGATATTCAAGTGCTAGGCAGTGTGCATTACATACAATATCTATTTAGCCCTCAAGACCAATGTGATTATTAATACCATTTTACAGATGAGGAAACTGAGGCTCAGAAAAATCACATCTAATTGCCCAATCAAGGTCTACCAGCGATTTTTTTAAAAGCAGTATAATTCCGGACCGTTAGCTCTAAACCACAGTGCAATAGTGTCTCACTAAAGGACTGGGTGTGGAATTTCAGATGTCTCTGGTGTATCCATCAAGACGATGGTACTTTTTCCTTCTTTGACATATTAATATAATGAATTAGAGTAAGTGTCCTAATACTGAGAAAACAGATTTATGAAATAACCAACTCCAAAAGAAAATCACTTTCCTAGATAATTTAATATGATAATGTATTAAAAATCCAATGTCTGATTATTTTACCATTTCCAGTAAGTTTATAACTATGTTTAAAAAAAAAAATCCACTGGTCATAGTAGTGGTTTTTTTTTTTTTTTAAATGATGGAAATTGGATGGTTCTAAACACAGCTATCTACATCACCATGTACCCAGAGCAGGAAAAGAAAAACAGCAACAGCAACAAAATAAACATGCAACAAACTAGGGTCAGTTACATAGAAGCATTAACTCTTATTTTAATTGGATAATTTTGTTAAATTTGCATTAGAAGTTCAATTCTAACTCTACCTCCATATGCTTAAGTTTGAGTTCCTTCACTGTAGAAAAGAGGCTTAAAAGTTATCAGTAAAGCAGAGGTCAACTCGTATAAATGTTACTGGTAAGTGAAAACAATTCTCTAAGGTTTTTTTTCAACCTTTTCTACAGATGGGAAAAGCTTTAAGCAACTTAAAACAGGCATACCTACAGTAATTATTTATACCATTCACATTAAGAGAAATAAATACAACCAAATAGTTGGACAACAAGTGCTGCCTGTTACTTGCTAAAAGAGACCATGAAGGGAAAAGTAAAAACCATGGCCCTAATTCAGGTGGACTGTACCAATATTTGGTGATACTTTATACATAAATCCATACTATCACTATTCTTCACATTCTATAAACTGTTCTATGAGGTTAAATTTAAACCATTTTTGTCAAACATTCTAGACACAAGCATCTTAACTGCAAACATTTAAATGTTATTTGAAAGGTTATCCTATACACTGAACTACAGGATAGACTCAAGGAAAAACTTCTGGTACTTGTTAAACAAATTACAGGATGAATACACTAGGGAGATTAGCTAAAACAAAACAACCTTTGGATAAACTTGCCCTACTTTGTAGAGCATCACCTTCGACCAAACTGTAAAATTCTTAATGTCATACTAATCAAAAGTATAATTACAATTTGATTTTAAGATGACTGAATTATGATTAAAAATTAGGATACCACTGAGATCTAAACCACGTGTAGTAATGTGACTAACACAGAGAAATACAATTCACAGTTTGGAGTCTCAGAATTTGGGGCTCCAGCCTGGTTCAGTTTCTTCAGTTCCCAAATACAACTCATTTTATAAAGCAGACCAATAAAAGATATTGAGGCTTTAAAATTATGATATCCATATTTAAATGACCCAGATATTACTAACAATGATGTTATGCCTTGTCATAAGTTCAACAAATGATACCATCTGAATGTCATTTTTCTAACTTTTACTACTTCTTCACAAAATCTATCCTAAATAATAAATGTAAGGAATACATCCAGAGACTTTTATTCTCTAAAGTTTCATTTTCCACTGACGGATTTCCTCATAATTCGAATGTTCAAAAGACAAACACCTGCGATGTCCATTAATACCCTGTAGTGAAACACGATAAGGATATCTCCATTATGTCATTCATTTATAATTCATTCCTTTAAGGTGTAATTACTGAGTACATGTTGTGTCAATTACAGAACTAGCGATTAAGAATTCCCTAGACCCAACAGAGTAAAAGCCTAAAAGTTATCAATATTTCTACCTTCATTCAAGGAAATATTCATTTAGCGCCTTTTATATTCCTTGGTGGATATTATCATTCTGGTTCACATTTTTCCTAGCACAAGATTTATGTTTAAAAATTAACAAGTTTAAATTTAAAACTCTAACATAAGAGGTTCAGTGTATTAGGCAACTAATAACTCAATATTGGTGTGATCTGGGCAGAGTCAGCAGGATCAGTTAAGTACCACAGTTCCTATTTTATATTAAATAACCCTTGGAATGCATGGCATTGTAAAGCTAATAGCTCTTATTTAGCTAAATAAAGTACTGTAAAGAATCTTCTGAATCATTCAGACTATTTCAGTATTCTGATATTCTAAGCATATCGTAGCATATAAGTAGACTATAAACTCATTCTTAACCAGAAACATGTGCCAATTCTTCTAACCATGTCAGAAGAATGTATTAAAACATAAAAACCACCCCTTTCTTCTTTTTTTAAAGAAAGTAAAAGTGTATCACACACCAACTAAAACAGCAACGGACCAACTCAAATCCATCACTTGAAATAAAAACAGTGATGTAACAATGAAAACAGGTACCTCCATAGTATCTACTGTGTATATACAGTACTAATACACTAATTAATATGTAATAACGTGCTACATTATACATAAAATAATGCAGAGCCACCTGTTATATAACAATACCGAATGCTCCTTCCTTAACTTTACAACCACAGCAAGGTAGACGTGTACTATTATTTTCATTTTACAGATGAGAAAACTAAAGCTATGAAAGGTTAAGTGACTTGCCTGTGGCCACACAGCTGGCAAATGCCAAGGTGAAGGCTTAGCCAGCGTCTGATTGGAAATATCCACTACACAAAGTTGTGTCTCTCATCTACCAGAGAATGTGAATATTACACTGTAATACTTGAAGGTGATTTGCTTCAAGGACAGGACAACAATTCTCACTCTGAAAATTCAGATGAACGGAACATAAAGCATAACTTTATTTATAATGTCTTCCAGCACAAAGATGAATATCAGAAAATTCACATTAACTAGAATGCTATTAAAAATGTTACTGGCATCCTTTAGTAGTTAATAATACTAACATTTCTTCATAGTTTAAGGTCAATTTAAGGAACTGTGTCTGTTAGGACAAATATAATAATCAGTTGGGAGGCTGACAACTTACAAAGCACAATGGACACTGCTTTTGGGTTTAGCTTTATTTCCCTTCATAAAAGTTCTCTTGGTGATAGCTCTATCTACCTACCTTCCCACTCTCTGTTTGGACTCTTGGATGTGCCACATGGACTTGTAGAACTTCTACATTCCAAATCTATCTGTTCTTGTCTCTGCCGCTGCTCCTCCAGGAGTGCTGACTCATGCATTGCTTTAATGTGTCGCTGGTAGAGAGCATAGCCGCTCACTGGGGTTCCAATTGGTATGTTACATGGGGTGCAGGATACCTATAGGAAGAAAATAAATCGAAATATGCAAACAACCAATGTAATAATTGCCATCTCTTAACAAGTAATGTAATGCTTATTTCTGTCATGTTATTGGTTGAATTGATTTTATCATTTTTTAATCAAAGTTATCTTCAAGAATAATGCTTAAGGCATTGCAGTGGCTCATGCCTGTAATCCCATCACTTTGGGAGGCCGAGGCAGGCAGATCACCTGAGGTCGGGAGTTCAAGACCAGCCTGGCTGGTATTTTGTATCTTTGTACCAAAAATACAAAAATTTAGCTGGGTGCAGTGAGGCATGCCTGTAGTCCCAGCTACTCGGGAGGCTGACACATGAGAATCACTTGAGCCTGGGAGGCAGAGGTTGCAGTGGGCTGAGATTGCACCACTGCACTCCAGCCTGGGCAACACAGCAAGACCTAGTTTTCTTTCAGAACTGATCACAATATAAATCACACAAGCTGTAATAACAGAAATCAAAAATCAGAAATTACAACACATCTGTCTGATTCTAATTTATGGCAGCCAAGTCCCTTGTGGCCCTAGGTCCCATCCCTCATCTCTCTTTCACCAGGGATCAGATCCATTTATATATATATATATATATATATATATATATATATATATATATATATATTTTTTTTTTTTTTTTTTTTTAAGACATAGTCTCACTCTGTTGCCCAGGCTGCAGTGCAATGGTGCAATCTTGGCTCGCTGCAACGTCCACCTCCCGGGTTCAAGCAATTATCCTGCCTCAGCCTCCCAAGTAGCTGGGATTACAGGTGTGCACCACCACACCCAACTAATTTTTCTATTTTTTTTTTAGTAGCGAAGGGGTTTCGCCATGTTGGCCAGGCTGGTCTCGAACTCCTGGCCTCAAGTGATCCACTCACCTCAGCCTCCCGAAATGCTGGAATTACAGGTATGAGCCACCGTGCCTGGCAGATCACATCCATTTATGTTGATTTAAATGTCATCCATTTGTTAATGATTCACAAATTTTCTACTTCCTCAAGACACTTTCTCCAAGTTCCACACTTACATAAAATGGCCTACCTAACAACTCCACTTGGGATATCTCAAGGAAGCTCAGAACTTATGTTAAAGGGAACTTCCCATTTTTGAAACTCCATTCTTCTTCAGTTGCTCTCCATTTTAGACATGGAACCCCAGGTGCTTCAGCCAGAAACCTGGCAGCCATCCTTGACTAATTAATCTCCTCCTCTCCCACAACCAACTCATTCACATAGCCATTCCCTTAGGATAGAAATGGACTGTTCCTTAAGATAGGCCATCCATAACCATCCAATAAAACATGGTGATACCCTCCCTGTTTTCCTTCTCATTGAGGCCTGTTCACTGCTTTCACAGTACACAGTATTTGCCAGTTTGAAACTGTTTTATTTTTCTGTCTCTCTGACTTTATGAAGAAAATAACCCAAGATGTTTTGTCCAATACTTAAAAAAATAGCCCAGAACACAGTCCAGGATTAAATACCTCATGAATAACAAATATCCCTAGAAAGCCCTAGAGGTCTGACTTTTTTTTAGAATCTGGTAACTTAAGACTTCCATAGTTTTTCCCCTAGCGTAAGTAGTATTATTCACTGATCCTAAAACCCATAACTTTCTTGCCTTTGTGCTTTGTCTTCCATATAAACATAGCTTTTCCTCCTTTTGCTATAACGCCAAATGAGCTGTTTTGATCCAATGAAAATATTATTTCTTATGCAGTCTTCTGTAAGTGTCTAATTAAGAAGACACTCCCTCTTCTCCAAAACATCCATAGTATTTTTTAACCTAATAGAGCATCGCATTTTAATTCATTTTAACCTTTACGATAATTTTTTTTAATGCCTTTTTTTTGAGACAGTGTCTCGCTTTTTCACCCAGGCTAGAGTGCAGTGGTGCCATCTCACCTCACCACAACCTCAAACTCTCGAGCTCAAGGAATCCTTCCACCTCAGCCTCCCAACCACAGGCGCATGGCACCATGCGGAGCTAATTTTTTTTTGTTTTTTTTTGGAGAGACAGGGTTTCGCTATGTTGCCCAAGCTGGTCTTGGAACTCCTGCGGTCAAGTGATCCACCCACCTCGGCCTCCCAAAAGTGTTGGGATTACAGGCGTGAGCCACCACGCCCAGCCTCTTTGCCTTATTATGCAGACCGGTCCATACGTTTTTTGAAATCAGAGGCTATAATATATAAATACTCTCCACAATATTAAGAACATTATCTTAAACTAATCACTCAATAAATGTCCATTTGAATGAGTCAGTGAATGAACAAATGTTTAATGATCTTTTTGTGGTAAGTACACAATTAAAAACTTTTACCACTTATTATTTGAGATAGAAAACACATTTTTGAATAAAGCAAGAGCTTTAAATATTTGAATAAATAGAAAATAACTAAAGAAAAGAACAAGGTCATTTTCTGGTGCCTAAAGAAAAATTGAGAGTGTTGGAGGTGTTCAAACAAGAGTGACTCCGGCTCCCCTCCCCTCTCCCCTCTCCCCTCTCTCCTCCCCTTTCCATGGTCTCCCTCTCATGCCGAGCCAAAGCTGGACTGTGCCGCTGCCATCTCGGCTCACTGCAACCTCCCTGCCTGATTCTCCTGCCTCAGCCTGCCGAGTGCCTGCGATTGCAGGCGCGCGCCGCCACGCCTGACTGGTTTTCGTATTTTTTTGGTGGAGACGGGGTTTCGCTGTGTTGGCTGGGCTGGTCTCCAGCTCCTAACCGCGAGTGATCCACCAGCCTCGGCATTCTGAGGTGCCGGGATTGCAGATGGAGTCTCGTTAACTCAGTGCTCAATGGTGCCCAGGCTGGAGTGCAGTGGCGTGATCTCGGCTCGCTACAACCTCCACCTCCCAGCCGCCTGCCTTGGCCCCCCAAAGTGCAGAGATTGCAGCCTCTGCCCGGCCGCCACCCCGTCTGGGAAGTGAGGAGCGTCTCTGCCTGGCCGCCCACCGTCTGGGATGTGAGGAGCCCCTCTGCCTGGCTGCCCAGTCTGGAAAGTGAGGAGCGTCTCTGCCCGGCCGCCATCCCACCTGGGAAGTGAGCAGCGCCTCTTCCCGGCCGCCATCCCATCTAGGAAGTGAGGAACGTCTCTGCCCGGCCGCCCATCGTCTGAGATGTGGGGAGCGCCTCTACCCCGCCGCCCCGTCTGGGATGTGAGGAGCACCTCGGCCCGGCCGCGACCCCGTCTGGGAGGTGAGGAGCGTCTCTGCCCGGCCGCCCCGTCTGAGAAGTGAGGAGACCCTCTGCCCGGCTGCCACCCCGTCTGGGAAGTGAGGAGCGTCTCCGCCCGGCAGCCACCCCGCCCGGGAGGGAGGTGGGGGGTCAGCCCCCGCCAGGCCAGCCGCCCCATCCGGGAGGGAGGTGGGGGGTCAGCCCCCCGCCCGGCCAGCCGCCCCGTCCGGGAGGGAGGTAGGGGGGTCAGCCCCCTGCCCGGCCAGCCGCCCCATCCGGGAGGGAGGTTGGGGGGTCAGCCCCCCGCCCGGCCAGCCGCCCCGTACAGGAGGTGAGGGTCGCCTCTGCCCGGCCGCCCCTACTGGGAAGTGAGGAGCCCCTCTGCCCGGCCAGCCGCCCCGTCCGGGAGGGAGGTGGGGGGGGGGGTCAGCCGCCCCGTCCGGGAGGGAGGTGGGGGAGTCAGCCCCCCGCCCGGCCAGCCGCCCCGTCTGGGAGGTGAGGGGCGCCTCTGCCCGGCTGCCCCTACTGGGAAGTGAGGAGCCCCTCTGCCCGGCCACCACCCCGTCTGGGAGGAGGTACCCAACAGCTCATTGAGAACGGGCCATGATGACGATGGCGGTTTTGTGGAATAGAAAAGGGGGCAAGGTGGGGAAAAGATTGAGAAATCGGATGGTTGCTGTGTCTGTGTAGAAAGTAGTAGACATGGGAGACTTTTCATTTTGTTCTGTACTAAGAAAAATTCTTCTGCCTTGGGATCCTGTTGATCTATGACCTTACCCCCAACCCTGTGCTCTCTGAAACATGTGCTGTGTCCACTCAGGGTTAAATGGATTAAGGGTGGTGCAAGATGTGCTTTGTTAAACAGATGCTTGAAGGCAGCATACTCGTTGAGAGTCATCACCACTCCCCAATCTCAAGTACCAGGGACACAAACACTCTGCCTAGGAAAACCAGAGACCTTTGTTCACTTGTTTGTCTGCTGACCTTCCCTCCGCTGTTGTCCTATGACCCTGCCAAATCCCCCTCTGCGAGAAACACCCAAGAATGATCAATAAAAAAAAAATAAAATAAAGAAAAGAACAATACCCAAGATTGGAATTCAGTATCAAAAATGAGTCAAATTTTACAGATTATTAAGGTAAAATATAAATAAAATATACTTGAAATCTGTAGATTATTAAGGTAAAATATAAAAATAAACTAGACTTGAAATTGTATACTGGAGTTAGCCATAATCTCTACAATTTATTCTAACTATTCAAAACCTAATTACATGCTTAATGCTACTACTGTTTTATGGCTCCTTAGTGCTGTGGTTACAAACAAAAACAGGACTTACTAATATTTATGGCTAGAGCATTATATTTCTTTTTTTTTCTTAACTGGAAATGACCGTTTCAATCAATCATCACAAGTCATTTGAAAAAGCAATGTACTAAGGATATAACCTTTGGTTATCTCAAAGAGTTTACTCAAAGTTAGACTCAGCATCTTCCTACCCTTCTCTCCCATATGTCTTAGCACTCCCTAACCCAAGCCCAGCACAAGAGGATGTAAGAAAAACCAAGGTGCTAAAATCAAGGGCTGACCATACAGGTACTAGTCACAATAGTCCAGAGGTGGAAGCAATCCAAATGTCTATGAATGGATGAATGAATAAAATGTGATATACAGATACAATGGAGTATTATTCAGCCTTTAAAAATAAAGAAATTCTGGCACCTGCTAAGTATACCTGGAGGACATTATGCTGAGTGAAATAAGCCTATCACAAAATGACAAATACTGTATGATTTCATTTATATGACATAATGTGGCACAATAAAAATTAAATATTTGGTCCTTCTCCCAAAGACTTTTTTTGTTCCAAATCCTTAGAATTTCCAGAGCAGTAAGAGTGTCTTTTGTATGCTAACAAGATGACTCCTGGCTGGGGCCTCTAGATTGCCTCAGGATAAGGGCTGACAGCCCAAAAAACCACAAGGCAGGAGGCTAGAACTTCTTTGGGGATTGGGGTAGGATGTCTCTTAATATTTTGCCCAGACTGGGTTTGAACTTGCAATCCTCTTGCCTCAGCCTCCCAAATAGCTGGGAATACAGGGCTGGGAGTACTGTTGGGCACCACCATGCCCAGCAAGGGCTGGAACTTTCAGCTCCATCCAGCTCACCCCACCCCCAACCCTCCAGGGAGAGGAGAGGGGCTAAAGGTTCATGCACCCATCACCAATGGCCAATGATTTAATCATTCATACCTATGTGATGAGGCCTTCATAAAAACCCCAAATGATGGGGTTTTAAGAGTTTCCAGGCTGGTGAACACGTGGAGTTGCTGGGAGGGAGGCAGACCTAGATAGGAGACAGAAGCTCCACACCCCTTCTGCACACCTTGCCCGATCCATCTCTTCCATTTGGCTGTTTCTGAGTTATATCCCTTATAATGAACTAGTAATTATAAGTAAAGCATTTTCCTAAGTTCTCTGAGGCATTTTAGCAAATTATGGAACCTGACGAGGAGAGTCGGAGGAATCCCCAGTCTGCAGCCTAGTCAGAAGCGTGAGTAACCTGGGGACCCAATACCTATAGAACTGGCATCAGAAATGGGGGTAGCCTTGTGGTACTGAGCCCTTACACTTGTGGTATTAGATGATTACGCCAGGTAGTTGGTGTCCGAATTGAACTGAACTGTAGGAACCTAGTTGGTGACCAAAGAGGTGGAGAATTCGTTGGTGTGAGGAAAAAGCCCATACATTTGGTATAGTAAGTATTGTGGGAAAGAACAGTTCATTGGTATCTAAACTGTGTGTTAAATTCATAGAACCAGAAAGCAGAACAGTGGTTACCAGTGGCAAGCGGCAGGAGGAAGAGAGGAGTTGTTTAATTAATTTCGCATTCGAAAGATGAAAAGGTCCTGGGGATCATTTTCTAAACAATGTCAATATACTTAACACACTTAACACGAGTGAACTGTATACTTAGAATTGGTTACGATTATTAATTTCATGTTATGTTTTGTACCACTATTTTTTTAATCAAGAACCAATTAAAGAACAGAAGAAATATGTCTATAAAGGTCTCAGTTTTTCATATTTAGTTTTCTTCCTCACAATAAAAACTTACCATTGGTGGGATAACAGCAGCTCGATGCTGAAGCTGTGGCAGATCCAGTGGATTTGGTTTTAACGGAGATGAGACGAGTATAGATCCAGTGGGGTTTAACAGTGAAGGCTTTGAGTCCATAGGAAACATTCTGCAATTGCAATTTAAAAAAAAGATAAATGAATACATTTTTAAGACTCAAACATATAATCACTATAAGTTCTTCTAAGTTAGTATGTACATACACATGCACACATGGACACATGGACACACATATATTAACCCATATAAAATATTTGGACAGTTAAGGAAAAAGGAACCTACAAAGCTGATTTTCCAGATAAAGAAACTGAATATCGTACTCACTTCAGCAGCGCACATACTAAAATTGAAATGATACAAAGATTACCATGGCCCCTGTGCAAGAAAAACATGCAAATTTGCAAAGCATTTTATATTAGAAAGAAAAGAAAAAAGAAACCTAATACTGACTTACAGGTTGAAATTTATCTGTATTGTCTATATCTAACCAACAAAACAATCTAAACGAAGTCCATTTAAAACTGTTCAGTCCTAATTTACCACAAATATCCTAACATGGGTTAAAAACTAGTTACCTGTTAGAGGATGTTTTATTGGGATCACAGAGTATTTTTTTAAATATTTGAATAAGCTGCTGTGATTTTTAAACTGAAAATTTCATCCAAAATTCCAGACCTCTGGCTTCTCATGAAAAATGGAAAGAACCAACAACATGAAATCAGCACTCCCCAACAGCAGCGACCTGCCATGCATCCAGCAGCCGCCACCCCGCTCACATGAGCACACACTCCTCTGCTCACCATAGTCCCTGCCATCTCACACTCCACCGGCTGATGTTGCCCATACCTACACTCAAGTTTAGGATGCCCAATATATAAACTTGAGGAAATTTTGTACTAGTGTCATGCTTTATGGGCCTGGTCATATTTCCCAGTGTTGTCATGGTCACTGGGGGAAGGTGAACATTTAAAAATGTAGAAATTGGTAAGAAAATCAGAATGTATTTAAAAAAACAATTCACATACTATATAAAGAAAGATTATATTAAAGCTATAGGAAATTGAAAGTGTTATTTCGGTCATTTGGGAGCAGTGTAGACTTTAGTGTGTCATTAAGAAACCATCATATTTTTCCAAGGAATTTCTGAATTTCAAAACTACTATCATGTTCATCTCTTAGGATGTTTACCATTTAAAATTACTGCCATCCTACCTAATTTTTCCTTCACGTATAGTTACCAAAACCAACAGTGCAAAACACAGATAATCCTTATTTAGATGAGATGTTTCAATAAGGAATGCTTAAAAAGGGACTACACAGCTTGAATCCATTTATGTTTACTGCAGTTAAAGACTGACACCATTAAAATAAAATCTAGATTACTCTGAGGTGAAAGAAAAAGAGTGATAGTCAAATTTTCTGGTAAACCAACACTTAAGCAGAACACCTATTTTATTTCAATTCATGCTGATGAAAATTCTAGCATCTACTATATAAAACACTCTGAGGAATCAGCACTATAATGCTCCATATTATTATTCTAGTATCAAATCTCATTATGGAGTACATAAGATATAAAATATATTGGATATGAACTGAAAATACAGTGACACCAAGACACACTCTGAAAGATAAACTTTGAAGAGAATTTAGCTATCTGTTGAGTAGCTTGTCTCTTTATTCTTATTAAAAAGAAAAAAAAGGAGTGGGGTTTAATTGGGTTCGGATTAAGTGATGTTTCAGTCTAATTCACTTCTAGAATTTGCACCAATTTATCATTCTACTAAAATTATAAGTGATTCAATGTCTTTTAAGGAAAAGGAAACACCAGGAAATAAAATATATTAAATAAAGTAATAACTGTACCTGTAAAATATATATCTTTTACTGTAATTTTTACAAAAACCATAAAGATATGATACATTTTTTGTATAATTAATTAACCTTTAATGACTAAAGCTACCTGTAAACTGCAGGGAGCGGTGGCTCATGCCTGTAATTCCAGCACTTTGGGAGGCTGAGATGGGTGGATCACCTGAGGTCAGGAGTTTGAGACCAGCCTGGCCAACACGGCAAAACCCCATCTCTACTAAAAATACAAAAATTAGCCAAGCATGGTGGCGTGTGCCTGTAGTCCCAGCTACTCAGAAGGCTGAGGCAGGAGAATCACGTGAACTCAAGAGGTGGAGGATGCAGTGACCCGAGATCGTGTCATTGCACTCCAGCCTGGGGAAGAACGAGACTCCGTCTCAAAAAAAGAAAAAAAACTTGTAAATTAATCTGCATTATACCTGATATTTTAAATTACAAATATGAACAATCTAAAATGTTAACTGATACAAAAAAGTGGTCATAATTATCATTACTTTGCATTTAAATTATGCTTTCTAAAAATTTTCAGAACACTGAACATGTCTCTCTTTTCAGCATTTTCTTCTACCTAATAAGTAGGGGCTGGTAGGCCTTGTTTTGAGGTTGCACTGCCTTAGAGAAGCGGGAGTGCCTCAATGCCTCTAGCCTCCACCTTCTTCTACCACATCCCACTGCTGCCCTCCTCAGGCACAACAGTTATCTGTGGTTTATTCACAACTTTATTAGTTGAAATTCCCTGTTATGCTATCATACAGAATACACGTAACAAGACAGATATAGGAGAAATGTATAATCTGTTTCATTAAAATGATCATACAATAGTTTGTGGTTATTTAAACAGAACAGTATCAGCCCAATATTAAAATTGTACAGACTACCTATAACGTGCCAATATTTACATAGGAGACATGTCTGCAGCCAGCACCACCCTGTGATTCAGTCACCAACCAGCAGAGTAAGCACGGGGAGGACTTATGGAACGAGCCTCACCTCTGCCTCTCTGGCTCTCCATCCACATCCTCATCAGCGCTGCACGTGGCACTGGAATCATTGTCTGACTGGGGCTCGGGCCTTTGGGCATTTATTTGCTGAGCTACCACCAAATCTTCATCTCTAGGTTCCACCTTCTCACTGGCTCTATCCAAGTCTCTTTCTTTGGTATTATCACCTTCAACTTTAGATGCATGGTTTTCTGGCACCCTCACTTCAACGTCCACAGAGTCAGCTTTGGTAGCGGGTGGGGGATCACAAACAGAACCCTCTTCAGCACTGTGCTCCTGCTGATCTACATCCATCTGCTCTGCTGTCTCAGCACTGATGCTGTCATTCACCTGGGTCTCCACACTTTCATCTTCAGCTGGTTTTGTACTTGGAACTGCTAAGGAGGGAGATGTACTGGGTGCAGTTTCCGTGGTGGGCTCAAGCTCAACCGCAGGTTCTGTGTTTCCTCGAGAAGTAGCATTTTCAGGACTGTCCTCGCTGGGCTTGACAGCTTCAACTGGTGAAGGAGAAGGAGCACTTTCTGTATCAGAACTATTTTCTGCACCTTAAAGATAATGATACAGCATAAAAATCTGATAATGAACATGTTTCAGGTGGTGATAGAAACCATGTTTGAAAGTAGTTGTTTAGGATGAATTCTACTCCTTTGATGACCTCATTGAAGTATTTACAGCCATTGAGAAGGCTAAAGTTTCCTACAGAGTATAAAAGTGAAAGATCAAATTATCTTGACCTTCTGAAACTAAAAGCATAAAGGATTTTAATGTCTGAAAATAATTTATATGAAATTGAAAAAGAACGAACAATAAAACTAAACAAAAAACATTCCTATAAATGATGACATTCTGGTGTATTTCTAGAAGCCTCTTCCTGTGAATTTCCTTTTACCCAGCTGAACTGACACTCTAGAACGGCTCCATCCAATAGACATATAATGTAATCACATCTGTAATTTTAATTTTTCTGATGGTCACATTAAAAAAGTAAGAAGAAATTGGTCAAATAATTTAAACTTTTTTTTTAATTTTTAATTTTTTGGAGATGGGGTTTTGCTCTTGTTACCCAGGCTGGAGTGCAATGGTGCGATCTCGGCTCACTGCAACCTCCGCCTCCTGGGTTCAAGCGATTCTCCTGCCTCAGCCTCCCAAGTAGCTGGATTTACAGGTGTGTGCCACCATGCCTAGCTAATTTTGTAGAATTTATTTAATTAACCCAGTATATGTGAAATATCATTTTAACATGTGATCAATAGCAAAAAATCATAAGATTATTTTTCCTTTTTTTGGGTACTAAATCTTCAAAATCTGGTGTGCATTTTACATTTTCTGCATATCTAATTTTTTTTTTTTGGAGGCAGAGTCTCGCTCTGTCACCCAGGCTGGACTGCAGTGGTGCTTTCTTGGCTCACTGCAGCCTCCGCCTCCCAGGTTCCAGCGATTCTTGTGCCTCAGCCTCCTGAGTAGCTGGGATTATAGGTGCCTGGCACCATGCCCGGCTAATTTTTGTATTTTTAGTAGAGATGGGGTTTCACCATGTTGCCCAGGCTGGTCTTGAACTCCTGACGTCAGGTGATCCGCCTGCCTTGGCCTCCCAAAGTGCTGGGATTACAGACATAGGCCACCGCACCCAGCCTGCATATCTAAATTTAAACTAGCCAAATTTCAAGTGCTCAATAGCCACAAGTGTCTAGCGGCTACCACACTGGACAGAAGGCTGTAGAATACTATTTCACAGATTTTTAATTTAATGTTGTAACAGATCTTTCCCCATATCGTTTATATTGTTCTATAATCGTTTATATTGTTCTATAAATAGACTTTCAGTGCTTTTTGACATCTTTACCTAGATATATCAAAGGCAGCACAAATTCAGTATGTCCTGTACTAGAGTTGTAATAACCACTCGCAAATCAGATTCTTTTCTAGGGTTTACTATCCAATTAAACAAAACAGAGACCAAGAAGTCATCTTTTAAACCCTCTTCTCATTTACCCCATATCCAGCCTTGACAAGGCTCACTGATTTTCTCTCTAAAAATTTCTCTTGAATCTATCCAATCCTGTTCAACTTCACAGCTAGCACTCTAGTCCAAAACCAACTCTCTTCACTCCACTTCAGACCATTCTTTACAACAAAGATAGAGTTGTCTTTTTAAAAGCCAGATTTTACCACAATAACTCACTCTCTCACTCTCATAACTTTTCAGTGGACCCCCATTACTATTAGGATAAAGTCCCAAAATTGCTGGTATGATCTGCAAGGCCTTGCCCAGTGGGCCCCCTCCAGCCTCTCCAGCTTGCACACAGCTCTCTGAATTCAAGTCACACTGGCCTTTATTTAGTTTGTTCAATGCCTCATGCATCTTCTACCACAGAGACTTTGTACATGCCATTCACCTTTACTGAAAGGCTCTTTCACCTACTTTTCCTTTGGTGATCAACTCAAACATCACATGCTTAAAAAGCCTTCTATGGGCTGGGCGCACTGGCTCACGCCTGTAATCCCAGCACTTTGGGAGGCCGAGGTGGATGGATCACCTGAGGTGAGGAGTTTGAGACCATCCTGACCGACATAGTGAAACCCCGTCTCTACTAAAAATACAAAATTAGCCACATGTGGCATGCCTGTGCTCCCAGCTACTTGGGAGGCTGAAGTAGGAGAATCGCTTGAATCCGGGAAGTGGAGGTTGTGGTGAGCCGAGATCATGCCAGCCTGGGCAACAAGAGTGAAACTCTGTACCCCCACCCCCCCAAAAAAGCCTTCCATGGTTTCCTTAACAAAGTTATATTTTGCTAATATAGTTCTGATACCACATGTACTAGTTACAGTTACAATCTTACATTTATTTACTAGAATGATTTCTGGCTATTTCTTCCACTAGGCTATAAACTCCATGAAGACAGAGATCATTTATTTTGATTATCACTTAAGTACTAGCCTGGTACACAGTAGACTCAAATACTGGCTGGATTATAAAGTACATGAATGGTTGTGAAAACCTAAGTAACCGTCTGGGAAAAAAAAATATTTTTTAATTGTATATAATAGACAGCAATATAAAAAAAACTTCTACAAATTCATCCTTTCAAATATGATGAAGTGTCAACTATGTATGTGCAGGGAGCTGTCTGAGGTACCACGGACACAGCAATTTAAGAAAACCTAAGCAGATGCTCTCATGGAGCCCATATTCTAGCGTGAAATAGACAACAGTAAATATGTGATATAGGCTGAGAGTGGTGGCTCACGCCTATAATCCCAGCACTTTGGGAAGTTAAGGCAGGAAGAATGCCTGAGGCCAGGAGTTCAAGACCAGCTTGGGCCACATAGTAAGACCTCATCTCTACAAAAAAATTAAAAAATTAGCTAGTCATGGTGGCGTACACCAGTAATCCCAGCTATTGGGAGGCTGAGGCAAGAGAATCACTTGAGCCCAAGAGGTCAAGGCTTGCAGTGAGCTGTGTTCACGCTGGTACACTTCAGCGCTGGGTTAACAGAGTGAGACCCTGTCTCAAAAAAACAAAAGAAGTGATATATCAGGTGGTGATCAGTGCAGTGACTAAACGACAAAACTGAGAAAGAAGTGGGTGAGGAGGTATTATAGAAAAAAGTGATATCTGAACAGAGGACTCAAGGAAATGAGAGAATGAGCCCTAGGCACATGGTGGGGAAGAGCATCCCAGGTAGAGGGATTAGAAAGCACAAAGGCTCCTGAAGTCGGGGTTGGTTTGCCCAGGAACAGCAAAGAGGACAGTGTGGTTGGAGCAGAGGGGGCCAACAAAAAAGCAGCTGGCAGAAAGTTCACAGAGGTACAAAGGTCAGTTCATGCAGAGCCTCATAAATTGCAGTAAGGCCTTGGGTCTTTATTTTTACTGAGATGGGAAAGTATTACAGAATTTGGACTAGAGAAGAAACATGATTTGATTCACATTTTGGAAGAATTACTTGGGCTGCTGTGGAAGAAAAAACAGAATGGACCTTGTCTCTACACAAAATAAAAAAGTACATTAGTCAGGTGTGGTGGTACACGCCTATGGTCCCAGATACTTGGGGGGATGAGGTGGGAAAATCGCTTGAGCCTGGGAGTTTGAGGCTGCAGTGAGCCACGATCGAGCCACTGCACTCCAGCCTAGGTGACACAGCGAGACCTCATCTCTAAAAATAAATAAAAAGAATGGAACAAAAAGAAGCAAGAGACTAATCAAAAAACTACTGCAATGAGGGCTCCTCAGAAGCAGGGTAGGAGCAATGGAGACAAGGATCCAATTCTAAAGAGACTAAAGAAAACCTAATTTATTGATATAGTGAAAGACCAGAGGGAAAAGCAGCTTGTGGTGGTAGAGACACATGAGTTTGCTTTGGCTGTTAACAACAAGATGGCTCTTAGGCATCCAAATGGAAATACTGTAGGTGATCAAATATATGAGCCTGGAGTTCACATGAGAGTTCAAGTCTCCAAAAAACAAACAAACAAACAAACAAACAAACAAAGACAGACAAGCAAATAATTCAGAAGAGTACCTCACATGTAGTAAGGTTTTAATATATGGCAGCCATGGCCAGGCGCGGTGGCTCATGCCTGTAATCCCAGCACTTTGGAAGGCCAAGGCAGGCGGAACACCTGAGGTCAGGAGTTCGAGACAAGCCTGACCAACGTAGCGAAACCCCATCTCTACTAAAAGTACAAAAATTAGCTGGGCGTGGTGGCAAGTGCCTATAATCCCAGCTACTCGGGAGGCTGAGGCAGGGGAATTGCTTGAACCCGGGAAGCAGAGGTTACAGTGAGCTGAGATTGCAACACTGCACTCCAGCCTGGGCAACAAGCGCGAGACTCCATCTCTAAAACAAACAAACAAACCAACAAACAAAAACGGCAGCCATTATCATTACTGAAAGATCCTACCAAAGCATTGAAAAGCTAACAAAAAGCCCAACTTAACCTTCATTTCTGTTTATATAGTGGTAGAAAGCCCCAAATCCAAGGGCAAACTAACAAGGCATTTATCTTCAAAATATTAGAAGACATGTTAGTGGTTATACAGCAGATGATATCATTTGACATAAGCACTTTTCCAATTTTCTTCTTCCAAGCCACAAAAGAGTAGGAAGGTTTCCAAGGCATAATGTTTCACCAAGCAGTAGCCAAACATGAGTATCTTTTTTTTTCCTAAAAATACAAAAAAAAACCTTAAAGAATGATGTAGAAAAAGAGAACAAGAGCAAATCCAAATTTTGGTGAAGTTTGGTCTGATTTAATTCTTCTAATCATGAAAGATACTCAAACACTCAGATGTGTTTTAGGAAAACAGATAGAGGAACCCTCCCTTCAGCAGCTGCCTTCGTTCTTCAATTGGCAAGAGACTTGCCACACAATAAACAGTGCATCTGTGCTGTCTCATTGAGATTAGGAATAAGTATGAGATCACAGGTCACATGAGCTGCATTTATGTTCTCTTCTTGACACTTTCCAAATGAAGCTAAGTCAACAGGAAGAGAGAGCCTACAATTCTACTGGGAAAATCATTTCCTCTTAATAGGAAACTCTTCTAGATGATTGAGCAGATGTGATGGTGCCACCCTACACTTGATCAGACATATATATATATATATATATATATATATATTTTTTTTTTTTTTTTTTTTTTTTTTTTTGAGACAGTCTCGCTCTGTCGCCCAGGCTGGAGTGCAGTGGCGTGATCTCAGCTCACTGCAAGCTCCGCCTCCCAGGTTCACACCATTCTCCTGCCTCAGCCTCCCGAGTAGCTGGGACTACAGGCGCCCGCCACCATGCCCGGCTAACTTTTTTTTGTATTTTTAGTAGAGACGGGGTTTCACCGTGTTAGCCAGGATGGTCTCAATCTCCTGACATCGTGTTCCGCCCTCCTGGGCCTCCCCAAGTGTTGGGGTTACAGGCATGAGCCACTGCGCCCGGCCCAGATAGACATATTAATACCAGACTTGGGCTTTGTTATGGACTGCATTGTGCCCCTCCCCACCAAAATTCTTCTGTTGGAGCCCTACCCCCCAATGTAACTGTATTTGAAGACGAGGCCTTTAAGGAGATGACTAAGGTTAAATGAGATTATAACAGTGGGCTCTAATCCAGTAGGAGTTGTCTTCATATGAGGAAGAGACACCAGGAGTGCGCACACCCAAAGGAAAGGCCATGTAAGGACAAAGTAACAAGGCGGTTAGCCATCTGCAAGCCACAAAGACAGCCCTCATCAGAAAGCAACTGTGCCAGCACCTTGACCTTGCACGTACAGCCTCCAGAACCGTGAGAAAATTAATTTCAGTTGCTGCAGCCACCCAATCTGTGGTATTTTGTTATGGCAGCCCAAGGAGATTTATTAACCTCCAGCCTTCATTAACATTTATAACCCCAGGGAATACTAGCCACCAGAAACAAACCCATTAAAACCAAGAGACTCTGACAACCTCTCTAGAAGTGCCATTAACACACCAAACTACCTTCCCTGTTTGCAGCACTCTTACCCTACCCTCGGGTGGGACTTCTCTAATACTCTCTCTACTCTTGTAAAGATGACCTCATTTTTCACAAACCCTCCCAAAAACAAGTTTAAGGTTAGGGGTTGTTCAAAGCCAAAACCCATTTCAATACAAGTTTAAGTTTAAAAGACAACAAGAATAATCTATAGGAAAAAAAAAACATGGAATCTAATATTACTAAACCTGGAGGATGTACAACTTTTAAAGCTTATACAAAATAAAGACCCTACACAGAAAAGAGATACAACTCTAATTACACAAACTTTAAACAAAAGTAATTGAAAAGGAAAACAAAAAGAAAATGATGGAAAAAATTATCTGCATATACAAAACATGAACATGTTTAATTTATAATATATGAAGAGCTACTAAAAGCATTATAAAAATCCCCACATCAGAAGCAATTTCCAAAAAAAAAAAAAAAAAATCCACAGAAACTTTAATCAGAGTGTAAACTGAAATAAATTAGGTATCTTTTTTCTTACCAAAAAAATCAAGAAAACATTTACCTTTCCATGAACTTGTCATTAGTTTAAATGACAAAGATACATTATTTCTTAAATTTCCTTAAGTTTCGTGTTTTTTTTTTCTATCGGTGCTTCTAAGGTCACTAATTCTTTTTACGTAAAAACATTACTACAGTACATATAAATCTCTGTAAAAATATGAAAATAAATCAAACTTAAGCCAATAAAATAAAGAGAAATGTAACCAACTATACTAACTGAACAAATAAATGTGGCAATGACACAGACACACAGGTATTTTATTGATGTTGGCACTTGATGTCTGAAGCAGGACTGCCATTTCCAAGATCTTCTGGACCATCCTAGGTGCTACATAAATATTTGTTGATTAAATGAATAAAAACATTATGTTCAAGTTTGAAGTCTCCACACCATGAAAACACTGGCACACTGTTTCCTCAATGAAGCAACTCCTACACAGTCAAATGACTAAAAATTATTTATTCTGGATAGCAGATGTCACAACTAAATTTAAAATTTTGAGATACCTTCGCTGTCTTCTGGATTTTCTTCTTCATTGGAGGCTTCAATATCTTCATCCTCCTGAGCAGAAACAGTGGAAGCGACACTTTCACATTGAGACACATCTCGCTCTTCACGAGGTTTTCGTGAAGTCTAAAGGAGGAAAGAGTATTATTTGATTTAAATAACTAAAAAGAAAAAAAAATTCATTTCTGAAATAATGTAGAACATTGATAAGCACACACACACACCAGACAAGGAGGTCACATGTTTGACAATAGTTCTGGTTAAAGTGCAGATAAATACCTCTCCATAATCACTAACTGGCCAAATTTTGTGTAGATGGCTCGCCTTTATCAAACTAAGCAAAAGTTACATCTGATCCACTTTTGGAATTACTCACCACTATACATGTATAAAAAGCCAAAAATCACATACCTCCATGCTTTTTACTCACTCCAGATAATGTTATCTAATAAAAACAATATATATATATTTTTTCTAAAGATAATATATACCTTGAAATGTGGAAGACATAACACTACAAAAATCACTGCTCATTATTCCAACAGTAAGAGATCCTAAATATACCGGTACATTTCCTTTCAATCTTTCAGAGGCATATACATGAATATAAATATTTATGTATACATGTAAACACAACCAGGAAAGCCCTATGTAATTACATATTCACTTTTTTAACATAATGTAGCCATGAGCAGAACATATCACTGTTACAAATTCTTCCTAATTATTGTTATTAATGATCCCATGAAAACATTATGTTGACATAATACTGACATATATTATGTTGACATATAATTAAAATTCTCCTATTTTAAGGCATTTTGGTAATTTTCAATTTTTGGTATAAATAATGCTGCAAGAAACTTCCTTCACTAGCATTAAGAATCACGCAATTTTATAAGCAACAACTCATCATTGATATTACTACTGAATTTCTTTTTACCACTCAATTTATTTTTCTTTTTTGAGACAGAATCTTGCTCTGTCACCCAGGCTGGAGTGCAGTGGCAGGATCTCAGCTCACTGGAACCTCCACCTCCTGGGTTCAAGCAATTCTCTGCCTCAGCCTCCCGAATAGTTGGAATTACAAGCACCCGCCACCAGGCCCAGCTAATTTTCATGTTTTTAGTAGAGACGGGGTTTCACCATCTTGGCCAGGCTGGTCTTGAACTCCTGACCTCGTGATCCACCCGCTTTGGCCTCCCAAAGTGCTGGGATTACAGGCGTGAGCCACCGCACCCAGCCAATACCACTCAATTTCTTTTACTATAAAAAAGCACAAATTCAGCTAAGCATAGGAGCTCATGTCTATAATCCCAGCACTTTGGGAGACTGAGGTGGGAGGATCACTTGAACTCAGGAGTTTGAGATTAGCCTGCGCAACAAAGTTGGACACCTGTCCCTACAAAAAATAAAAAAATTAGCTCTGTGTGCTGGTGCTCTCCTGTAGTCCCAGTTACACAGTAGACTGAGCCAGGGAGATCGCTTGAGCCCAAAAGGCTGAATCTGCAGTGAGCTGTGATCATGCCACTGCACTCCAGGCTGGGTGACAGTGAGACTCGTTCAAAAAAAAAACAAAAAACAAAAAAACAAAAATTTTTTTTAATTCCTTTTTAAAAAAAATTGTATGCTCCCTTCTGCAAAGTATGTTTATGCAAAATTGCTCATTCTTCTACTGGGGTCGCATATACGTAAGAGTACATGTGTACACATTTAACTATAAGACGTTAGCTATTTACATTATATTTATAACTTCATGTTACTAAATAGAAGGCTTAATATCTTCTGTGTTTGCAGACCCAGGGTTCTGGAAGTCCCAGCCCTGATGGTCCTCTGTCTTGTGCCCCTTACAGAGCCTACGTTTCACCTCATATGAGCTGTCAGCCTCTCCCAGTGAGACTCCTCAGAAGAGGAAAATATACTACTGCCCTGTTAAAAATTACCCGTACATCTACTCAACATTCTCATGCGGATGATATTTAGGATCCAACTAAAATATTAATTAACTCAAGAGAAACAATCATTTTCTAATATCAGAGTCACAGAATTAGTTGCAATTCTCAAGGCTAATATTTCTAAGTTCATAGCAGGAATGCAAGAGAATCCCAGAGACACACTGGCTACACTTTCTAAAAAGCTTTCAGAAGATTCTGTAAATTTTCAAGGATAATAACTACTTTTAATTTATTTGTTTGTTTTTGAATATGAGGTGTTGCTGTGTTGCCCAGACTGGTCTGGAACATCTGGCCTCAAGCAATCCAGGTGTGACCTACCATGCCCAGCAGATAAATTATTATATGGATTTTTCCAGAGCCCAGTGTATGTCCCTCTCTCACCACTATCAACCCATTCTGTTTGGTCCTTTCACTAGTAACTAGGGAAGAGACAACTTTTTACCCTACTACAACATCCCTCTGTTCACATGCAATAATTCACTACGTTGCCAAGCATTTTCTTCAATATATGATAGTATTCACTAATTCTTAATGTAAAGTCAAATATATAGAAACACAGGCCAGGCGCAGTGGCTCATGGCCAGACCCAGTGGCTCAGACCTGTAATCCCAGCACACTGGGAGGCCAAGGCGGGCAGATAACTTGAGGCCAGGAGTTCAAGACCAGCCTGGCCAACATGGTGAAACCCCGTCTCTACTAAAAATACAAACATTAGTCAGGCATGGTGGTGTGTGCCTGTAATCCCAGCTACTTGGGACACTGAGGCAGGAGTATCGCTTGAGCCCAGGAGGCAGAGGTTGCAGTGAGCCAAGATCAAGCCACTGCACTCCAGCCTTGGTGACAGAGCGAAACTCCATCTCAAAAAATAAAATTAAATAAAAATTAAAATTAAAAAAAAAAAGAAGACATTCTGCCAGGAAAACTGCCTTTGGGGTCCAACTGCAACTCTTCCCAGAATCTCCAATCAACCAGCCTACTCCATTAGACACTGGACTCACCAACCCTCCACAATCACAGGAGCCAGTTCCTTAAATCTCAATCTTTCTTTCTATATATATGCATACACACATCCTGTTAACTGTGTTTCTGAGGAGGACCATGACTAATATAACATACATTTATTTATTTATTTTTATTTTTATTTTTCAGACGGAGTCTTGCACTGTCACCCAGGCTGGAGTGCAGTGGCGCCATCTCGGCTCACTGCAAGCTCCGGCTCCCGGGTTCAGGCCATTCTCCTGCCTCAGCCTCCCGAGTAGCTGGGACTACAGGTGCCCGCCACCATGCCCGGCTAATTTTTTGTACTTTTAGTAGAGAAGGGGTTTCACCATGTTAGCCAGGATGGTCTCAATCTCCTGACCTAATGATCCACCCACCTTGACGTCCCAAAGTGCTGAGATTACAGGCGTGAGTCCCCACACCCAGCCAACATTTATATTTTAAATACATATCTGACTCATTTTTTACTTCACTTTTTCTCAAAACATTTTGGATGTTACCTCCTGAAGTCAAGTCTTTATCTTGTCAGTAGACTTTTTCATGTTTTGGTTGCTACAGCATATTTTTAACTCTCACATTCTTATTATTAACCTAAAGGCCGCTTTGTATACACACTTTTAAATCAGTCAATGTTATACTTTGTATACTCTTAATAAATTCAAATCTTATTAGCTTTACTATCACACTTTAATAATTCTCAAATTTTTTGGTCTAAGGATGCAACACTCTTAAAAAGTATTAAAGGCCGCAGAGAACTTTTCTTTTTTTTCTTTTGAGACGGAGTCTCACTCTGTCGCCCGGCTGGAGTACAGTGGCGCGATCTCAGCTCACTGCAACCTCCGCCTCCCAGGTTCAAGTGATTCTACTGGCCTCCCGAGTAGCTGGGATTAAAGGTGCACACCATCACACCCAGCTAATTTTTGTATTTTTAGTAGAGACAGGGTTTCACCACGTTGGCCAGGATGGTCTTGATCTCTTGAACTCGTGATCTGCCCGCCTCGGCCTCCCAACGTGCTGGGATTAAAGGCGTGAGCCACTGCACCTGGCCAAAGAGCTTTTCTTTATGGGAGAAATATAGACAGCCAGATAGACACTTACTATATCAGAAACTAAAACTAAGAAAACTTCAAAATTTTAAATTATTAAAAACAATATAAACTCATAAATTATTATTTATTTATTTATTTTGAGATGGAATCTCGCTCTGTCGCCTAGGCTGGAGTGCAGTGGTGCGATCTCGGCTCACTGCAAGCTCTGCCTCCTGGGTTCACACCATTCTCCTGCCTCAGCCTCCCCAATGGCTGGGACTACAGGCACCCACCACCATGGCCGGCTAACATTTTTTTCTGTATTTTTAGTAGAGACGGGGTTTCACCATGTTAGCCAGGATGGTCTCGATCTCCTGACCTTGTGTTCTGCCCTCCTCAGCCTCCCAAAGTGCTGGGATTACAGGCATAAGCCACCGCGCCTGGCCAAGAATTTATTTTTTTAATGAAAAGTAACCATTTTCCAAAAAAAAAAAAATGACTTACTAAAACAGTGGCACAACCTTCCCCTTTTGGAAATCTCTTCCATGTCTGATCTAACAGAGACAGCACAATTCTCAAGGTGCTTCCACATATGATCTAATCTGTGGATTACATTAAGTAATCTAATGTTTTGGTTGAAGTATAAGAAAACAATGTAGCCTCACACAGATATGTCGTTGGAAAAGGGAAGAATATTTTAACAGATTTTTCAGATACTTATGCATACTATTTTTTGATACTGTACCAAAACTCACCAAGTGTCACTTCTTATTTGTTAGTTACAATATGAAATCTTATACCATATCAAGGAACCCTTCATACTCTGTTAAAATCTATAATCTGGCCAGGCGCGGTGGCTCACGCCTGTAATCCCAGTACTTTGGAAGGCTGAGGCAGGCAGATCACTTGAGGCCAGGAGCTGAAGACCAGCCTGACCAACATGGTGAAACCCCATCTCTACTAAAAATACAAAAATTAGCTGGGCATAGCGGCGTGCGCCTGTAATCCCAGCTGCTAAGGAGGCTGAGGCAGGAGAATTGCTTGAACCTGGGAGGCGGAGGTTGCAGTAAGCCAAGATCATGCCACTGCACTCCAGCCTGGGCAACAGGGTGAGACTCCATCTCAAAAAAAAAGAAAAAAGAAAAAAATCTGTAACCTATCTTACGTTTGGTATATTAAAAAAACATTATCAATCTTTTATCAATGCATGATCCATTATGTATTAGTTCATTTTCACGCTGCTGATAAAGACATACTTGAGACTGGGAAGTAAAAGAGGTTTAATGGACTTACAGTTCCACATGGCTGGGGAGGCTTCACAATCATGGCAAAAGGGAAGGAGGAGCAAGTAACGTCTTACATGATGGCGGCAGGCAAAAAAAAAAAAAAAAAAAAAAAAAACTTGTGCAGGGGAACTCCTCTTTCTAAAACCAGTAGATCTCCTAAGACTTATTCACTATCACAAAAATAGCATGAGAAAGACCTGCCCCATGATTCAATTATCTCCCACTGGGTCCCTCCCACAACACATGGGAACTGTGGGACCTACAATTCAAGATGAGATTTGGGTGGGGACACAGCCATACCATATCATTCTGCCGCTGGCCCCTCCCACATCTCATGTCTTCACATTTCAAAACCAATCATGCCTTCCCAACAGTCCTCCAAAGTCTTCACTAATTTCAGCATTAACCCAAAAGTCCATAGCCCAAAGTCTCATCTGAGACAAGGCAAGTCCCTTCCCCTATGAGCCTGTGAAAGCAGAAGCAAGTTAGTTACTTCCTAGATACAATGGGGGCACAGGTATTGGGTAAATACAGCTGTTCCAAGTGGGAGAAACTGGCCAAACGAAAGGGGCTATAGGGTCTATCCAAGTCCAAAATCCAGCAGGGCAGTCAAACCTTAAAGCTCCAAAATGATCTCCTTTGACTCCATGTCTCACGTCCAGGTCGTGCTGATGCAAGAGGTGGGTTCCCACGGTCTTGGGCAGCTCCAATCCTGTGGCTTTGCAGGGAACAGCCTCCTTCCTGGCTGTTTTCACAGGGTAGCGTTGAGTGTCTGCGGCTTTTCCAGGCACACAGTGCAAACTGTAGGTGGATCTACCATTCTGGAGGATGGTGGCCCTCTTCTTACAGCTCCATTAGGCAGTGCACTAGTAGGGAGTCTGACCCCCCATTTCCCTTCTGCACTGCCCTAGCAGAGGTCCTCCATGAGAGCCCCACCCCTGTAGCAAACTTCTGCTTGAACATCCAGGCGTTTCCATACATCCTCTGAAATCTAGGCAGAGGTTCCCAAACCTCAATTCTTGACTTCTATGTACCCACAGGCTCAACACCATATGGAAGCTGCAAAGGCTTGGGGCTTGCACCCTCTGAAGCCACGGCCCAAGCTGTACCTTGGCCCCTTTCAGCCATGGCCAGAGCTGCTGGGGTGCAGAGCACCAAGTCCCTGGGCTGCAAACAGCAAGGGGGTCCTGGGTCCAGGGCATGAAATCATTTTTTCCTCCTCAGCCTCCAGGCCTATGATGGAAAGGGCTGCCATAAAGACCTCTGACATGCTGTGAAGAAATTTTCCCCATTGTCTTGGAACTTAATATTCAGCTCCTCATTACTTATGCAAATTCCTGCAGCAGGCTTGAATTCCTCTTCAGAAAATGGGATTTTCTTTTCTATCACGTTGTTAGGCTGCAAATTTTCCAAACTTTTATGCTCTGCTTCCCTCATAAAACTGAATGCCTTTAACAGCACCCAAGTCACCTCTAGAATGCTTTGCTGCTTAGAAATGTCTTCCGCCAGATAACCTAAATTATCTCTCTCAAGTTCAAAGTTCTGCAAATCTCTAGGGCAGGGGCAAAATGCTGCCAGTCTCTTTGCTAAAACATAAGAAGACTCACCTTTGCTCCAATTCCCAACAAGTTCCTCATTTCCATCTGAGATCACCTCAGCCTGGACCTTATTGTTCATATCACTATCAGCAGTTTTGTCAAAGCCATTCAACAAGTCTCTAGGAAGCTCCAAACATTTCCACATTTTCCTGTCTTCTTCTGAGCCCTCCAAACTGTTGCAACCTCTGCCTGTTACCCAGTTCCAAAGTCGCCTCCATATTTTCAGGTATCTTTTCACCAACACCCTACTCTACCAGTACCAATTTATTGTATTAGTCCGTTTTCACGCTGCTTATAAAGACATACCCAAGACTGGGAAGAAAAAGAGGCTTAAAGGGCTTACAGTTCCACATGACTGGGGAGGCCTCACAATCATGGCAGAAAGCAAGGAGGAGCAAGTAACATCTTGCATGGATGGGGCAGGCAAAAAAAGAGAGCTTGTGCGGGGAAATTCCTCTTTATAAAACCATCAGATCTTGTGAGACTTATTCACTATCACGAGAATAGCATGAGAAAAAGGCCTGCCCCATGATTCAATTATCTCCCACTGAGTCCCTCCCATGACACATGGTAATTGTAGGAGTTACAATTAAAGATGAGACTTGGGTGGCAACAAAGCCAAACCATATCACATTATAACATCATGAAATGGCCATTTGGAAAGTAGAGTTAAAGCAAGTTTTTCAAATTTGGATACATTTCATCACACAGTAACAACTATCGCATTTGCTATTATTACCACTGATCTCATCAGAAAATCTGTAATGAGAAGGTGTGAAGCTCATGGTTAGAGAAACATATTTTCCAAAATTCTCATTTTTTGCTTGAAAACTCAAAATTTTAAAGTGGCAACAAACACTATCAGTTATTTTATTTCAAAGACAGCCTCATTCACTAATTTTCAAGAAAATGTCTCCCAAAATCCCAGTCTGAAAACATAGTTTGTCTGTCATTCTTTCAATCTAAAATGACATTCCATGAAAAAGGGGAGGCTGGTGCAACTTAGAACTCGAACAATTGCCAAAGTGCTTTTCCCTGAGAGAACCATCATATTTTGGTATAGAGCAGAACTTTATGTTTACTTCCCATTACATGACACGAAGTATAAAAAGACATACTCAATGGGTGAGATTTAATAAAATTAACTTTTACTGCGTCATCAAGGACATTCTTAAGTGACATTTTAAGAAAAAACTGCAAATGCTCAGCGATGAAAAATACATTGAGTACTAGCACCGTTTGGTTCCCTGCCAAGATTTATGCTTAGGCATCAGCAATTTTATCTACCACAGCTTTGACACCATAAATGCAAATGTCATATACTGAAAAAAAGTAAATAACATTTGATTGATATTTTTATGAAAACAGTCTTGACCTCATGGAATCATCAAAAAGCTCTATGGTCTTTGACAACCACTACACTGGAACTTACTTATTAAGGAATTTCCAATAATGTTATACTCTCTGGTTTTTAATATTTATACCATGGAATCTTCTCTCTGAAAAAATGTCTAATATACCAAATCAATTCACTCGATATTATCAACAGACCTCCAACTAAAGTTTTCAATTCAATCTCCAAAAAGTTTGTATTTTTCAAATCCAGCCTACAGTAATTCAAGAGTATTTAATTCCCTTTACTACAAATAGAAACTTCGGAGGAGGAAAGATAAGCTGGGGCAGGTCATGATGGGCCTTGTTTGGACTGTTAGGAATACAAATAGAAACTTTACTCCTTGAGCAATAAATAGAGAAACAGCTAGCCTATACTAAAAATTTAGCATACCTTTTACATATAAGTGCAATAAATAAAAATATAAGATACAAAAAGGTTTCTCTTAAAACCAATCTCTGGAGCTCAGAAAAAAAAAAAAAAAAAAAACATCAAGGCTAGATGCAGTGGCTCACACCTGTAATCCCAGCACTTTGGGAGGCTGAGACAGGTGGATCACCTGAGGTCTGGAGTTCGAGACCAGCCTGGCCAACATGGTGAAACACTGTCTCTACTAAAACTACAAAAATTAGCCAGGCATGGTGGCGGGCGCCTGTAGTCCCAGCTACTCGGGAGGCTGAGGCAGGAAATTGCTTGAATCCGGGAGGAAGAGTTTGCAGTGAGCCAAGATTGCACTGCTGCACTCTAGCCTGGGTGATAGAGTGAGACTCCATCTCAAACAACAACAACAACACTCTAAGTAAAAAACAGTAAGTAAAGAGTCACCACCCCAATATACTCACTTTCTGTTTATGCTGCTGTAAGAGGTTGTCAAGATTGTGTCGCCTTTTATAGTTAAAATAGAAGTTTTTACATTGAGCTTCACTTTTCGTTCCCACCATTTTAGCAATTGCTGCCCAGTTACGACCATGTTCTACTAGACCTGCATTTTAAAAACAGACCAAATGTTAATTGAACAGTCACCTGATCAAGCAAACAAGAGAAATAATAAATTAACTTAATCACTGTATTCACAACCATTGACACTAGAAGTGTGCTTTCAATTACTTATCATATATACTTTGATACTTATAAAAATACTTATTGAAACAAAACTCATTTACAGTTCTATATTTTTCCCCCTCAAATTTAAAACATGCTCATTAACAGAAGGGCTAAACCTTGTCCTTCCTATGTATCTCTCACAGGGCTAGGACAACATTAGACACATTAGTAATAGCTCAAATACTTGCAAACTAAATGATTAGGTACATCTAGATCTCTGGACACAATATATCAAGCCAATAAGATAATCATATATAAATGATAAACACAATTTAAAGACATATATATGACTCCACTTATAATCCATATTTGTCCTCAGTCAATTCACAATCAAGCAATGCCATCAGAAAAATACTAGCCAATTTAAAAAAATCCTATGGTAATACAATGCATTACAGAAACCTATGCAATTTAACACTTCTCTAATCAATATATATATGCACACACATAAACACACACATACGTGCAAAGAATATGTATCTATGCATTTGTATACATATATAAGGGGTGATACAAAAAAATATGAAATGTGTCACTCAAATGTCAAGCTATTTACAATAATTTATCTTTACAACTGCAAGGTAAATATTTAACCACCAAAAATTAGCTAATCTTTCTCAATATTACCAATTATTTATCCTATTAGAAATTTTAGTTCAATTTCAAATTATAGTACATTAACAAGCAACGACAGAAAAGCACAAAGTCCATAAAGTGCCAGAGTAAGAGGAAGGCCACAAAGCTATGAAAGTGGCAGAGACAGGACTCAAACCTTCGCTGGCCTGGTTACAAACTTCATGCTCTTTCCTCTGAATCACAGAGCAATCTGCTAGTGGTTTATAATTACATGACTTACCAAATGCAAACTGACAAAAGTATTTACCATCCTATCCTATTAAATACAACTTTTAGGTAATAGAAATATAGACTTTATATCAACATTCATTCCAGAACAATTTCAATAGCATAGAGTCATAATTATTCTAAAAAAGTGAAAACGACCTACTTGTTCTTTAATTAAATGACATTCAAAATAAAACTGCAGAGAGAATCTTAAATCCCTTAAAACTGGGCATCTTAAACAAGGCACACTGGGGGTACTTTATTGGGTACCATACTACCAGAAAAGAACTCTTAAAGTCACTTCTGAGTCCTCTTTGCCTTTTTGAAAGAATTTTTTTTCCAATTAAAACAATTAGTTCCATCTCACTCATTACTAATAACCCTAAAAAACAAAACAAAAACCTGAGAAACCAGAACTACTACAATTTACCTTTTTTAGCAACTTCCATTTCTTCTTCTGTCCATCGAGAGGTCTCCACAGGCTCTGTAGAAACTAAAATAAAGAGAGAACCCAATCAGGCAGAGAAAAACAAAGTTAAATCCTTTATTCAAACCAATCATATAATTATATCTCTTTATCTGACATAAAAGACTATGTAAAAGCATTTGGTGAAAGAAACTGCAGAAATAGGATAGTAACCTCTCCTCCACCAAACTAGAAGAAACAAGTCAACACTTCAATATTATGATCTTTTTCAGTGTTGTTAAAAGTTCTCTTCATGTCTACATTTTTAAACATTTTGTTTTTTTCTGGAGAAGTCCTACCTCACCCAGTAGCTTCCCACTTAGTGATCTCCACCTCTCCTCTCCTGCAGTGTCAAAGGAAGAAGCAACCCTCCTCCTTCCTGTCCAAGCACAATTCCCTCTCCTCTCCTCTGAGCCTCCATCTTGTCCTAAAACTCCTGGAGCCCCTTTAGTTCATCCCCGAGTGTCTGACATCCAGTGGGTAAAGATGGATCATGAACTGAATATGTTCTCTTTTGCTTCAGGAAAAAAACAAAACAAAACAAAACAAAACCTGAGAACATCAGGCCTGATATGAGCTCCTGCCATATTCCCTTTCTCAATTTATAGTACCAGCATTCACCCAGTCACTCAAGTTACCAATAGGCTCCTTAGACTGATAGACTAATTTTTGAATCTTGCCTCCCATTTACCACTCACATCCAATGACATGCATCAACTCTGAATCCATCCCCTCCTTGCTTGGGCCACTGCATACATGCTGGGCCCTCTGCCTCCAGCCTTTATTCTGTCTAAACTGACCTCCACAATTGCTATCAGTTAACTTCCAAAGACACAAATCTAATCACAGCATTCCTCTATTTAAAAACCTCTGCAAGTTCCCCACTTCATAATCAAAGCAAAATACATTTCAAACAAGGCCCATCATGACCTGCCCCAACCTATCTTTCCTCCTCCTATCTAGTTAGTGCCCCTATCTCATTCTTGCCATTCCCTAAACTGCATTTTCTTTCATACTTCAGTAACAATGATACCTCTGAATCATTAACAGTGGTACTCTATCATTAATCTAGCCTTTTTATAAACTAATGAGACAATACTTAATGAGAGAGAGAAAGATGCTTTGACTATTAGATCCAGTATTCCCTTGCCTAAGAATTTATTCCATGACAAATAATTTAACATAAAATACTATGTGAATAAAGATTTTTTTATTACAGTGCTATATACATTGGTTTAAAAGCAGGGAAGAGGGCAGACAACCTAATCATTCAGCAATAAGAGAATGGTTAAAGAAGTCATGCCTCAATATTACACAGCCATTAAAAAATAAAAATGGTAATTATTAGAAATTAGAAAATATTTATGGCACACTAGCATAACAACTAAATAAAAAACAGCTATATTGGGGTGGCAAGACTGGGTGATGTTCTTTTTCAAAAAACTTTGACATTAAAGTTTAAAAAATTTAAAGACCACACTTCAGGATTATTTCTAGGTTGTCAATATTAAAAGTCCTTTCTACCCTATCCTAGCAGTGAAACAGAATCCCGAACAAAATTATGGCCTGTTTATGCCAATTGTTTCCACTCACTGGGTTCTGGTGGCGGTGGCAGAGGTGGTGGGGGCTCTTCAGTAGCCGCTGCGGCTGCAGCACTGGCAGCTGCAGCTTCGTTTGTCATGGACCTGGTGATCCGGCCCTTACGGCGGCCCTGACTGTTGGCAGTCTTTCGCCCCCGGGGTGTGGCTTGCTCTCTTTCCTCAGTTTCTTCTGCTGTACCATCTATCTTGTCCTTTTCCTTGGTATTTTCTCTGGACACAAAAGCAAATGAAAACTTGTGTGATTCCAAAGTATACATACATCGAAGAAGGTTTTAGTTTTGAATATTATCTAAATAGAAATTGAATAAAACTACCTAATCTCTCACTCAAAAAAAAAAAATTATCAACAATTCTGCCATACCATAGTTTTTAAAAGTTTTGACCAGCTAAAATTAAGATATTTTATAAGACCTATTTTACATACTAATGGACTTAAAATTTAAACACATTTCAAACCAACTGATTTAGAAACCAGAACTACTCCATGAGAAAGTAACAAATGACAGCAGAAAAGCCCTAGACCTGCAATCCAGAGACAACAGCCTACACCAAAAGGCAGGAATTCTGGGGTTTTATTTGCCTTTAGTCTAGGTTGCCTCATGTATGAAATGAAGAAGCTAAAATAGATGATCTTCATGATAGATGCCTTTTCTATAGTAATAATCCACAATATTGTTTTACAGTAATAATCTACAATATTGTTTTATAAAATCAGACTCAATACTCTAAATCATGTCTGATACTAATTATGTACAAATTGGGCAGTAATGGTTAATACTTAGGAAACGGCCTCTGGAGCCAGGCTGCCTGGGTTTGTACCACAGTTGTGATTTACTAGCCATGTGATGACCCTGGACAAGCTGCCTCACCCCCATGGGCCTCAGTTTCCTCATCTGTACAATGAGAAAAAGTTTATTTCATGGGACTGTTGCCAGGACTGAAGGAGTTAAATAAAGTACCCAGAACAGTGCCTGGAACACAGTCAGCATCAAGTAACAGTTTGCTATTATTCAAGCTAAAACTCCCTCAGGATATAAAGTGCTTACCATCGTCTCAGGCATGTAGAAACATGGTGGTTCCTATTAATAGCAACAGTACTACATGTAATACTGGAAGACCATTTTCTGTACTACTTACCTCCCATGGTTGTTATATTTAAGGAAACGTACTCAATGTACATTTTTGCAAATGAATGGATAGATGGCAATACTCAAAGACTCAATTATTCTTGCTTAATGGAAGATGCTGATTTTTTTCAAAAATAATTCTCTCCCCTTCAGTCCTAAATTGAAGTACAACATAGTCCTTTCCCTTTACTTACTTATTCCCTTATAAAGCTGGCTTCTATTCTGAAGCCTCCTGTTAAAAGATGTTTTCTCAAAAGTCACCAATGACTTGCAAACTGCAAAATCAAATGACCTCTTCTCAATTTTCCCCGCAAGTCTTTCTGTTACAACTGACGCTGCAGTTAATTCTTCTTTTTATATCACTTGAAACTCAGCTTTTGAAATATCCCTGCTGCTACTCTGGCTTTCCTTCAAGGGACAGACCTTTCTCCTCTCATCCTTTCTTTTGGGTTTCTGTTTTTTGTCTTTGAGAAAGTGTCTCACTCCGTCACCCAGGCTGAAGAGCAGTGGCGCGAACACAGCTCACTGCAGCCTCAATCTCTTGGGCTCAAGTGAGCCTCCCACCTCAGCTTCTCGAGTAGCTGGGACTACAGACACGTGCCAGCATACCTGGTTAATTTTTGTATTTTTTGCAGAGACAGGGTGTCACCATGTTGCCCAGGGTAGTCATGAATTCCTGTGCTAAAGCAATTCTCCCACCTTGGCTGGGATTACAGGAATGAGCCACTGTGCTGGGTTCCTCTCATCCCTTTCATACGGGGATTTCCCAAGGCTCTCCCCTAGAGCCTTAGAGCTATGTAAGGTTACCCATTCTCATAAGTTCTACCGGGAGGACTCCAATCTCTATCTTTGGACTCACACCCCAACTCCAAAGACTCAGGCTTATCTTCCCAACTACCTGCTGGAACGGCCACCTGGATTTTCCATCAATAGAAACTGAACATATCCAAAATCATATTCATCCTCACCTCTGCTCCTTGCTCCACGTCACTCTCTAATCATTTGTTGTTAACATTCCTACCATGTTCATCATCATTCAGGTTTACAGATTTGATATCATCCTTTGCTGTCTCCCTCTTCCCATACTTCCTACATGTGATCTAATGCCAAGTTTTGGTTATTTCATCTCAGAAATGCCTCTCTCACTAATTTTACCATCTCTATTTCTACTACCACTACACTTACTCAACACCTTAGTACCCCAATCCTGGCCTTTCATACTGGCCTCCCTGATTCATATCTCTAGTCTATTCATTTTATCTTGCCAATGAATCAACATTCTAGCAGGATAGCTTTGGCAATAAACCACTCCATCCATTCTAATCCCTTTCTAACTATTCCCAGACAGACACACAGCACAGCCTCCTGAATGAAGTCTACCATTTTTGGCTTTCATTAAAGCTCTACATAATTTAATTCCAATCCACCTTCCACTTCTCTTCTTGATGCACACTATGTTAAGTCTAATGAAATCATTATCTTCCACTAGCTATTCATGTGATTCCCTCTACCCTACCCACATTAACCACTAGCATCTGCTAATGTCCTCCAAATTATCCACAGAGAAGTAGCCTCGACCTCTTCTTAATCTGCCAAAGCACTTAACTGGTCGTCTGTTGACTTCTTACTGCCAGGCTTTTATTTCTTAAAGTAATACTTGTACTTTACCTACTTTTCCCCTACTAAATCATGAACTACCTGGGAATAGTATACATCTTACGTATTTTCACATTCTCCCTAAGACCTAGCTCACATAGATAATAAATAAAAGCTTGTTAAATAGTTTAGAAATTTTAACAAAAAAATAAAATCAAGTTATGACAGAGTTCCATGTGAGAAGAACCACTGGCTACATGGCCCAAAAAATGTTTAACCCAAACTAAAAGAAAAAAATATATTCCCTTAGAGGTATCTTCCTCAGGTATAAAATTACAATGAGAAGAATATCTGTCTCTTTTAAAACATGGCAAGTGACTAGCTACTTTAGCTTCCACAAAACTAGGTAAATCTTAAACAGTTCCACAAGGACTATAGATATAACATAATAAATATTAAAAAGGAACAAACTACTGATACATTCAACAACCTAAGTGAATCTCAAAGGCATTCATGCTAAGTAAAAGAAGCCATACATACTGTATGATTTCAATTTTTATGTAATTCTAGAGAAAGCAAAAAAGATACATGACGGCCAGAGGCTGGAAATGAGGAAAGAGAAACTGACTGCAAAGGAGCATATGGGAACCGTTTGGGGTGATGGAAACATTCTACATCACAATTGTGATAATAGTTACACAAGTGCATATGCTTGTCAAAACACATCAATGTACACATTTCAAACTGGTGAATTTTGTTCCATGTAATTTACAAAGCTAGTTCTTGGGGAAAAAAACAACCAAACCAACTGTCATGCCCCCACTCCTACCACACCCCTGTATGTCCACAAAAGCATCAACAATAACTCCCTGAGTGGCAGAATCATAGGTTAATTTTCACTATATTTTTCTTTTCCTGTTTTTCTATAATGTAATTTTATAACTAAGAAAACAGCAGTAACAACAAACAAACCCAAAACTCCATTTTATATGACGAAGTCAATAAAGCTGGAATCTAAAATATAAAAATGAACTCTTCCTGTCTTAGCATTTTTATACTAATATATACTACCTGAGGCTCAAAAACAGAACCTGAGGAATCTTCCAAATCAAAAATTAAATTACATTCAATATATCCTGGAGGAAAGTATATATTACTATAACCCATCCCTTCTGAAAAGTAATAATAACTCATGACTTGCAAATAAGTTCATTAAGTCAAAAATTACATTTACTGTAATATTCTATTCCTTAATCACATCAACTTAATCATGTAACTATTAGATGTTTCTAAAATTTCGGCCAGGCGTGGTGGCTCACGCCTGTAATCCCAACACTTTGGGAGGCTGAGGCAGCTGGACCACCTGAGGTCAGGAGTTCAAGATCAGCCTGGGCAACATGGTGAAACCCCATCTCTACTAAAAACACAAAATTAGCCGGGCGTGGTGACGCGTGCCTGTAATCCTACCTACTTGGGAGGCCGAGGCACAAGAATCACTTGAACTTGGGAGGCAGAGGTTGCAGTGAGCCAAGATTGCGCCACTGCACTCCAGCCTGGGCAACAGACTGAGGCTCTGTCTCGAAAATAAATAAATAAAATAAAATTTCAGCAGATTAAATTTCATTATTTAAAAATTACTAGGCTGGGCGCAGTGGCTCACGTCTATAATCCCAGCACTTTGGGAGGCCAAGGCAGATGGATCACGAGGTCAGGAGATGGAGACCATCCTGGCTAACAGTGAAACCCCATCTCTACTAAAAATACAAAAAATTAGCTGGGCATGGTGGCAGATGCCTGTAGGCCCAGCTACTCGGGAGGCTGAGGCAGGAGAATGGCGTGAACCTGGGAAGTGGAGCTTGCAGTGAGCCGAGATCATGCCACTGCACTCCAGCCTGGGCAACAGAGCGAGACGCCATCACAAAAAAAAAAAAAAAAAAAAACTATACTTTTGCAGCAACATGGATCAAACTAACGGCTATCATCTTAAGTGAAATAACTCAGAAACAGAAGGTCAACTATCACATGTTCTCACTTATAAGTGGGAGCTAAATAATGTGGACACATGGATATAGAGAGTGGAATAAGAGACACTAGAGATTCAAACAGGTGAGAGGGTGCGAGGGGGTGGGTGAGGTATAATGGGTATAATGTACACTATTTGGGCGATGGTACACTAAAAGCACAGACTTCACTACTATGCAATATATCCATGTGACAACTGTACTCCCTATATCTACAAAAATAAAAATAAAATAAAAATAAACATTTAACTTATTATATAACTAATTATTTAACTCACTTGGAGTCTTCTTTTTCATCTTTTTCCTCTTCATCTTTCTTTTCTTCTTCTTTTTTTTCTGTTTTTTCTGCTTTATCCTCTTCTTTTTCTTCTACTTTTTCTTCTTGCGAGGGTCGAGCAATTTGCTGCTAGAATGAACCATCATTTGTAAAATTCAAAGGCAAACAGAAATAGCTCCTTATAGTGTGATAAATTATGTCTATCTAAAAAAATTTTAAATGATTGTTAGTCATTTACAATGTAACTGGTGATCGTGTGTTAAAAACCAGTCTAGAGGTTTTTAATGTATTCTATATGTACTGCTTGAAGGGTCCTACACGCAGACACAAATGCTCATAGCATTTGGACCCACGAGAAAGTGAAAATGTTAAGATTCTACTCGGAAATCTGGGGTTGGTTCCCTTTTTTGGCAACCTCCACATTTAATCTGTCACTCAAGCATTCCAATTCTACCTTAAAATTTGATAACCCATACATAATTTATCATGTTTTAGATACTTAATATGTTTCCAATTTTTTCATCACTATCTATAATGCTATAAGAAACATCTTCATGCATTTATACTTTTGAGCGAAAGTCTACTTAATGGAATATGTAAACAGCTATGGTCGTTACTAAGACTGAAGTAATTTGGAAAAATACTAAAGCTATAATAAGGTGAAAAGAAGTAAAATGCTTAAATATTTCTAAGCTAAGCAGTCACACTAGGAATCCTTTTATCTCTGATGTCTCATTTGCAAAACCTGTGACTCTAAAAGAAAAAAGTGAAACTAAGTGTGCAATGAATGCTACTACAGTAGCCCCCACCATATCAGGAGTTTCTCTTTCTGTGGTTTCAGTTACCTGGAGTCAACTGCAGTATGAAAATGGGTAAGTGTAGTAGCGTACAGTATGATATTTGAAAAAAGACCACACTCATGTAACTTCTATTACAGTATATTGCTATAACTCTATTTTATTATTTGTTACTGTTAATTCCTTACTGTGCCTAATATACAAATCAAAGTTTATCATAGGTGTGTGTGTGTATATGTATATATCTGTATGTATATATACATGTATGTATATATCTGTATGTATATATACATGTATGTATATATCTGTATGTATATATACATGTATGTATATATCTGTATGTATATATACATGTATGCATATATGTATGTATATATGTGTGTGTATATATGTATGTATATATACGTGTATATATGTATGTATGTATATATACATGTATGTATATATGTATGTATATATACATGTATGTATATATGTATGTATATATACATGTATGTATATATGTATGTATATATACATGTGTATATGTGTATGTATATATACATGTGTATATGTGTATGTATATATGTGTATATGTATATATACGTGTATGTGTATATATACACGTGTGTATATGTGCATGTATATACATATGTGTATATACACACGTGTATATATCTGCATGTATATATACACATGTGTATATATGTATGTATATATACATATGTGTATATATGTATGTATACATACATATGTGTATGTGTATATATACATATATGTATATATGTGTATGTGTATATATACATATATGTATATATGTGTATGTGTATATATACATATATGTATATATGTGTGTGTATATATACATATATGTGTATATATGTGTGGAGATATATATATATATCTCTCATAGTATATTAGGGTTCGGTACTATCTGTGGTTTCAAGCATCCACTGGGAGTGTTGGAACATATCCCCTGTGAATAAGGGGGAACTGCTTTATTTTGCTTTTAAGAGACAACATCTCACTCTGTCACCCAGGCTACAGTACAGTGGCATGATCATAGCTTACTGCAGCCTCAAACTCCCAGGCTCATGCAATCCTCCCACCTCAGTCTCTCAGGTAGCTGGGGCTACAGGTCTCAAACTCCTGACCTCAAGTGATTCTCCCACCTCAGTCTCCCGAATGCTGGGATTACATGCACGAGCCATTGTGACTGGCCTGCATTTTTATTTAATTCAGAAATCAAAACTGTATAACCAAATTAAAACAGAACTCCAACACATCTTTCCAGCACAGCAGGCTGGCCCTTGCACACCTCCCTCCAATCACCATCCTGCCACATCATCTTCGCTGTTCTGGACTCACCTAAACATGCCCAGCACTTGCATAGCTTTCTACCCTTCCCTTTCCTGATAAAGTCCCACATAGTCTCTACAATTCAGGTCAAAATGCTACATCTCCTGTGAAGCCTCTCTTGATTTCCACAGAGGAACTCTGGGGCCATGTCCTTCCCTCTCCACCACAGACCACACCTGCTTGTAGCACTGTCACTAGGTGGCTTAGTGCCTGCTTATCAGCATCCATCTGGCTCTCTGTGTTATCATCTCATCAAGAACAAGAATCCAATCTTACTTCTCTAAGCATCCCCAGCTCCCAGGAGAGTGTCTGGACCATGATGATAGGTGTATGCATATGTTGGATAAAACAAAAATCAAATTCCTTTATTCCAGTTATCTGAAAAGTTTTTACCCTCCAATCTCGACTGTTCATTCTGATCCAGGCTAATGTCAATCTTGCCTCATAGCAACTCTACCTGTCCTCTTACTTGTTTTTACCAGACAATATGGAAGTAACTAATTAATTTTAAGAAAAATTTCCCTTCTTAATAGCGCTCCAAAGTCTTTTACCTATTCATCAAAACCAACACTTAGCTTTTTCCTTAAGATAATGAAGGCCTTATTCACCTCCCCAAAAGAAGTCCCATCCACATTATGCCTCCTTCTAATCCAAGGGGCAAGGAAAGAAGAAAATGAATCCTTCTTGGTCCACTTCCAGAACATTGCTGAACTGTGATATTTTAAAAATAATTCCTTTTTCACGTTTCATAAAATCTCCCTAGATCAACATTCTCTTTTGGTGTTATGGAATGACTTCTTAAATATTCCCTAGAACATATAAGTGATTGCATCACATGGCTCATTATGCCTTGACATTATTTTTCAGATTTCAAAATGCATGTCAATGGCTTTTCTAACACTCGCCACTCAATCAACATAACATCTCACAGTTAAAATACTTTTAGGTCATGGCCATTAAACTCCCCACATGCAAAATCACAATTGCCTCCTCATTAGCAGTGGGCACTGCTTTGCCTCCTAGATCCTAAAATCAGAAAGTCTTCTCTCCAACTACAACCACCCATCGCACACCTTCATTGTGTCTGATCCTGCTTTGTCCTCATTGTGACCTTTGAACCCTTATTCTATCAAATTTTCACAGTCCAGTGAGAACTGTACCTACTATTCTACTTGCTAAAGCATTTCAATACCATGATTCCTTCACTTGCTTTATCTGACCTTCCTAACTTCTCACCCTGGCTAACTGCCAGTTCCTCTTTCTTCTGGATATTTATTGCTAGAGAAAACTGATAAACTAGGGAGATTTTAAAATTTAAACTTTCAAACCATGAGTAGGTCTGCTTTATAATTGGGCAAGTTTTACTCAGCTCTGACTCCCTGGGACACTACAGTGGTCACAAGACCTGTTTAAATGCTAATAACCTAACCCTGTAACCAATGTAGCATCCATGTGTCACTCTGAACCAGTAAGATGGCATAGTAAGGACAAATCATGCCCTTTGCCTAGCAAGTGAGCTGTGTAACCCAGAAAACGGTTTATGGCCTAAAGATACGACGGGGACATGTCAACTCAGCAGAACGTAAGGAAAGAAATTCAGTATCCCCTTAGAGTTGGGTAACACATGCTAATCTTATTTCCCCAATACTTTTCTGCTTCTAATGCCAATCAGAGCTTCAAAGTAATCCCACGCATTCCCTGCTGTCTAAAATCCAACCAACAGATAACTTCACTCCCCTTTCCCTGGTGCTAGGGAATAAGAAACAACTGCAGCACCTGCTTAAACCAATCAGTGTAAAGAAGGAAACAGCTCCTGGCTCTGCATAGTGTGGAAATGATCCAAAGAAATGGACAGAGTTGCTGCATTAGAGTCTAGAGAAGTGTTTGGTACCTGTCCAGCAGAACCTCTCACCCCTCTGTATACTGACCAGGCAGTGGTGAGCGGAGAGGAAGTGCAGTCAGCAGCAACTGGAGGACCTCACCTTTGTGCAATATGCATAAAGACCTATCATAACAACTGCCACTGACATTCAAGAGAGTAAGGAATTACCTCTAATTTAAACAAGAGATGCTTGGAACTACTTTTGTTTCAGGCAAATCTGTAAAGAGAAGTGCCAGTCAATCCACATGGTCTAGGATGAAGGTTACAAGTTACATCCCTCAACTCCACAGGGTGGCTGGAGCAAAAGAGGTCCACCCCTTCAAAAGAAACCCTTCTAAAAGTTCCCTACACAGACACAAATATTCGCAATGGCTCGTTGTCCAGGTTTTTCCTTTTCTCCCCTTCTTTAAACTCAATACTTGAGAGCCAATAAAACAAGTTTAATTCTGTCAGGGAGTTAATATAACATGAAACATTTCTGTCAAATAACAAGCTATTCACTATGAATGAATATTCTAGAACACATATAAAACAAAATGAAAATTCAAAGAAAAAAGTAAAAGTTAAGTGTATTTCTTTTTATTTTTATTTTTATTTTCATTGTGAGACAGGGTCTTACTATGTCACCCAGGCTGGAGTACAGCGGCGCAATCTTGGCTCACTGCAACCTATGCCTCCCAGGCTCAAGCGATCCTCCCACCTCAGCCTCCTGAGTAGCTTGGACTACCAGCACACATCACCACACCTGGCTAATTTTTTTTTTGTATTTTTTGTAGAGATGAGGTTTCACCATGTTGCCCAGGCTGGTCTCAAATTCCTAGGCTCAAGTGATTTGCCCACCTCAGCCTCCCAAAGTGCTGGGACTTTAGGCATAAGCCACCGCACCTGGAATTTTTTTTTTTTTTTTTTAAGACTGGATCTCCTTCTGTCGCCCAGGCTGGAGTGCAGTGGCGTGATCACGGATCACTACAGCCTCAACTCCCAGGCTCAAGCGATGCTCCCACCTCAGCCTCCTGAATAGCTGGGATTACACTACAGTGCACGCCACTGTGCCAGGCTAATTTTTTAATTTTTTTGTAGAAAATCAAATTTTTCAGTTTTTTAACTTTTTGTATAAATTTTTAAAGTTTTTGTCCAGGCTGGTCTCAAACCTCCCAGGCTCAAGCAATCCTCCTCCCTCAGCCTCCCAAAGTGCTGGGATTACTAGTGTAAGCCACAATGCTTGACCTGGTAAGTGTATTTCAACATAATTTAAGAACAGGATTCAGTTTCATATGGGTCCCCTTTGGCAAGATCAAATAATAGTTTATGCTAAGATTCATTACTACTATATATAAATGAATATCTAACTATATATATGTGCTAATTATATTTGTTTTAAATGTTCACCTTTTTTAGAAAAGAGAAACAGACAAGTTCCCACTCAACAGAAAATAAGTTGCCAAAAAACGAAATTACTAAATTTAATAACAAGCAGCAATTGTAAATAAAAATTTACACGAGGAAGAAAATGAAATACCGTTTCACTACTGGACAATATTTTCTTTAAAAATATACTTCGGGAAATAAACAGACAATATCTTAAGCCTATCTTATCAAAATTTATTAACAATTAGTGCTCCTAAGCCAACTGAATTTCAGACTAACTTCCTGAAGAGTGAAAGCTGTCAATCACCAAAAAACACACTGTGGCAATGGCAATAAAGATAACAGTGGCTACCATTTATTGGGCACTCTCTGTGCCTGACTCTGCACTCCAGGGACTTTACACACATACCCAGTTCTTATTAACCATGCAACCTAAGTATCACTGACCCCACTCTCATGAATGTGGAAACCAAGGCTCACCAAGTGAAAGGACCCACCTAGAGTCACATAGGTACAATTGGGCAGAGCACTCTGGGGCTAGAGTTCTTGCTGATATAATAAACTTCTTAACTTGTCTAAAATAATCTTTCTATCTAGTGACTAGCTAACAGTTTAGTCAGAAAATTCCTCCAATTTCAAAATTGCTATATTTACCTAAGTATATGCTTCTGAATACCTTTAGGGAATAAAAACACACTGGCATAAAGGGGAAAATGGTGTTAGCATAAAAGAAGGGCATGAATTCCTGTGGAAAGTAATCAAGCATTTGGAAATGAAGAATATGGTTTCTAACATGACTTGCTTTACTGCAGGTAACTAGCAAGTACCACAGTAATTCTACCTGCACAGTGACAGACTTACCAGATGGCAGTTTATGTTGGAAAAATGCAGCATTTACTAGGGGAAGAAACTCTTACTGCTAGCAAGAACAATGTACATAGAATCAAACTATTACGTAGGGCATAATCCTAGATCCTAAATAATAACATTCAACAGTGGTTTTTGGCTTCCAATCTCCAATATGTATTCATTACTTCAACAAAAACATATAGAGAACCACACTCACTCTCCATGGAATGGTAACAAGCTGAACTATAAAAATGGGTTGGGGTAGTCTCTATCAGAATTTGGAGAGAAGAGTTAAAATTCCTGCCAAGAATAACCTCTGAACACAATTTTAACAAAAATATAAACATCTGTCTCATTTTCCTATGAGTCTAAGATTAAAACTCATTTTCAGAGTAAACACTACTAAGCTTCCCTATAGCAACAGGTTTTAAAAAATCAAACTTTGCAAACTTAGAATCTATCAATAGCAAACTACACTTTTTTTTTTTTTTTTTTCCTGAGATGGAGTCTTGCTCTGGGATTCTAGGCATGAGCCACCACGTCCAGTCTGGCTTTTCTTGCTTTCCTTCCTTCCTTTCCCTCCTTCCTTCCCTCCCTCCCTTCCTTCTTCTTCTTCTTTTTTCCCTCCCTCCCTTCCTTCCTTTTCTCTTTCTCTCTTCTTTCTTTTTTTTCCAGACGGGGTCTTGCTCTGTCACCCAGGTGGGAGTGCAGTGGCATGATCTAGGCTCGCTGCAACCTCTGCTTCCCAGGTTCAAGCGATTTTTCTACCTCAGCCTCCAGAATAGCTGAGATTATAGGTGTGCACCACCACTCCAGGCTAATTTTTGCATTTTCAATAGAGACAGGGTTTCAGCATGTTGCCCAGGCTGGTCTCGAATTCCTGACCTCAAGTGATCCACCCGCCCTGGACTCCCAAAGTGTTGAGATCACAAGCGTGAGCCATCGCACCCAGCCACACACTATACATTTATCTGCTGAATAAAAATTACTTCCTACAAAAAGGAGGCTGGGAGTAGAGGATAGGGAGAGTAATCAAACTCATATTGACAGGATCAAGCATAAACTTCAGCAGAACTTTAAAGAATCTTTAAGTAAACATGCCATAATGGCTGTGAGATCACCTGAGCTAAACCCTCCTGACTAGAGCTTGGTTACATAGCAGAGAAGTAAAGTGATTTTCAAATTAGTTGGATCTCTGTATCCACCAGGGTAAAATCAAGGGAGTTGATACATAGATTTTGAAAATCTTAACCTTGCAATTCAATTCTGTTTTTAAAAAGAAGTATTCTAACCTTTTTTCTATATAGCAAATTCTATATCTTTAACCCAGATCTTTTTCCTACACTCCAGACTTATATGTCTAACTATCCACTTTACTTGGACCTCATTTGGATCTCTGCTTAGACACCTAATAGGTATTTCATATTCAGCCATGTCCTGATTTTCCCCTCAAAACCTGCTCCTCCTTCAGTCATGCCTGTCACAGCAAATGGCAACTCCACAGGTCAAAACTTGTTTTCCTTGATTATTGTCCTTTCCTCATCCCCACAATCAATCCATCAGCAAAATCTCGTGGTTTTACCTTCAAAAGTACATCCAGAAACTAATCCGTTCTCCCCGCCTCCTCACTGTAGCCTAGTCCAAGTCAATGGGATTATTAAAACAACCTCCTAACTGGTTTCTCTGCTTCTTCTCTTGTCTCCTTACAAACTATTCTCAACAGAGCAACCAGAGTAATCATGTCACAACTGAAATCTGGCAGCCCTCTTTTGCTCAAAACCCCAGTGGCTTCTTCTCTCACCTGGTATCAGCTCAAAAGGCCTTCAGTTTTACACAGAGAGCCCTTAAACTAACACCACCTAATTTCTGAAAAGCTGCCCCTCTATTTTGACACAAATAAATGGAATAAGTATACAAACAATTAAGAAACAATGGTAAATCTGGTGGCATGAGATGATGGTCTAAATTCATTTAACTCACACCTCTCCCAAATTCCCCGTGAAACAACCAGAGAAATGTAAAATTGGAGGAAAAATCTTCAAAGCAATAACTTAAAAGCTAATGAGGGCAGAGCTAGCCTACCAGAAGTGCTGACCAACCCAAAACTGAGCCTACCTGGGGGTAAGCAACCTAAGGCTCAGGTCAAGGTGAGGGTATACATGGCAATTCTCACATCTGCAAATACATTCTGAGACAGGTACTTTGAAACATGCAACAAGAATGTACAGAAGAGAACACCAACATGGCTGGATCTTAACAAGGATCGGTGTGCCACAGAGAGGAGTGAAACTGTGTCCCAGACAACTTTAGGAAAGAAACGACTGTTTCAGAATAACAAACATCCGTGCCCCATAGAACTTCCTGCTAGAGCTCTCTCCTCTATCATCATGGGCAACTGGCTGCTAATCTGGCAAAGGTTAAGGTACACTGTATAAGTATCACCTTATCTCTTACGTTAATGTAGGACTGAACATTTTAAACAGTAACATATATAATTTCTAAAGATAAAGTTATAAATACTATTTGGCAATTAGGAACAAAACTGTTAGAAATTTGCAGCTGAGGCCGGGCGCCGTGGCTCATGCCTGTAATCCCAGCACTTTGGGAGGCCGAGGCGGGCAGATCACGAGGTCAGGAGATCGAGACCATCCTGACTAACACGGTGAAACCCCGTCTCTACTAAATATACAAAAAATGAACCAGATGTGGTGGCGGGTGCCGGTAGTCCCAGCTACTCAGGAGGCTGGGGCAGCAGAATGGCATGAACCCGGGAGGTGGAGCTTGCAGTGAGCCAAGATCGCACCACTGCACTCCAGCCTGGGCGACAGAGCGAGACTCCATCTCAAAAAAAAAAAAAAAAAAAAAAAACTGTAGCTGAAACTTGTTTAAAACATAGATGGTCCCTATGATCTCTAGCTAAAAGGGTATTACAGGACCTTGATTCCACATTCTTTAGGGGAAGCAGGAAGAAAAGCCCTGGCAATATTCTTCTCTCTGGTGGAATAGTGCTTCCTATTTCACTGTCAACACTCAATTTATTCCTTTTCTGTCAGTACATCTTTATGAAGCTTGGCAAGCACCCATCCTTTGTCTTACGGTACTGCACCCATCAGTGTACAAGTATGCCCTTTATCCTCCCTTCTCTGATCCTCATTAGCCCTACCGACCCATTTCACTATTCCACTTTATAAAAAAATTTTAAAAACAAGGTTGCACTTGTACTAATGCCACTTCCTCACCTTCTGTATCTTCTTCAACTCTGTGTAACCGTGTTTCTGCCCCCTCACTAATTCACTGAAAATCCACGTCTAAGGCACCTTGGCTTACTCAACCTCTAACAGCATTTTACACAGTTGACTCATGAAACACTCGCTATACTTTTTTAAACAAGAAATACTGTTTCCAAAGAGCATGTAATCACATCATGTGGGGTGGTGGTGTTCTGTGGGAAATAATGACCCAGAAAACATAAAAAGGTTATAGCTGTGAATACTGAGAGAACTGGGTCAATAACCTATATCTGGTAACCAGGGGCTATCAAACGAAGAAAGGGAGTAAGACCCCACCCCAACAAAAGGGTGGCTGAGTGGGAAAACCAGAAGAGATTTAATAATGCTAATGAATCGTTGCAGTGTCGGAGCTCATGCATGCAAGTCCTTATTGTAATATCTATCCGGGTGTAGACAGCAAAAGCCTCCATATTAACTGTGGTGGTGGCAGTAGCGCAGCAGTCTCTCTGGTAAGCACCTGTGAGCTATGGCAGCTGCTGATCAGTTATTTGGGGAAAATCATTTTGAAATTACTGAATTGCAACTGTGAAAACTAACCTTTTTCAGTTTTATACTTCTGGAAAACTACCTTTAGTAAAAGTGCCTTTTTTATTTTTTGGAGACAGAGGTCTTGCTCTGTCACTCAGGCTGGAGTGCAATGGCACAATCATGGCTCACTGCAGCCTCGACTTTCCAGGCTCAAGCCATCCTCCCACCTCAGCCTCCCATGTATCTAGGACTACAGGCATGCACCATCATGCCCGGCTAATTTTTTCTATTATTTTGTAAAGACAGGATGGGTCTCGCTATGTTGCCTAGGCTGGTCTTGAACTCCTGGGCTCAGGCGATGCTCTGGCCCCAGCCTCCCAAAGTACGGGGATTACAGGTGTGAGCCACTACACCCAGACAGAAAAAGTGCTTTTTAGAAATTAAATTATCTAGGCTGGGCGCGGTGGCTCATGCCTGTAATCCCAGCACCTTGGGAGGCCAAGGCAGGTGGATCATGGAAGTCAGGAGATTGAGACCATCCTGGCCAACATGGTGAAACCCCATCTCTACTAAAAATACAAAAACTTAGCCGGGCGTGGTGGCAGGCGCCTGTAGTCCCAGCTACTCAGGAGGCTGAGGCAGGAGAATCGATTGAACCCAGGAGGCGGAGGTTGCAGTGAGCCAAGATAGCACCACTGCACTCCAGCCTGGGCGACAGAGCGAGACTCTGTTTCAAAAAAAAAAAAAAAAAAAAAAGAAAGAAAGAAATTAAACTATCTGAACTCCACAAATGAAGTTAATATGAAACAAAATCAGGTTCCAGGTTTTTGTAAAGAATCTCTAATCAAGGTACCATGTTGTATTTCTCTCCCTTACTCTACCTGACCCCTCCTCAGATAAACAGACTGGCTAAAGATAGTGTATTAAAAGTATTAATGGCTTCATATTTAATTACATGATTATTGCTGACACTGAAATGCATGACTCAGATGACAGAATGGTATAAAACTTTTCTAATTAATTTTATCATAGTAGAAACTTAAAATATATTTGAAATACAAGATTTAATACATTAAATATATAAATATAACTTCAAAATAATTATAACATCCTCACTAATTTAACAGAAACATCAATGTTTAAACTACACACTAAGGGCAGGACTTCTGTTTTAACACTTTTTGCTTGCCTATTTCCCCCAATCCTGAAATATCTTCCATACAAGTAAGAAAACACACCTGGTTTCTGCCTCTGCGTTTCCCATAATTCCTTCTGACGAGGGCTTTATAATTCTCATTTTTCTTGGTTAAATAGTAATACAAAACACAATCAGGAACACTCTGTAAGAAATAAAACAATTATTTTTGAGGATCCAATGAAATAAAGAAATTTTTTAATTAAATATTACTTCCAAGGAAAATCTCTGGTATTCTGAAAGTAAAATTAAAGAAAAAGAACAACATACATTGCTAGCATTTTAAGGCATATCTAGGCTCTAAAATTATTTACATTATAGGTACTATTTTAATAGACAGTTACAGTTGTTAATCCAAATTATGTGAAAGATGCCAGGAACTATCAGAAACATTCAAATATTTTCTTATTAACAAGTAAATTCCCTTTCTGATTACATACATGCAAATTTTTAAAATGTCTTTAAATATTTTGTTCAAAAACATTAAAATCAACTTTATATTAAATATGGAATGATTCACAAATTTGCTTGTCATCCTTGCGCAGAGGCCATGCTAATCTCTGCATCGTTCCAATTTTAGTATTATGTGCTGCTGAAGCGAGCACGAGACTGATATTTTAATTAGAAATTTAATGAGGCTCCAAAAGCATTGTAATCTATGTGTTTTAGGGAAATAAACATCAGGTCATCTTTCATTAACCATTTAGTTCTGTGTTCTGTGTTACGATTTCTCTAATAATTGTAATTATCATTACATTAATCACATGAGACTCTTCGCAGTCTTTTTAAAATCGGTTCTAGTTAACTACTTATATGTGTCAGAGCACAAGAATTTCAAAGTAACAACCATCACAAACCTACAAACACTCCCAATGCAAACCATGTCTTACCTTCCTCTCCAAGTATGATGCAATTAGTCCAAAGTTTTTTGGATGCTGGATAAACCTGAGTGAAAACGAAAACAAAAACACACTTGCGTACAAATATTTCAACAACTAAAAAAAAAAAAACTTGGGAAAAGAAAGACTATGTATAGGCTGGGCGTGGTGGCTCATGCCTGTAATCCCAGCACTTTGGGAGGCCGAAGAAGGTGGATCACTTGAGGTCAGGAGTTCAAGACCAGCCTGACCAATATGGCAGAACCCCATCTCTACTAAAAATACAAAAATTAGCTGGGGATGGTGGCACATGCCTGCAGTCCCACCTACTCAGGAAGCTGAGGCAGGAGAATCGCTTGAACCCAGGAGGCAGAGGTTGCAGTGAGCCGAGATCACAACACTGGACTCCAGCTTAAGCGACAGAGCGAGACTCCGTCTCAAAAAAAACAGAAGAGAAATACTATGTATAGGGCTTTCTAACTGCCAATCTGAGGAACAATTGTAGAATCACTGGAGACTTTTAAAGGGCACAGATTTCTGGGCACCATACACCAGGAAATGATTAGTCTACGGTAATACATAGAAATCTGTACTTTATAAAAGCTCCCCAAAAGTTCAGCCAGCACCCAAGTTTGGGAACCACTCTTAACATGACTCCATAACCCCAGTTCTTATCTGTTACCTCTTTTCCCACCTATAAACTTACAGGAAGATCAATATTCTCTACTTTTCACAGTATTGATTCAAACACCAAAATGGGACCAAGTTTTTGTGAAAACAGTTCAATTTACAAGTAAATGCCAAATACTTTTTACTAACTTATGTAGATGTCTATTAGAGAATAATTTAAAATATAAATTACTTGTCCTTAAAGATCTCCTTTTCATGGTCAGTCCAAACATTCATAAACTGCCTATCTTTATACACTTTCATAGGGTCCTCCATAAGCCCATTCATGTTAATGAACTTGACTCGTCTTTGTTCTGCATCAAACATCATAGGTGGAATCACAGAGAGCTGCCGCATTTGTTTCTCATTATTCTGGAAAAAAAATACAATTTACTTAGAATAAAACATAAACTAGAAATTTAAGGAGGGCCATGGACCAATGCTCTTAATGTGCACTAAAAAACCATGTATGCAGTTTAATAACAATAGCAGTGTATACCACAGCATCTAACATACAATAATTACTCATATATCTAATAAATATTCACTGTATGAATTACAGAGGCAGAGAATATCCATATCGTTTTTTAAATAATCTACTCCTTTGAGAAGAATTCTTTTCTTAAACTAAGCTGATACTTAACATAATAAAATTTTAGACCTGGAAGATAAAAAGTAATGTCAAGTTCACTGAAGTGGTGACCTTATGGAGCATTTAATTATCATATTAGTCTCATTTTTTAAAGTCTCAACATCATTTTATAGAACAACTTTTACCGTCATATTACAGAACAATAAATAGAAAAATAAGCAAACAGGCATCAAAATTTAAGTCAGCGATTTTAAATTAAACTCACTTTACTATTAAACGCTTCTTGCTAATTTTACATCATCTTTCCATTGAAAATTTAAGGTTGTTATTCTTAGAAATGAAGCTTGTTTCAACTAAAACTTTGTTACACGTGCAGAACTTATTTTTCCCAAAGTTTAACTGAGGAAATTTTTAAGTACAAACTTCTATTTAAAAGCTTTTACCCAAATTACAAGTATTTACCCAAATATAAGAAAAGGTATTTCCCTAAAAATTTTCCTCATAAAAGTGGATACTGCCTAATAGTCAAGTCCTTACAAAGTCTCTAATTTCCTGGGACACTCTCAATCAGTTTGAACACTATAGTGTTTAGACTGAAATTACACATTAGATTGAAATTACCTCAATACATAAACTAATTTTAGATGCTTACAAATGTTTCCTCATGGAATCAGTCAAAGAGCAAATAAAGAAATTTAACAGAGATTTACTCATCATTGTAGAAATAATGGCTACATATTCCAAGGGCTGAATGTCATTTCAATCATGTACTTACAGATGTTTCCTCATGGAATCAGTCAAAGAGCAAATAAATTTAACAGAGATTTACTCGTCATTGTAGAAATAATGGCTACATATTCCAAGGGCTGAATGTCATTTCAATCATGTACTTTAGAGGTAATTTTAAAAGCAATATAGAGTAAGTGGTTATGTTTTAAAGCTCTTGATTATACTGCTACAAAAGAAATGAAAAATTGCTGGGCACAGTGGCTCACGCTTGTAATCCCAGCACTTTTGGAGGCCAAGGCAGAAGGACTGCTTGAGCCCAGGAGTCCAAGTCTAATCTGGGCAGTATAGTGAGACCCCATCTCTACAAAATAATTTTTTTAAATTAGCTAAGTGAGAGGCTGGGTGGGGTGGCTCACACCTGTAATCCCAGCACTTTGGGAGGCCAAGGCAGGTGGATCACCTGAGGTCAGGAGTTTGAGACCAGCTTGGCCAACATGGCAAAACCCTGTTTCTACTAAATATACAAAAATTAGCTGGGTGTGCTGGCATGTGCCTGTAGTCCCTGCTACTCGGGAGGCTGAGGGAGTAGAATCGCTTGAACCTGGGACGCGGAGGTTGCAGTGAGCCAAGATCGTGCCACTGCATTCCAGTCTGGCTGACAGAGCGAGACGCCATCTCAAACAAACAAACAAACAAACAAACAAAAAGTTAGCCGGGCGTAGTGGTGTACCAGTAGTCCCAGCTATTCAGGAGACTGAGGTGGGAGGATCACTTGAGCCCGGGAGGTGAAGGATGCAGCAAGCCAAGGTCACACCATTGCACTCCAGCCTGGGTGACAGAGTAAGACCCTATCTCCTATCTCAAAAAAAAAAAAAAGGAAAATTCACTTGTCCTGATATTATGCAATAGTATGTGCAATATGTATTTAGGGCTTGAGATAAAATTTAGCAATGATAACATCATAAATGTATTCCAAAAGAAGTACATCTCCGGGAATCTGGGCACAGTGAAGCTGGTATGCTCTGGAACACTGATAACTCAAAGGTGTCTCTAGAAATGGCTAAGATCCTGAAATCATATAACAATGCACTGAAAAGCTTGAGTGTGGGATATACCTCTGACTAAATATTGTAATTGTCCCTAAAGAGTTATGTATTTCAATGCACCAAAAATCACCTTGGAATCCTCTCTTTGGGAAAGGAGAATATCAGAAATAAGAAAGGAAAGAAAAACCACCTGTAGAAGTCTATTTTGATCAGTATAAGAACAATCTGAGAAGTAAAATGGTTTAAGGAACTCTGAGATATAGTTTATATAGTTCTATACCTCCTCCAGGGCTAGTTTAACTAGAATTCTGAAACACAGTAACTTATAAGAGCATACTATATACTTTTATAAGAGCATACTATATACTTTTATTTAGTTATGAATGCAAAACAGGGTATCATAATTAAATACTGATAGAATCCTACAACATATATCAACACAAAGACAAACTCTGTACAAAGAGGCTATTTTTTCATCCTGGAGAAAAACTTACTGCAACTGTCTCACAAGTAATTTTTCATGAGATCAAGCAACTTGATGGTTTAATTTACCATTGTATTCCCAATGCTTAAAGGAAAGTTTGGCACATAATAGGCTATAAATATTTGTTGAAAGAATAGACTTGATTGAATATAGATATGGAAAAGAACACACAGTTCCAGAGTCAGACTGCCTGGGTTGAGTATCTGGCTCCACTATTTATTAATTTGTAACCTTGGGTGAATTATTTAACCTGCAGCTGGGCTTTAGTTTCTTAACTTGCAAAACAGCCATTAATTATAGCCTCCATTTCACAGAATTTTCACAGTTTAAATAATACATATGAGGTGCTTATCACAATTGGCAATTTTAAGTAGTAACTACCCCTCAAACTCCCCCTCCTCAAAAACCAAAGATGTAGTTAGTCCACCATAACCTAAACCAACAATACCCATAGAAAAAGGAGAAAAAGTACTGGCTAGGTTAACTAGTAGTAAAGGGTAGAGCAGAGGAAGTCATAACACTGCTTTTTACTTCTAAATGTGCTAAGTAGTATGAAAACAGGAATTTTACTTATCTAAATTATTTCTAAATCATTGAACATTTTAGATTAAATCCACTTCACCTAATTTTGCAAATCGAGTATTAACTGTATATTTAAGTCTACTTAACATTTATTTTGAAGTATACAGCATGGTAAAAAATATCTTTGATCATTACTTAAGGCCACTATTTCAAATAAACAAGACTCTCAGAATTTTGAGATGAGGTTTAAGAAAAGGCATATAATAAAATCAAAACTAGCAAAACTCAGTCAATACTAGATGGCTTTTGGAACAATCTTGAGAGTTTGAACAGGGCTAAAAAGATTCAATGTTAGAAATGGAAATTTATTCTTATTCTGCATTTATTTATTAATATCCAATTAAACACTAGGCAACAGGAACTCAAAGATAGCCTGACCCAAAGGTTTAAAATAACCGCACTCATGAAGATGACACTTTAGCTGATCATAAATATTTATTAAACAGAAAGAGAAGCACAATAGAAATAAATGTAAACTGAGACTAGACATTGAGTTCTGTTTTGGGAAAGTGAGTGAGGAAGCTTCACAAGGGAGGAAATACTGCTTTTGGGTCTGAAGATATATTTGTCAAACATATACCTTGGTCTCTACTACCTGTTTCATAATTTTATTAATTCTGCTCTTTATACAGGCAGGAAATGCCTGAAAAACAAAGTAATGCCACTTGCTACAACACAGTATCTTCACCTTAAAAATTAGTGAAATGGCGTTCTTGTTCATAGATGAATCTCCTCCATATATAAACTTAATCTCTATATTCTCATTCACCTGCCCCTTTCACTTCATGTTACCATACTTACCTGGGACTATATCACCTGCAGACAGATGACTCTGATATCTAACCATCCCCAGTTCAACTCTCTCCCAGGTTCACTTGCTAGACAACACCCTTTGAAGAACATACTGCCATTTGTAAAATACATGCTCCTTTGCTACTTTAGGAAACGGCACCACCAGCTTACTCCTCTAACCTAGAAACAAGGGAGTCACATTCTATTCTTCCTCTTTCTCATCTCCCACATCCCATCCATCTTGGCCTGTCCATTCTACCTTTCTATTACACTCGCCTATACATCCCTACCACTGTTGCCCTGATTCAGAACCTTATTTTTATCCTAACAGCCTCCTCACCTCTCTCCAGGTCTCCTTGCTGCCAAAGCCATCTTTGTAAAATTCCAGTATGATCGTGTGACTGCCTCGTTTAAAAACCCTTTAACAGACACTCAAATCTTTGACAGTCTAAACTCTAGCACTCAATTAAGTTCCCACATTTACATACAAAAAAACCCTTAGCTCCTACAGAGTTAAAATGCTTTAATAATTAACGAATTAACTTGAATTAAATTTATTTTCTTACCTCCTGCTCAGAGAGCCCATCAATAATTTCAGAAATCTCATGCTCACTCCTAGCAATGGTGGCTGAAAGACCAGCTCCCCTCTGCCCAACTCTAAACATGAGGGAGAAATTAAAAATATATTTAAAGACCTTATATAAAGACATATCAATTAAATTAACTATAGATTACTTTTCTGAATGGAACTTTTTAACCAAGTTAAGAGAAGAAACATAAAATACTATTGAGTATATACTTTTAAGTAATATGCTGTGTCACCTATTAATAACAATTTAAATGTTACGATTGAGATTTGAAGGTTACATGTTCATGTTCAAATGGTGGAACTAGTTAGGGAAAACTTCTAGAAAGTCATAATTATTGATGCCAATTCCATTTCAAATGGCATTCTTTGTATGCCCTGTAGTAGACTTAGAAAAATACATGAAACATTTTTAAAAGGAGAGAAAAAACTCAACCAACATCCCTTACAAAAATTTAATTGTGAGTTAAGGGGCTTACATGACTCTTACATGAGACAATAAAAAAGAAAATTAAAGCTTTTAAAATCTTTGTAAAATATCTGTTTGCTAAAAGTAAAACAAATCAGAATCTATCAAAGAATTTCTTAATTGGCCATCAGCTGAATATAGTTTGAATATGTTGGTAACGAAGGACTAAAGGATATTTAGGTCTGTTCTTACTCACTGTCATGTCCAAAGGATGTAATACTTTTAGGAACTTCAGAATTAATTTCAAAATAATCACTTACATTTAGATTCAACAGGATAATATAAAAATTAAATTTACTAAGACATAATGTTTACTGGTTGATAATAAAGTTTTCTTTTCAACATAAAAGTTCTTTTAACTTTTAAGTTAGTGGGTACATGTGCAAGTTTGTTATATAGGTAAACCTGTGTCATGGGGATTTGTCGTACAGATTATTTCATCACTCTGCTATTAAACCTAGTACCCACTAGCTATTTTTCCTGAACCCTCTCCCTCCTTCCATCCTCCACCCTCCACCTTCTAATAGGCCCCAGTATGTGTTGTTCCCCCTATGTGTCCACAACATAAAAATTCTTTATAAACTTTCTTCATGATCAGTTTCAAGAAACAATAGCTCTCCCTCTCCCTCTCTCTCCTCTCCCTCTCCGCTTCTCCCGCTTTCCACGATCTCCCTCTCCCTCTCCTCCCGCTTTCCACGGTCTCCCCTCTACCTCTCTCCTTCTCCCGCTTTCCACGGTCTCCCTCTGTTGCCGAAGCTGGACTGTACCACCATGATCTCCTCCCTCTCCCCTTCTCCCGCTTTCCACGGTCTCCCCTCTCCCTCTCCCTCTCTCCTTCTCCCGCTTTCCACCGTCTCCCTCTGTTGCGGAAGCTGGACTGTACTGCCATGATCTCCGCTTGCTGCAACCTCCCTGCCTGATTCTCCTGCCTCGTGCCTGGGATTGCAGGTGCACGCCACCACGCCTGACTGGTTTTTGTATTTTTTGGTGGAGACGGGGTTTCGCCGTGTTGGACGGGCTGGTCTCCAGCTCCTGACCGCGAGTGATCTGCCCACCTTGGCCTCCCAAAGTGCCAGGATTGCAGACGGAGTCTCGCTCACTCAGTGCTCAATGTTGCCCAGGCTGCAGTGCAGTGGCGTGATCTAGGCTTGCTACAACCTCCACCTCCCAGCCGCCTGCCTTGGCCTCCCAAAGTGCCGAGATTGCAGCCTCTGCCCGGCCACCACCCCATCTGGGAAGTGAGGAGCGTCTCTGCCTGGACGCCCATCGTCTGGGATGTGGGGAGTGCCTCTGCCTGGCCGCCCAGTCTGGGAAGTGAGGAGCGTCTCTGCCCGGCCGCCCATCGTCTGGGATGTGGGGAGTGCCTCGGCCCCACCGCCCCGTCTGGGATGTGAGGAGCGCCTCTGCCCGGCCACGACCCCGTCTGGGAACTGAGGAGCGTCTCTGCCCCGCCGCCACCCTGTCTGGGAGGTGATGAGCGTCTCTGCCCGGCTGCCCAGTCTGAGACGTGAGGAGCCCCTCTGCCCGGCAGCCGCCCCGTCTGGGAAGTGAGGAGCGTCTCCGCCCCTTCCGGGAGGTGGGGGGCAGCCCCCGCCCAGCCAGCCGCCCAGTCCGGGAGGTGGGGGGCAGCCCCTGCCCAGTCAGCCGCCCCATCCGGGGGGTGGGGCGCCTCCACCTGGCCGCTGCCCCGTCTGGGAGGTGTGCCCAACAGCTCATTGAGAGCCGGCCAGGATGACGATGGCGGTTTTGTCGACTAGAGAGGGGGGGAAATGTGGCGAGAGTAGAGGGAGATCAGATTGTTACTGTGTCCGTGTGGAGGGAGGTGGACATGGGAGACTCCATTTTGTTCTGTACTAAGAAAAATTCTTCTGCCTTGGGATGCTGTTAATCTATAACCTTACCCCCAACCCCGTGCTCTCTGAAACATGTGCTGGGTCCATTAAGGGTTAAATGGATTAAGGGCAGTGCAAGATGTGCTTTCTTAAACAGATGCTTGAAGGCAGCATGCTCGTTAAGAGTCATCACCACTCCCTAATCTCAAGTACCCAGGGACACAAACACTGCAGAAGGCCGCAGGGTCCTCTGCCTAGGAAAACCAGAGACCTTTGTTCACATGTTTATCTGCTGACCTTCCCTCCACTATTGTCCTATGACCCTGCCAAATCCCCCTCTCCGAGAAACACCCAAGAATGATCAATACATACTAAAAAAATTTTTAAAAAAAAGAAACAATAAATATTTGAAGAAAAATATCACAGTCATTAAACATCAAACTACTCACCGCTGAAATCTTTCTTGCTGTTCTCTTTGTTTTCGAATTTCTGGAAACTGCTTTTCATAGTATTCCCTTGTTTTGCTTTCTTTAGCTTTCCTCCGAGGATTATTTTCTATTCTGTCCACTTTTTTCTCCCATGCCTCCATGAGCTGATCATAACGCTGGCAGATTTTTTGTTCCTATTAAATATCCGTAGCAAATTAATAATAATTAAACTAAACTCTGATTCTGACAAACCTAATACTTTAAAATAAATGCTACTTCTTAAGGTTAAGTCAGAAGTACATTTGGCTTATGACTCAACTGTGAACGAAAAGCACAAAGAGGAGAGAGGAAAGGTAGCTCTGTTTCCTACTAAGATCAACACATAGAGCACAGGTTGGCTGGATTTTTTAGTTAACATTAAGACTATGCATATTTATAAACTACTTGACACCTACTACTAGTAGTAGCTGACCAGTTACTTTTATTTTGCTTAAAACATTATGTCATTGTTGTCCCAAAAAAATGGAAAATTAAAAATACAAACATGTAAATAGTTCATAATCTGACCAATTACCCAAAGGCAACCATATGAACATTTTGTTGTTATCCTTCCAATCTGCGAAACAAAACACACACGCTTTAACCGATCTATTATTGGAGGTTCTGGTTGATTGCCATTTTTTGCTATAATAAATAATGCTATATAACAAACATTTTGACAGTATGAAAAAGGCAGAAAATGGTTGGTTGTGCTTTATCATAAAAAGAAATCCAGGCTGGGCGCAGTGACTCACACTTGTAATCCCAGCACTTTGGGAGGCCAAGGCAGGTGGATCACAAGGTCAGGAGTTTGAGACCAGCCTGGCCAATATGGTGAAACCCCGTCTCTATTAAAAATACAAAAATTAGCCAGGCGTGGTGGTGGGCACCTGTAGTCCCAGCTACTTGGGAGGCTGAGGCGGGAGAATCGCTTGAACCCAGGAGGTGGAGGTTGCAGTGAGCCGAGATCGCACCACTGCACTCCAACCTGGGCAACAGACAAAAACAAAACAAAACAAAAAACAGAAATCCAGTGAACTACGTGAAATTGAGAATTAATGCTTTTAGAGAAGTAAGTGAATTATGATACCATTTTCTAAATAGAGAAGAAAAGACAGACGAACCCTCCATTATGGACAAAGAACTGTCAACATATCTGATGACACATGGACAGAGGAAAGTGAGGAAGGGTTCATGAAAAACTGCTAACATGGTCATCTTAAGAAAGTGGCATTGGAGAACAGAATATTATCTTTCTCACATTCCACACCACACCCCACTCCCACTTCTCAATTACTCCTATATGTCTTCTGTGTCCTTCATCTTTTCTCCTTTCTACTGCTACCCTTATAATCCAGGCCAACACCATCCCTCACCTAGATCAAAACAATAGCTCCCATGCATTCTTAATGTTGTAGCTAAATGCAAATTCTTTTTTTTTTGGAACCAAGTTTCACTCTTGTTGCCCAGGCTGGAGTGCAGTGGCGCGATCTCGCTCACTGCAACCTCCGCCTCCCGGGTTCAAGTTATTCTCCTGCCTCAGCCTCCTGAGTAGCTGAGTTTACAAGCATGCGCCACCACGCCTGGCTAATTTTGTATTTTTAGCAGAGACGGAGTTTCTCCATGTTGGTCAGGCGGGTCTCAAACTCCCGACCTCAAGTGATCTGCCCTCCTTGGCCTTCCAAAGTGCTGGGATTACAGGCGTGAGCCATTGCACCTGCCCCGCTAAATGCAAACTCTTAAAATGCAAACCCAAACATTATGCAACCTCCAGGACAGTATACAACCTGGCTCTGGCTTCCCTCAGCAGCCTCATTTCTCACCACACTGCCAGCTCAGTCTACACTCCCTCTGGCTCCCAGACCTTCACTTAAGCCACTCCCTCTGCGTATACAAGTTTGCAGAGAATTGGTTTTCCCCTGAAATGTCCCCTCATAATTCCTATCTGCCTTAGGTGTCCTCCTCAGTCATCCGTAGTCCATGACCACGGTGTGATCCAATACTAGGACTGACCTGTCTGACTTCCATCACCTTAGGCTCCCCCTAATTACTAAAACCATATGGCTATCTTGCTCACCTTTGCAGAATAATATATGGGACAGAGTACACAGCCAAGTGATATTTAAGCAAATCGGTGAAAATACAAACCTTACAGTGTTTGCATCACCAGTGAACTTATTTAGTGAGTACCAGAATTACAACAAAATTACTTGGAAAGGAAAAAAAAATACATGAGCTAATTTCTTACTTGATATTTATATGTTCTTGGCAAAAAAAAAAAAAAAAAAAAAAAAAAACAACTCAAGACCAGTAATTTAAGACAGTATCTGATCAGACTGGCAAATTAGAACATTAGACGTTTTCCACCAAATAAAGCTGCTGACTCTTGAGCTTTACAACTCAAACTGTCAGGTCATTAACTTTAGGCACAAAGTTCATTTTTGATGTCGATTTAAAGAGTAGCATTTATTTAGCAGACACTTCAGTTTAAATGTATTAACAGTGTATCTGTAAAATTAGTATAAACATATTATGAAAATAAAATCACTGGCATTATATTTTCTATAATTTAATTCCCATGAAAATTATATAACCACAAAACTTTTGGACTGCAAGTCATAAAAAAATATGGAAAACCATTTGAATTTGAAAAAGCTGAACCCTAGCTGACCCCGTTTCTAATAAAAGAAAGAATAGTAATGTCTCATCAGCATGACTGCAACTTACCTACAACTGTTTGAGGCTTAAGAAACTAAATTATCTTTCATATTCTTTTAAACTACTCACCGTTTTATTTTGACTAAATGAAAATGTTCTAGAAAGATGACCAATGAAATTAATTTGATAATATTAAATGTAAGGTATGGTATCAAAATGTTACTAGAATTAGATTTAAGTCATATATATATATATATATATATATGGTTACTTTCTAAATCAGCACTTATCCTCAAATGGAGTCAAGGACCACTCTCATTAACAGTAGGAAAGTGAATGCCTAAATGAGCATGAATGGGAAAGCTGTATAAATTTCAGTTAACAAGGATAGGACCTCACCCTTTGTTTTCTTGCATGATTTCTTCTTTTAAAAAATAAAATGAGTTTTTTCCTCATCACCTGGTTTCTAGAAGAGAAAAATATGGTTGCATGACATTAAGAAAAAGCACAATTTAATAATGCATTCACTTTTTTTCCAGAGACACTGGAAAATAGGCAAAGATCACTTAAGAATTTATGATGTAAACAAAGTTAATCCTAATTTTTTTACCCTGCAAAATAAGATTTTATAACTTTTGCAAAAATTAGAACTGACTAAAGTTCCTCCCATTCTACAGTAAGACTTAATACAAAATAGTTAACTTTCAATTAGCACATCCAATTATAAGGCAAATATTTTCAAATTAAAATTACAGTTACTTATCCTTCTTAACAACTCTGGTGACATAAACATCTTACTCTTTGGAGAAGGGAGGTAGAAGAGAAGGAAACATTTTTACAGTTACCTCCCTACATCAGGTGCTAACCTCCCTTCTACGAGGAAAATGTATACCAACATATGTAGAGATAGGTGACTTCTGCTTTAAACAGAAGATTTTCTTCAGTCACAGAATGACACAATCCACTCTAAGAAGTAATGGAGGGCAATGTGTCAAAACAGGAAGATTTCTAATATATCTTAATCGCTTTTTAAATTGGAAGCATTGTGACCTTCAAAAACAATGACATGCAGGTTCAAGTATAAATATTTATACCCCACCTACTTCCAGAAAGGATTTCAAGCTGATTATTCAAATATAAATACAAAGCCAAGGCAAGTAGAAGTAATTTTTTGGATTATCTGCCACTCAGGACTAACAGTGACACTGGCTCCACTCAAATAAGTATGGACAAGCAGGAGCTGGCTATATGAAAAAGTAGCCAAGAGATGAAAAGAATTATTAAAATGTACATTTGCTATTTCATACAAAGCAAATGACGGTGATGAAAGAATAGCTACTGAATGACTCATACAGATGCATGCAGCTGAGGAAATATTCCAAAAGGTGTCGTACAGGGAAGCATTACCATATACTCAGTTTGCTATAATTTTAAGTATACGTTACTCAAAAGCAAATGACAATCAACAAATACAATCTTAAATGTTTCCTAGGAATTTAAATGAAGTCAGCCAGTCAGTAGTCCATCTAGGATAGTGTGCTGAGCACTAAATAGGCAATGTAGATGACATGAAATAAATCGGACAGAGCTGCTCTCCAGACTGTATCAGGAGAAACAGGACACAACACAAACATAACACTGAGGCTTTGTGGGAAAAAAAAAAAAAAGTCATTAAGTAGCCAACTAGATCTTATCTGCTCTTCTACTCTTTAAAAATGTTAAAACAGCTAAGCAGTTCCAAAGCAAGGTATATTATATGTGAGTTTTGACTAACTTACTTCTAAGGGTTCTCAAGATCATAGTAGCATCTCACAGAAAAATTGACAAATACATAACTTTTATTATGAACCACTTACTTAACAAAAGTTAAAATTATTCAAATTCAATTGTTTTCATGCATACTACCATGCAAATTATATTTGCCACCAGTTCTGCAAAGTAGTCAATAATTGCACATACTCTCAGTTAAGAAATTTTTAAAAAGAAAAAAATAAATATATATATATAAAATAAATAGCAATGTGCTCATTAGTAACCATACTAGTAAATAATTATGTTCTGCTTATACTTAATAAAACATATAAAGTAGAAATATCACATTTTTGTCACAAACTAAGAATAATGCACCTAAAATTCTCTTAAAGTATAATTTTTTTTTTAAAAAAAAGATATCTATCTAGCTTCCTCTCTTACTTCAATCAGATCAAGAAATTAGATTTTCTTTTCACTTATTTTCTTATTCCAAAATCTGCATCCATAAAGGCCTGGTACTAGGATGAGCAAGGCTAAGCAAACTACATTCTGGAGCAGCCTCGTCACCCACAAGGTGACTGAGCGCTTCCAAGGCACCAGGACATTAAATGGCAGAAGGGTCTACAAATACCGTCATTAGCAAGAGTCATGGAAGGGATTTCCCTAGAATAGGATTTTGAATAATGATAAAATGATCCGTGGCACTTCTACTTTGCAATGGCAGATGTGGCTTGGTGGGGGACGGTGTCATCACTAGTCTTAAATGAAAAAGCTTCATTATCTTACTTCATCATGCGCCTTGCAGGTACTCCACTGAAAAAAAGACAAAACAGGAGGCAAAAAATTCAAGCCTCAAGGTAAGCCATTTCAATGTTAAGTATCCACCTTTTTTACTAGCAGATTATAAAACCAGCTAGTTTTATGCAATAATTTATTTCATTTTTTGGCCTCGGAAACTCAAAGCTGTTACCCCAACCCCCAAGAAGCCAGAGGAAGATAACATATAATAAAACGACAGCAAATTACACAAATCTAAAACATACCTACAATATATTATAATAATGTCAGCAGATAACAAAAATGATCTCTTTATAGAATATACGGTCTTTAATTGAAGAACTCCAAAGATGATCAATACTTACGTCTTGATGTTCTCATGGTACACCTTGGTATCTGATGGCTGGTTATACAGTGGCTATAAAAGAAATCAAATATTTATGTATAAAATGTTGTACATATGTCTATGAAGAGACAAAGAAACATAATTTTAATGTAAGCACAGGTAAAGTACTAATGGATCTACACAATAACATGCCCTACCAAAACCTCCAAACTTTTATTTTTTTATTTACTTATTTTTTTAAATTATACTTTAAGTTCTAGGGTACACGTGCACAACGTGCAGGTTTGTTACATATGTATACATGTGCTGTGTTGGTTTGCTGCACCAATTAACTCATCACTTACATTACGTATTTCTCCTAATGCTATCCCTCCCCCATGCCCCACCCCCTGACAGGCCCCGGTGTGTGATGTTCCCCGCCCTGTGTCCAAGTGTTCTCATTGTTCAATTCCCATCTATGAGTGGGAACATGCAGTGTTTGGTTTTCTGTCCTTGCGACAGTTTGCTCAGAATGATGGTTTCCAGCTTCATCCATGTCCCTACAAAGGACATGAACTCATCCTTTTTTATGGCTGCATAGTATTCCATGGTGTATATGTGCCACATTTTCTTAATCCAGTCTATCATTGATGGACATTTGGGTTGGTTCCCAGTCTTTGCTATTGTGAATAGTGCCGCAACAAACATACGTGTGCATGTGTCTTTACAGTAGCATGATTTATAATCATTTGGGTATATATCCAGTAATGGGATCGCTGGGTCAAATGGTATTTCTAGTTCTAGATCCTTGAGGAATTGCCACACTGTCTTCCACAATGGTTGAACTAGTTTACACTCCCACCAACAGTGTAAAAGCATTCCTATTTCTCCACATCCTCTCCAGCACCTGTTGTTTCCTGACTTTTTAATGATTGCCATTCTAACTGGTATGAGATGGTATCTCATTGTGGCAAAACCTCCTAACTTTTAGATTCCCTGAGTAACTGTTAATCCCATCTCCTGTCACTCCCATAATACAGTTTATAAATCCATTGTTTCCCATAAGTATATTTATGCACAGATTTTTAATTTCAAAGTATTAATACTCCCTAATACTAGGGAGTATTAACCATTGTCACTATTTTAACAGTAACATTCAAAGAGCTTTCTAATTCTGTTCTTAATTCTCATTCTGCCTGGAAGGATTAAATAGCTGCTCAAGCAAAAACAAGCTCAGGGTGATGTTTCTGCAAAGGTCTGCAAAGGTAACCAAGTTCACTCATCATTACTTTAAACTTCATCTCAAGCTACATCTCTGCTCAGCTACATCTCTCTTATCCCAAAATAAATGGATCATATTCCATCTTATCCCAAGAAAAACTACCACCAAAAATTAAAAAAAAAAATCACTGGAAATGAAAAAATTTACTTACCAGTTCAACTTTTGGGCCAAGACCTTCAAAAATTTTATGAGCTTCTTCTGCTTTTTTCTAGAGATAAAGACATTGTTGTATCATATAATTAAAAATTACATTATCTAAGTGCAAAATAATTATTTAGAAATATTTATCTAAGACTAATCTATAGATGAACTTATCCTTATTTCCAAATATCCTTCTTCTATATGACAGGCTGAAATATGCTCCAGTTATTTTTTATTTTTTCTTAATTTGTAGTTACAATGATAGAAAACTCTGAAATTGTATTGTCATAGCTTTCCTCACCAAATTCAGTCAAAACTTAACATTTGTATTGAAAGCAATGCCTGAATAATAGGTAAGTTTTAAAAAAGCAAACAATTATATTAAAAAACTGGAGAGAGGGAATGAAAATTCACTATTAGAAATAAATCCCCCAAACATTCTACATACTTTAACTCATATCATCTTTAATAGAAACTTAAAGCAATAAAATACCATAAAATGGCCACTCTTTACTATGGTGAGCAACATTGATCTCTTTGAAGAAAAGCTGTTAATGAGCTAATTTTCTAGTTACAAGGAATCCTTAGTAATAGCTGAACAACAAAGAAAACCGCTAATTTGAATTATTCAAAGTGCTCAGTAGTTAAAAAATGCTGAATTATATGTATTTGTAATATGCTATTTCCTTTTTTTTTTTTTTTTTTTTTTTTTATTTGAGACAGGGTCTCACTCTGTCGCCCAGGCTGGGACACAATGGCACGATCATAGCTCACTGCAGCCTCAACTTCCTGGACTCAAATAATGCCCCCATCTCAGTCTCCCAAAGCTCTGGGATTACAGGTGTGAGCCACAGCACCCAGTTGCTATTTTCAAAAGTAAAATAATCCAGACCAAAGTGTTACCTAGCAAAAATCTTCCCTTGCTAAGATTAATCTATCAATATTTTGGCAACAAAAATTTTAACTTAAGACCCTCATATGTTCGTAATACAATTTGTATTCTAAGTCTACAGATAGAAGTAAATAATTCTTCAACATATGTTCGGTATGTTCTATGTGCCAAGCACTCACTAGACACTAAGAAAATAATGAATAAGATAAGCCTTCCCACCACAGGAAGATGAGGGGTCTTGAAAGTCTTCCTAGAGAAAATGATACTTGAACTGGGGCTTGAGGTAACAGTGTGCTTGGCAGAAAAGACAAAACACGGGGCCACCTGACAGCAGGGGCAACATAGCGGGGTAAAGATATTGCTAACAAGGGAACATCCAAAACCTCTTCTGGTGGGATATTACTAAGAAAAGAGTATGGGGCAAGGGCCAGGCGGGTAAGCATGTAAACATCAATAAAGGCTTCGGCTATTCTGTATAAAGTGGGAAATCATAAAAAGGTTCTATTTGGAGAATCATTAAATGGGACGAAAATATGAAAGATGGGTTAGAAAGAAAGGACTGAAGCGTGAGACTCAATAACTATGTGGGAGATGAAGGCTCAAATTAAGCTAATGATAAAGGTAGAGGAAAGAAGCGTAAGACCAGACCAATATTTAGGAGGTGGGACTAACGCTCTTCACTGATTACCTCAACATACATGAAGTGGCAAAGAGAGAGAACTGGATAATTCCTAGGATGCTGGCCTAGATGACCAGAGGTGCTGGCACAGAATATACTTCCTACCATCACCCTTTTCTTTCTTCTGAAGTCACATTCTCTTGCAAATCAACCCGTCAAAATATAAACAAGGCAGGTCATGGTGGCTCACGCCTGTAATATCAACACTTTGGGAGGCCTAGGTAGGTGGATCACTTGAGTCCAGGAGTTCAAGACCAGCCTGCTAACATGGTGAAACCCCATCTCTACTAAAAATGCAAAAATTAGCCAGGCATGGTGGCATGTGCCTATAATCCCAGCTACTTGGGAGGCTGAGGCGGGAGAATCACTTGAACCCGGGAGGTGGAGGTTGCAGTGAGCCAAGATCGTGCCACTGCACTCCAGCCTGGGCAACAGAACAAGACTGTGTCTCAAAAAAAAAAAAAAAAAAATACACACACACACACACACACACCCACAAAGATATTCTGCAAATTTCTCTAGTAGAGCCCAACAATAATCACTTTTCTATACGTATTATTCTTCTGAAATTAGAATATTTACAAATATTTTTGGAACTTACAACTGATAGGGTAAAATCAAATTGAACTGTTAAAAATAGTCTGTTTAGAGACTAAACAAACTTAGACTGAAATTTAACTATGATGCAAGTCAACTTTTCTCAGGAAGTCAACTTTAAAATTAACACGTTGGGGCAGTTTTTTTCCTCCCACTACCTTTCTAAATAAAAGAAATGGTCCCTCGATCTCTTAAGCCACACTTGGCTTAATTCCAACTAGTGTAACTGCTGCCACCCAAGAAATAAGAGGGAGGTGTACTTCTGTAATTACCCCATTCCTCCTTGCCTATGGTGCTGAAACAGATAAGCTCATTCATTAAAAAATGTTAAAAGAGGCAGGGAGGGCCTTTCAAAAGGCAGCATACTGGGGCAGAAAAAGCCTTGGGGAGTACATATCAGAAAGCCTGGGTTCTAGGCCCATTGTGCTCTCCTCCTCCCCTCCGGGAGCTCCCTGTTACAATTCTGAAACTGCACAGGTACATGTATAAAACATACATAAGAAAGAAAAGATGAGGCCAGGCATGGGGGCTCACACGTGTAATCTCAATACTTTGGGAGACTGAGGCAGGAGGATCGCCTGAAGCCAGCAGTTCAAGACCTGGGCAACATAATGAGACACTGTCTGTTAGAAAGAAAAGAAGGAATAAAAGAAAAGAGGCCTGGTGCAGTGGCTGACGCCTGTAATCCCAACACTTTGGGAGGCCAAGATGGGTAGATGACTTGAGCCCAGGAGTTCAAGACCAGCCTGGCCAACACGGTAAAACCCCATCTCTACTAAAAATACAAAAATTAGCTGACTGTGGTGGCTCACACCTGTAATCCCAGTTACTTGGGAGGCTGAGGCAGGAGAATTGCTTGAACCTGGGAGGTGGAGGTTGCAGTGAGCTGAGATTGCGCCACAGCACTCCAACCTCGGGGACGAAGCAAAACTCTGTCTCGAAAAAAAAAAGAAAAGAAAAGAAGGAAAGCGAAAAAAAAAAGAAAAGAAAAGAAGGAAAGGAGAGGGAGGAGGAGGGGGAGAAAAGAAAGGAGAGGGTGGAGAAGAAAAATGAAAGAAAAAAGAAAAAAGGAAAAGAAAGATGACTTCTATAGTTGTTGTGGGTTAGAAACAATCTTCAGTGTAGGAAGGCAAGTTTAACACTGAAACAGGTTTCAGATTTGGTTTTCTTCATAAAATAAACAACAAACCAAATATGGAAATGTTCAAACAGAAAGAAGAGGTGCAAAAGGAGTTTTCAAGTTTTGCTAATGTGCACCAAGAAACACTATACTAATTAATAAAAACATCTATATATAAAAATTAAACACCAATTAAATTCTCTATTAGATCAGATCTTGTTCAATAGTATTCAGTCCTCAAATCCCAGTGAGGCAACCACAGAATTCACTAATATTGTAAGACAAGGCTCATTAATAAATCCATTAATAATTATTACCAAATCCAATTTATTTGAAAAATAATTCATACTAAAAAAGAAACATTTTATAAAACTTAAAAAAAAAAACTATCAAATCTCCATTTGTATCACCACTAATTCCTATTTATTTTATCCCTGAGGTCACAGTCACAAACTGGCCATGGAGCCCATGAGCCCACAAAAGTGTTTTGCAGCTATGCAGAGGACTTTTTTTTTTTAAAAAAACAAATCAGAGATTTCACATAAAACCCCATTATTTTGGGCTTTTCTTAAACAAGGGAGCAACTGTATATCCTGGAACACAGCCCCCATCTTAGGCATGGTCACCTCCTTCCCTTCCTTTACTGGATTTATCTTCATGTAGACTGCTGTGGCCATACAATAAATTGGACTAATATTGAACCCAGCCAAGAAAATAATATTAATTGCCCATATTTTTACCTGCCCATAACACTTACCATTACCGTAAGTATATTTCTGATGACTCTCAGTTATCTACTTGATACATGTATATCTAAATCCAAGATCATTCCTATAAATGTGTATTTATTTATTTATTTATTCAACTTTTAAATTCAGGAGTACATGTGCATAAATATTTATTAATTCACAATTGCTTTATTTAAGGTCAATTTCCTTTCGGCTGTGGACTACTATAAAGTTACAGACTGTATGTGTAAGATAGACTGACAGATGAATCCACTCACTACAAATCAAATCAATCAAAACAACAATCCCAAATTTTACCTGATGATCATGCCTTTAGCTAAAAACCCTATTCTATCCCACAGTATAAAGCATATTATCATTTTTTGCACTGTGGACTTCTGGAAGCCCACTGTTAAACAGACACTTTCTTCATGTTGAGGTAAAATCAGTTTCCCTCTAACTGCTAGTTCCTGGGCCATATTCTGGCCAAAACTAACTTTGATACTACAAAAATGATTCATAGAATTCATGCCTGGTGTTTCTGAATCCATGAATATTTTTAATTAAGAGTATGAGAGTAAACCTAAAAAAGCAAAGTCTACCTAAAGGTCAAAATCTACCTTGAACTTTGATTTTTTTTTTTTTTGAGACTTGAGTTTTGGTCTGTTGTCTAGACTGGACTGAAGTGGCTCAATCTCGGCTCACTACAACCTCTACCTCCCAGGTTCAACCGATTCTCCTGCCTCAGCCTCTCGAGTAGCTGGGACTACAGGCATGCGCCACCACGCCTGGCTAATTTTTGCATTTTTAGTAGAGACAGGGTTTCTCCATGTTGGCCAGGCTGGTCTCGAACTCCTGACCTCAAGTGATCTACCCGCCTCGGCCTCCCAAAGTACTGGGATTATGGGCATGAGCCACCATGCCCCGCCTTGAACTTTTTAACTGAAGTTCAAACCATAGCCCAACTATCGACTGTGAACTAATGCTGATAAGAAAGTTCATTTCCACATGCAATGACCTATCTTTACTGAAATGTTATCAGTAGTCAGCATTAAACATCATTTATTAAGTGAAAAACTGCAGGATGGTTGTTTTGTATTATATGCTACCAAGCTTCCTTGCCAGAATTCATATAATAGGAGACTCAGCTGACAAAATTTCACTGATTAAATATTTATAAAATACATAATGTAAAATGAAATATTACATAATTTAAGGCACAACTGTAAACTTTCTTTCAATTGATAAGGAAAAAAACACCAAGCTTCAGTCAGCCAAAGTTTATGAACATTCAAAATTGTAAGAGAAATCAGGTTTTAATAAAGTTAAAATTATACCAGGATACATTCAAAACTGAAAAGGGCATCGTCAAGTGGGGTTAAAGGCCTGTGCTGCCAGAGATGGTATGAGCTTACCCGATTCTCATCATAAATAATTTGGACAATACTGCGGTGTTTCTGCTCCACAGGAGGAGGGGACACGGGCTTCTCAGGCTCAGGAGGTTTAGCTGCCTCTTCTTCAAGCTGTTGCTAAGAGATCCAGAAAGAAAGAGTCAAGCATGTGCTGCACACCACACCCAGCAGTGATTAACCACTGGAGATAACACAGGCTACTAAGCTTTGCTTGCAGATTCTGTAGGGTAACCAATTAATCCATGAAGGTCTCATGGACCAAGAGCTCAAAGAGAATTAATCAGATTTATTTCATAACCAAACAACACAAATTTTCATTAGATAGAGTTTAAAAAAAAAAACTAAGAGGAAGCATCCTTTAAGATTTTAATTCTGGGCCGGGTGCAGTGGCTCATGCCTGTAATCCCAGCACTTTGGGAGGCCTAGGCAGGTGGATCACCTGAGGTCGGGAGTTCGAGACCAGCCTGACTAACATGGAGAAACCCCATCTCTACTAAAAATACAAAATTAGCTGGGCATGGTGGCGCATGCCTGTAATCCCAGCTACTAAGAAGGCTGAGGCAGGAGAATCACTTGAACCCGGGAGGTGGAGGTTGCAGTGAGTCGAGATAACGCCACTGCACTCCAGCCTGGGCAACAAGAGCAAAACTCTATCTCAAAAAAAAAAAAAAAAAAAAAAGATTTTAATTCTGACAAACTTAAAGCAAAATAATAAGAGAAGTTAAATTTAATGAAGGTACTCTACATACCTCTATCACAATGACCTTTGACAGCACTGAAAAAACACTCTTATATGTTATAGATACACAGTATACATTAATATTTGCTGGGCAGAATATGGTAGAAAGGAGATCAAGGGTTAACCCTTAACTCAGCATGGCACCATGCCACCCTCAACACCCAATCTTCATGTGTTACAGTGCTCCGGTCAAAGGGCAATCAACAAAATTACAAAAATATAGACTATTGGTGTGTGCAAGTATAAAGAAAAAGCTAACTGTATTACCGTGCCTGGGTTTGAGCCTCAGGGTCACCCTTTACAGGTGGTGTGATCCTAGGAACCTTTCTGGGTCCTTAGGTCAATCTTTTTTTTTTTTTTTGAGATGGAGTCTTGCTCTGTCACCAAGGCTGGAGTGCAATGGCGCTCACTGCAACCTCCGCTTCCAGGGTTCAAGCGATTCTCCTGCCTCAGCCTCCTGAGTAGCTGGGATTACAGGCGGCCACCACCATGCCCGGCTAATTTCTGTATTTTTTTAGTAGAGACAGGGATTCACCATGTTGGTCAGGCTGGTCTCGAACTCCTGACCTCAGGTGATCCACCTGCCTTGGCCTCTCAAAGTGCCGGGATTACCGCTGTGAGCCACCACGCCTGGCTCCCTTAACTCAATATTAAGCAAACACCTAAACTACTCATAAATAAGGTAGGGATAATAATACTACCTATCATACAGCTTTTTGAAAGGACTAAATGACTTAACGTATATATAAAGCATATTACAATTATAAATTGTAAATATTACCGAGTATTACTAGTGAAGCAAGCAGGGACTTGTCTGCTTTGTCCGCTGCTTTTTTTCAACACCTAAACCAGTGCCTGACACCTAGTTAATGCTTTAAAAATATCCACACGAATAAATTTAGCATAAGTCCACTACCTAAGATGATAAAAGAAAAATTAGGTAAAGACAAATTAAGGTTAAGTCTAGTATAGTCTATAGGCAAAAATTATCTATACTACTAAATAAGACTGATAGGCCGGGTGCAATGGCTCACACCTGTAATCCCAGCACTTTGGGAGGCCAAGACGGTAGATCACTTGAGCCCAGGAGTTCAAGACCAGCCTAGCCAACATGGTGAAATTCCTGCTTTATTAAAGATACAAAAAATTAGCTCGGTGTAGTGGCGCAAGCCTGTAACCCCAGCTACTCAGGAGGCCGAGGCAGAAGAATCGCTTGAACCCAGGAGGTGGAGGTTGCAGTGAGCCAAGATCGCACCATTGCACTCCAGCCTGGGCGACAGGGGGAGACTCCATCTCAAAAAAACTAAATAAATAAGAGTGACAGTCAAAGCTCCCAGTACTGTAAATCAGACCATGCCCAAATGAAAGCATAAAAATCTACCAAGAGGGAGTTTCTGAACCTATTCTGGCTCAGGAGGCTGCCCAATTCGAAAAAAATTTAAAAAAATAATAATAAATAGCCACCAGGAGAGTCTAAACTGTAAGGAACACTTCCACTTTGGAATTATAAGTACTCTTGCAGTCTGTTATCTGTACAAGCAAAAGAAAGATATTTGAAATTCTGAGATCATTTTTATGGTAAAGGGTTCTTCAATGATTCCCTTTCTTTCCTGCTTAGAGGGCCTTCTTTTAGAATCCTTGTTAAGGAATAAACAAATCACACTTTGTTCTTAGTACCCAAATAGCCCTGGGACAAAACCATTATAATTCAAAGGCTAAAAGCAAACACACACAGACACACACACACACACACACACACACACACACACACACACACTCCCTCACCTGTTTTTGTTTTTGTTTTTGTTTTTGAGATGGAGTCTCACTCTTTTTGCCCAGGCTGGAGTGCAGTGGCACAATCTCAGCTCACTGCAACCTCTGCCTCCCGGGTTCAGGTGATTCTCCTACCTCAGTCTCCCAAGTAGAGTAGCTGGGATTACAGGCACCCGCCACCACACTCAGCTAATTTTTTGTATTTTTAGTAGAGGTGGGGTTTTGCCATGTTGGCCAGGCTGGTCTGGAACTCCTGACCTCAGGTGATCTGGCCTGCCTCGGCCTCCCAAAGTGCTGGGATTACAGGTTGAGCCACCGAGCCTGGCCCTGTTTGTTCTTTTACATTAACTTTACAATGTATTTGCCATGTTTTAAAAATAAATTTAATTGAAATTTTATTGAAATTGTGTGAGACATGATTTAGTCCAAGATGAACACAGAACATTATTATCACTGTTTCCATCCAGCTATGGCATATTTCTTTGTTTTCTCTAGTTGTCTTTTATATCTCTCAATAAAATGTGTGGCTCTGGTACATTTCATAATAATCATACATTATATTTCATTATTTCTAATTATTATAGTGGATTGCATGTACATTTACTATGTACCAGATATTATGCAATATATTCATTATCTCAATTCATAAAACAATCATGTGATTTAGTTGGTGTTATTACTAGATTATTACCATTGTACAAGTAAAGAAAATAAAAGACAAAAGAAAGAAAAGAAAAGAGACTCAGCGAAATCAAACCAGTAAAGACTTAATTAGAATTGTTGGGCATATAATAAAAATTTAATACAACTCAATGAAAGCAAAAAAAAAATTTTTTTTAATGACCAGGCAGATTTGAGAAGGAGCCAAACAGAAATTCCAGCAATAAAAACATAGTTGTTGAAATTGAAGACAGATTTGACAGCAGATTACATATAATTGAAAAGGAAAATGTAAACTGGAAGACAGGCTGAAGAAATTGCTCAGAATGAAGCCCAAAGAAGTTAAAAATAAGAAAGAGAAACAAGAGACACGGAAGACAAGAGTGATAAGATGTTACAACTAACAGGAATTTCATAAGTAGAACAAGAAACTGTTAGAAAGGTTTTCTAAAAAAGATAATGGCTTGGAATTTTCCCAAAGTGATGAAAAACTCCACCCTTCATATTCAGGAATATCAGGTTGGACAGATTTAAAAGGAAAAAAAAAAAACACCTAAATGTATCATCATAAAAATAACAGAACCCCGAAGAAAAGAATATACTGAAAACAACCTGAGAGAAAATTCACACTATCCATGAAAGAATACGGATTTAGACCAAGAGCTAATGTCTTAAAAATGGAAGCAAGAAGACAATGTACTAAGAAAAAATAATCACATACCAAATTAATAAATATATCTTTTAATAAACAGGCCAAATATAAGACAATATTTAAGTCATAAAAACCAAACAAATACTGAATTTGCCAACTAAGAGACCTTCACTAAAGGAAATTCTAAGAGATGTTCTTCAGTAGAAGGGTGTTCCCTTCGATGGAAGACTTGAGTTGCGAGAAGAAATGGTGAGCACATAAGAAGACAAATATGTGGGTAAACATAAATGAACACTGACTATACAACATGTAGTTTCCAGTGGATTAAGAATAAGATGAGAAGCAAAACTATAAAACTTCTAAAAAATAATATAGTAAAACTACCTTAATAACCCCAGGGGGTTTTCATATAAAACCTAAACAAATTCTGTTCACCAAAAAAAATACTATCAGGATCAAAGACTCAAATATAAGAGGTAAAACTATAAAATGTGTAGAAGAAAACACAGGTATAAATCTGTGACCGCGAATTAGGCAATGGGTCTTAGATAAAACACCAAATGTAAGAGTGACAAAAGGAAAAAACAAACTGGACTTCAACAAAATTCAAAACTTTTATACATCAAAGGATACTACCAGGAAAGTGAAAAGAACCCACAGAATGAGAGAAAATATCTATTAAGTCATACATCTGATGAGGAACTAATGTCCAGAATATATAAAGAATTCTTAGAATAACAAAAAGACAACCGAATTAAATAATGAGCAAACAATCTAAATGAACATTTATCTAAAAAGATATACAAATGGCCAATCAGCACATGAAAAGATGCTCAACATCATTAGTCATTAAGGATATGCAAATGAAAACTACAACTAGATACCACTTCACATCTCCAAGGATGGCTATATTTTTTTAAAAAAGGAAAATAACAGATGTTGGCAAGGAGGTAGGAAAAAATGGAACCTCCATATACTGCTGGTAAGAATATAAAATGGTACAGAGACTTTGGAAAACAGTTTTGAAGTTTTTCAAAAATTTAAACATAGATTTACCATATGCCCACTCCTAGATATATAAAGAAAATTGTAAAAATACGACCACACAAAAACGAGTACATGAATCTCATCACAATACATCACTAATCATAGTCAAAAAATGAACACAACTCAAATATCCATCAACTAATGAATGGATAAACAAAACATAGTAAACTCACACAATGGGATTCAGGCATATAAAGTAATGAAGTGCTGACACAAGATACGACATGGATGAATCAGGACAACATGCTAAATAAATGAAGCCAAACACAAAAGGTCACATATGATTCTGTTTTTTCTGATATTTGGCACATGCTAGTCCATAGAGACAGAGAATAGACTAGTGGCTGCCAGGGGTTGGGGAAAAGGGGAAATGGGGAGTAACTGCTAGTAGGTATGGAGTTTCTTTTTGAAATGATAAAAATGTTCTAGAATTAGAGAGTGGTGATAGCTGTACAACTTTATGAATACATTAAAAGCACTTAAAGTGCCTATAGTCCCAGCTACTCGGGAGGCTGTTGCAGGAGAATCACTTGAACCTGGGAGACAGAGGTTGCAGTGAGCCAAGATCGCACCACTGCACTCCAGCCTCGGTGACAGAGTGAGACTCCAAATCTGGAAAAAAAAAAAAAAATGCACTAAAATGCACTTAGTCTACACTTAGAGTGAATACTGGGCTAAAAGTGAAGTGACAGGCCAAAAACTAGGCAAATCTTCTATACACATATCTGACAAGGGACTTCAGGAAATCCTAAAAATTTCAATGACAAAATAGGAGACTATAGACAAAACGCTTGAACAATGCACATAAGGAACCCAAATAACCCATAAACAAATGAAAATAAGCTCAGCCTCCTTCCAAACCACAGAGAAGACTATTTCATATCCAACTGAAAAAACGATATCAAGCAAAGGCAAAAATGTGCACAAACCGGTACTCACATAAGCTGCCAGTAGGAATGTAAAATGGTGTTACTTCTTAGCAAATTTAGTATCATCTATTAAATAGTTCACTGTACATAATCTTGGGCCAAGCACTGCCATTCCTGGGCACATGCCCTAGAAAATCTCTACATGTGAACCAAAAACCAGCACCATTGTATGGAATAGAAAAAAAAAAATCAAAAATAGAATGGACAAACAAATTTCACTCTCTACAATCATATAATCAGACAGTGCAGCAAGGAAAATGAATGAATGTAAGAAAACCACAACAGTAGCAAAAAAACAGCAAGTCCGAATATATAAGGCATGATTCCTTTTATGTAAAGTTTCAAAATATGGAAAACTCAAAAATATCTACTGTAGGGAGACAAACATACATTCTTAGAATATATTAAGCAAAGACATTTACTTGTTTCTTTTTCAGTTTAAGGATCTGCTGTTCTACTTTTGCAATTTCTCGATCTACACGATCCATACTCTGTATTAACTCTTCCTTTGAGAGTTTTGAAGGTGAAGCATTTTGATCATCTCCACATGGTTGCCCCGAAATTGGAGAGGATGGAGCTTCATGTTTGCCTCCGAATGCTGGATCCTTTAGAGAATAAAACCAAGAAAAACAATTTATTTCTCACTAATAGAGTCCAGATTGCCTTAAATGAAAAAGTCAGTTTTAAACCACAGCAGAGCCATGTGTACTATTTGTCTAATGAAACTTTTAGTAGTAACTTTCATATTCACATACATGCAAATTCTCACCTCACTTTTATAGTTTAGATATACCATGTACTATTTTGAAGACCCTAAAAGCTATACAAAGTGAGGTGAGTTAGTGTTGATCAGCCTCTAGTATAACAATACTGAAATTATAGAGAATTTATAGGTAAATAATGCAATCATGACAAAGGAAGATACCAACTTCTCAGCCATTTCCTTGCAACGGCTCTTCAAATGGTCTGAACAACTGGCTGGGAAATAGTATTATTCCAGGTAAAACCTGTGTGTCCACCCAACTTAACAACTATAACATGGCCAAGTGTTCCTATCAAAAGTTTTTAGGCTTTCCAAACCAAAACTGAGGTACACAAGTCAGAGAAGTGACCTAGGAACTTCAGTTGCTACTATCTCTAGGCCTACTTTCATAAAGCCCACACTACAGCATACATAACATTTCCTTAGCCAAAAACATCCCATTGTGCCTCCAAATCAGCAGAGCTGTAGCAGAATGAAAGCCGCTTCACCCAAAATCCACTACCCTCCAACACACATCCACACACACCCTATTAATTTCCAGTCTGCTGTAAAGACATAAGCAATATTATAAAACAGATAAATTTTAGAGTACTAATTTTACTTAGACTATGAGAAACCTACAATGAGGGTAGTTCACAGGATTACAGAACCCTAAAATGTATTAAATAATGATTAAGGAACTGTGAAAAGTCAATAGTTCTGAGTCAAGAATGCATACAAGAGATAACTGGACAGTTGCTTCAAAACACCTTAGTACAGATATTTCAGCTAATATACACTGATGAAAAGCCTCATATTCTCTAATAGTATGCGCTGAATCTAAGAGGCCTTCTGGGAAAATAAGATTATGGCTATACCCTAAAACCTGTACAATTCTGTAAGGAAAACACCAATAAAAGCAATAACAACTCTAATAGACTTAATAGAATTAAAGCTCCAGTATCCTTTGCATCTGGCATACAGTCAATCTTTGGCAGCTTTAAGCCCTAGAGTTTATGATTCCTCTCTTAAGATGTAAATCCTTGAGGTCATTGGCTTCCAAAATAAACCAGTATGTTTCATCTAAATAAAATATCAGTGGCCAGGCACAGTGGCTCATGCCTGTAATCCCAGTACTTTGGGATGCTGACGCAGGCAGATCACAAGGTCAGGAGTTCCAGACCAGCCTAACCAACATGGTGAAACCCCGTCTCTACTAAAAAATACAAAAATTAGCTGGGCGTGGTGGCGGGCACCTGTAGTCCCAGTTACTCGGGAGGCTGAGGCAGGAAAATGGCTTGAACCCAGGAGGCAGAGGTTGCAGTGAGCTGAGATTGCACTACTGCATTCCAGCATGGGTGACAGAGCAAGACTCCATCTCAAAAAAAAAGAAAAAAAAATCAGATTTGGTGTATAACCATCTTTATCAACCTTTTTTTCTCCCCCTCCCTCCTTTATCAACATTAAAAAAAAAAATACAAGAAAATTTGTCTTCACATTGTCTTTTCAATGCTCGAATCTTCACTAACACTGTGAAAAGCACAACAGTTCTTAAATTCACTAAACCAGCTACTACTCGCACTAAATGAAAACTAAATGCAGAATGTTTACATATTTTTAAGTCTTCATGTGTTGTGAAGCCTTTCTCTTTCATTATGAGACAGCGTACTCCTGAGAACTTAGAAATGTTAACGCATAAAGAAAGATCTTTGGTGAACCACCAGGACTTTCATGATACATTAATATCATTCTCCCACTATATGCATATGAGCAAATTTGTGTTACAGAAACATATATAATAGCAAAAGAGATTATATTTTGATTCAGCAGACTTCAAAAGTGCTCCTCAGGTGATTCTGATGCATGCCCAAAGAATTAATATTACAAATGAATATTTTCCACTGACTTCCTTTCTAAATATTAAATATTTAACAAGAAACCACATCCTCAAGTGCCTACTTACATAACAGGAATAAGATCAAAACAGACAAGATATCTGCCTTCATGAACCTTACAATCTTGGCTTGAAACAGCCAGATACCAATCCTGAAGAAAAAGAATTAGATTCTTACCTCATATCTTACATCAAAAAAAAAAGCCAAGTAATAGCAAACATTTATAAGAGGCTTATTAGCAAATCACAAAAAGCCTCAAGTTAAAAAAAAATAATAATAAAGGATTCACATTATCTTGGGTTCAGGAAGGCCAAAAGCAAAAGATATAAAAGACATTAGTTTTTAAAAAAGAAAGATTGATGGATAAAATAAAAAACTATCTTCCACTGGGCACGATGGCTCACACCTGTAATCCCAGCACTTTGGGAGGCCGAGGCGGGCAGATCACTAGAGGTCAGGAGTTCGAGACCAGCCTGGCCAACATGGTAAAACCCCATCTCTACTAAAACTACAAAAATCAGCCAGGTGTGGTGGTGCGAGCCTGTAATCCCAGCTACTTGGGAGGCTGAGGCAGGAGAATGGCTTGAACCCGGGAGGCGGAGGTTGCAGTGAGCATAGATGGCACCACTGCACTCCAACCTGGGTGATAGAAGAAGACTCCATCTCAAAAAAAAAAAAAAAAAAAACCACACACACAAAAACACAATCTTCTGCTTATCAAAACAGTAATAACAAATTAAAAAGGCAAACGATTAAATAGGAAAACCATTTGCAAAACATGCACTCTAACAACTCAATGTAAAATAAACCAACAGAAAAATGGACAACATATACGAAAAAACAATTTACAAAACAGGAAAAATAACCAATAAACAAATAAAAAAAGTTAAGTTTTACTAACAAATAATAAGTGTAAGTTAAAAACAATCATTCATCAAATTAACAATCTTTTTGTTAAACAATAGACATGTGGTGTCAGCAAGGATAAAAAAGAAGTGGATACCTTTATTTATTTTTATTTTTTGAGATGAAGTCTCACTCTTGTCCCCCAGGCTGGAGTGCAATGGCACAATCTCAGCTCACTGCAACCACCGCCTCCCAGGTTCAAGCGATTCTCTTGCCTCAGCCTCCCGAGTAGCTGGGATTACAGGCGCCTGCCACCACGTCCAGATAATTTTTGTATTTTTAGTAGAGATGGGGTTTCACCATGCTGGGCAGGTTGGTCTCGAACTCCTGACCTCTGGTGATCCGCCCGCCTCGGCCTCCCAAAGTGCTGGGATTACAGGCGTGAGCCACCGCGCCCAGCCAAGAAGTGGGTACCTTTATACACTGCTGTCAGGAGTTAAGAACTGGCCCTACTCTTTTGCAGGACAATCTGGAAATACCCACCGTACCTTAAAAATCAACCTGGTCTACAATTAATTATACTAAAAGAAATCTACCTTAAGGAAATAAGTAAGAATGTATACAAAAAAATCAACCTAAATAATGTATGGGCCAGCTGCAGTGGCTCACGCCTATAATCCCAGCATATTGGGAGGCCAAAGCGGGCAGATCACCTGAGGTCAGGAGTTCGAGACCAGCCTGGCCAACATGGTGAAACCTCGTCTCCACTAAAAATACAAAAATTAGCTGAACTTGGTGGCGTGCGCCTGTAGTCCCAGCTACTCGGGAGGCTGAGGCAGGAGAATTGCTGGGAGGTATAGGTTGCAGTGAGCCAAGATCACACCACTGCACTCCAGCCTGGGCAACAAAGTGAGACTCCGTCTCAAAAAAAAAAAAAAACAATGCATGTCACAACACCGTACTTCTGAACAAACAGGTAACCTAAATGTATGACAATTGATTAAATAATTTTATTTAATCAATGAACTTTATTTATGCATATGTGGAATACTAAGTAGCCACTAACAATACAGTTGTAAACCTATTGGCACAAAAAGAAGCTAAGCACGTATTTAAGCAAAAGTAAGTTAAACAGAATGTACAAAGGGGGCACATTAAAATATTCATACGGGCTGACTCTGGACACACTGCCTTATGGGTTAGCCCTGTTCCACAAGGAGCAGCAAAAAAACAACAACAACAACAAAAAACCCATAAAATTAAATAAAATTAAAATTAAAATAATACACATACAAATAGGGAAGAATCAACATGAAAATGTTAATAACTTTTAAATGGTAAACTGTAGGTAATTTTTTCTTTCAAGCTTATTTAACTCTTCTATAAATGATATACCTAGGCTTAACATTTAACAAAAAATCTAACAAATGTTAGTTCTTTTTAAATCCTTACTTCTGGAGGTGGGCAGTTGGGAGAGAATGGGGAGAGGGAGATGGAAGGAGAAGTATTAGTTAGTAGAAGTAGTCATGGTTTACACTTTAGGGGAAAAAAAGCAGGACTAGAGTCGGGGTCCTGGGTTAATTTCAACTCAGGAGTTACTAACCTAGGTCACTTAATTTTTCTGAACACCCAGTTTCTCAACTATAACATGGAAATGGGTCACACTACAACACAACACGTCCCATTTTAATGAATGAGTTTTTAAGACACTTTTCTGCTAAAAAACAAAATTCTATAGTTACAAATTACATTTGTGGTAATGTATTCAGCCATGGAAGATGACCTTTATTCACTATATTTTTAAATTTCTTTTTTTTAATGCAGCAGAACATTTCTTATAAACCCCACAGACTACTGTATGATAAAGATGATTCACATGATAAGGTGGGTCACAAAACACCTAGAAGCTTAGCTAATTTCTAGCTTACGGCAAAGAATTTTTCCCCATCCAACTTACTATTTTGAAAAATTTCAAATTTACTTAAAAGTTGAAGGAACAATATAATGGACACTCATTTATCCTTCATCTAGATTCACCAGTAGTTAACATTTTAACATATTTGCTTTCTGTGTGTGTGTGTGTGTGTGTGTGTGTGTGTATAACTTCATTTTGGCTGAACTATTTGAAAATAAATTGTAGATACATTTACTATCTTTTAAATTACTCTTCATTGCATAAAACTCAAAGAAAATGTGTGGGTACTTATTTATCTGGTATCAGGGAAGAAAGGGCAATTAGGCATAAAGGTTAATAAACACAGAAAAAAGATTTGATGGCAGTAAAAACATTTTAAACTTCAGTATGCTTTAAAAAAAGAAAAACTGAAACAAAAAGACACTGGGAAAAATATTAGCGTATGTTGGTAAAAAGGTTAACACTTTACTGTTAAGAGTTTTTAAAATTAATTTATTCTTTCTATGACAAATATTTATTCTGTATCTACTAAGTGTCAGGCACTTCCTAATCTGCAGAATTAATAATAAGCAAAGCAGAGTTGAAAAAGGTAAACATAGGCCCGGCACAGTGGCTCATGCCTGTAATCCCAGCACTTTGGGAGGCCGAGGTGGGCAGATCACGAGGTCAGGAGTTCAAGAGACCAGCCTGGCCAACACGGTGAAACCCTGTCTCTACTAAAAATACAAAAATTAGCTGGGCATGGTGGTGCGTCCCTGTAATCCCAGCTACTCGGGAGGCTGAAGCAGGAAAATTGCTTGAACCAGGACCCGGGAGGCGGAGATTGCAGTGAGCCAAGATCGCGCCACTGCACTCCAGCCTGGGGTACAGAGCGAGACTCCATCTCAAAAAAAAAAAAAAAGAAAAAGGTAAACATAGCAATAAAACAAGGACATACTACATGAGCAAACATTTCACAAAAGATGGGTAAATAAAAATAAGTGCATGGGGAAAGTTCTTAATAGAACTCGCATTGTTTGAAATGTCACAAAATATAGCTAAATATTAAAACTTATCTTTGTACAGCATGGCAACTATAGCTAATAATATGTATTATATATTTAAAAATTGCTACGAGTGGATTTTAAATGTTCTTACCACCAAAAAAAAACTATGTGAGGTGATGAATATGTTAATTAGCTTGATGTGTTTCCCAATGTATACATACATCAAAATATCACACTGTATAAATATCATCATAAATATAAATATCACCATAAATATACACAATTTTTATTCCACAATAAAACTGGGGGAGGGTCGTTATCTCCAAGTTACAGGATTACAGGTAACTTTTTTCCTCTTTATTTTCCCAGTTTTCTATAAGTATGTATTACTTACATAAATTAGGAACAATTTTCTTTTGTATAGAACTTATATGCACAATTCAACCTTACCTGGATGTGTTTTCTCCCATATAGCAGTTAATAAACTGCTACTAAATTTAAGGGACTTGTTTAAAATTTAATTAAGATTTAACAAAACTAGTAGTCTTGAGTACCTCTGACCACATTTTATAGCCAGCAAGCCAGTAAAAAAATGCTTGAGCATTATTTAATAGAAATTCTTCTTTATGGGAGCAGTCTTCTTGGACTGTTTTCACTTACCGAAAAGGCAAAAGTGCTCACTTTAGCAGTCTGGAGCACTCATCTGTGGTTTCTAGTTTTGTTTAACAAAATTTTTACTTTCCCATACCACTAACCTTTAGAGACTGGTGTAACTGGACTTTCTTTGAGGTGCTATGCATGAGTATAACTAAATAAACATTACAAACCTACAACTCTACAGGGTAAGAGAACAAATATTTACCTTCTTAGCATCTGCAGAAGCCCTCAGCCCTTCTGGCAGCGGGTGCACTAAAGGCAAAACCGCAGCACTGACACGCTGAAAATGAGAATCAGAAACCTGTTCCAGACGTGGTCGCTTCGATTCCAGTGAATCATGATCCACTGGGGATGGGCCTGGATGAAACGGTTCATAACTAGTTCTCCTTTCTTGAGGCCTAATACATACAAAGAAAATAAACACTTGAAAATTTGTAAGTGATGTACAACTCCCTGGTAACATCCCTGGTTAGACTTTGAAATAACAAATGAAAAAGTCATGCTTACATTCAAAGTGAATCCGTACCCCTTCTGTTCCCACCCCCAAAGAATATATACCTCACTATAGTACCATTAAACTTCTAGTCTAATTTTTAAAAAAGGTTTGAATTAGCTGGGCGTGGCAGTGGGCGCCTGTAATCCCAGCTACTCGGGAGGCTGAGGCAGGAGAATTGCTTGAACCTGGGAGGTGGAGGTTGCAGTGAGCTGAGATCATGCCACTGCACTCCAGCCTGGGCAACAATGTGAGACTCCGTCTTAAAACAAAAAAAAAAGGTTTGGGGGGAGGATTAAAAACTAATCTAGAAGTGAAAGACAAAACAGAACATTTGCAGAAAGTTTAGTTGCTGAAGAATATCTATAAACTAATATTTTTAAATGTTAAAATGCCATAATAATTAAATTTGGGATAATATAAACCAGAAGAGCCACCATTTTTCAACCAATAATAAAAACAAGCAAGAAATAAAAATCTCCCAGCTATTGCTACAAAGAAAGAGAAATGACTTCACTTATGAGGTACCATTCAGTCTTAAAGACAAGTCTCTTGAGGAGAAATCCAACATTGCTTCTAAAACATCATCCTGGCCCCAAAAACATGTATTCTGTCTAGCTTCCCTAAATACATGACTTGAAGATCAGAATCTTTCATTTCTTTACAGGATGTATTGTTGAGTCCTGCTCGTGAGTGCTCATTAAGTTGACTTTTCATTTTCTACCAGGTGTTTACAGAGGTGATATTGTATCTCATGGCCAACCTGTAAACTAATGCTTTGCAAAGCAATATTTCATTGAAAACAGAATTGCTGGGTTTCATATTGAGGACAGACAATGAAATGAATGCTAAATTCTTTTTTTGTTTGTTTATTTCTTTTTTGAGGCCCAGACTGGAGTGCCCCATCTCGGCTCACTGCAACCTCCACCTCCCGGATTCAAGTGATTCTCCTGCCTCAGCCTCCCCGGTAGCTGGGATTACAGGCGCGAGCCACCATGCCAGGCTAATTTTTGTAGAGATGAGGTCTTGCTATATTGCCTAGGCTGGTCTCGAACTCCTGAGCTAAGCAATCCACCTGCCTCAGCCTCCCAAAGTGCTGAGATTACAGGTGTGAGCCACCGCACCTGGCCTGAATGCTAAATTCTGTAAAATTATTATACTTCAAAATTTTAAATCTCATTCAACACATAGAATTCCATTATCTTAAAATTCAGAGTGACATCACAAAAAACTTCAGGAATGGGAAACTTCAGGAACAAGACAAAGATGACTGCATTCACCATTTATATTCAATATGGTATTGGAAATTACTTTCAGAGCACTAGGAAAGAAAAAGAAATAAAAGGTATCCAAATTTAAAAAGAAATAAGCATTTTTATTCAAGACAACATGATTCCATATGTGGCACCCTAAAGAATTGGCAAAAAAAAAACTATTAGAGCTAACAAATAAATACATCGAAGTTGGAGGATACAAAATCAACACACAAAACTCAGTTGTATTCTATACACTAGCATTAAACAATCCAAACATGAAACTTAAAAAACAATACATTTATGCTGGGTGCGGTGGCTCACACCTGTCATCCCAGCAGTTTGGGAGGCCGGGGCGTGTGGATCATCTGAGGTCAGGAGTTCGAGACCAGCCTGACCAACATGGAGAAAAACCCATCTCTACTAAAAAATACAAAATTAGTCAGACATGGTGGTGCTCGCCTGCAATCCCAGCTACTCGGGAGGCTGAGGCGGAAGAATCGCTTGAACCCAGGAGGCAGACGTTGAGGTGACCCGAGATCATGCCATTATACTCCTGCAGGGGCAACAAGAGCGAAACTCCATCTCAAAAAAAAAAAGCAATACATTTATAAGAGCACCCAAAAGAACATAGCTAGGAATAAATATGACCAAGGAGGCTTATGACTTTAAACACTGAAAACCACAAAACATTGCTCGAAGAAATAAAAGACTTAATACATAGTAAGAAATCTCAAATTCATATGTTGGAAGATAATGTCATTAAATGACAATACTACACAAAGCAACCTGTGGATTCAATGTAATCTCTATCAAATGCCATTGGCTTTTTTGCAGAAATAGAAAAACTCATCAGAAAATTCATATGGAATCTCAAAGGATTACAAACAGCCAAACAATCTTGGAAAAGAACAAAGTTGGAAAACTCACACTTCACCTTTTAAAGCTTACTACAAAGCTATTATAATCAAAAGATTCATCCTCCACTAAGGCCAGAGGTAATCTACCCAAGTAATGCCTTAGCTGGACTTCTGCCCTCAGTTGCCCCCTCAGCTAGAACATAACCTACAAAAGCATAATTTTCAAGTATTACATTTCATTTCCAGCAACTCTGCCTCTGAGATTTATCAAAGCCAGAAGGTGAGGCATACCATACCCAGTACTGGAGAAGAAACTAAGGTACCAAGGAACAGGACAACTCAGAAAACAATGAGTATGGAATGCTCTTTTTCTATCTAGAAATCAGACTACTTCCCATTTCAGCCTGCCAATCCTTTTTAGAAGAACAAATCTACTCAGCCATAAATAAATATATAATTTAATGTATAAAATCTCAGAAATTTAAATAAACTACGAAAATCTTTGCTAAGTACAATTTAATATTAGGAGTTCTGGTAGAACTAAGCATGAAATCTCCAATTTAAATTAATGTATTTGCCTTTTAAAATTAACACCAGTAGAATGGTATACTTTGAAAACGATCTGGTAGTTTCTCAAATAGTTAAATAAAATAGAGTTACCACATGACCCAGCAATTCCACTCCTAGGTATCTAACTAACAGAAAGGAAAATATACGTACAAACAAAAACTTGTACACGAATATTCACAGCAGAATTATTCATAATTGTCAAAAAGTAAAAATGATCCAAACACCCATCAGCTGATAAAAATAGATAAATAAACTGTGGTATAAAAAAAAAAAAACCTAACAGCAAATTTTCACATAAAGAAATCTTTGTAGGGCAAGATGCCGTGGCTCACGCCTGTAATCCCAAGACTTTGGGAGGCCGAGTAAGTGCATCACTTGAGGTCAGGAGTTCGAGACCAGCCTGACCAACAAGGTGAAAGCCCGTCTCTACAAAAAAATACAAATGTTAGGCGGGCGTGGTGGTGCGCGCATGTAGTCCCAGCTACTCGGGAAACTGAGGCAGGAGAATCGCTTGAACCCAGGCAGAGGTTGCAGTGAGTCAAGATCACGCCACTGCACAACACAACAGTCTGGGTGACAGAGCCAGACTCATTTGTCTTTTAAAAAAAAAAAAACTCTGTAGGCTTGCAGACTTTGTAAAGTTCCCCATTTTACTGACTTTTGTCATCTCGTAACACCATCTTTAAACATCTTTAAAACAAATTAAAATTACAAAACACATTTAAATAACTATACTTTATCATTCGAACTTTAAAGAATTTTAAAGCAGTCTGATTTCTTGCTAAAAGAGAATATTCCATACTCAATGTTTTTCTTAATTTTCCTGTGCCCTGGTTGCCGGATGTAGTGGCTCACACGTTTCCCATCACTTTAGGGGGCCAAGGCAGGAGGATCGCTTGATGCTGGGAGTTTGAGACCAGTCCAGGCAATATAGCAACTCTGTCTCTACAAAAATAAAAAATTTGTCAGGCACAATGCCATGCGCCTGTAATCTGAGCTACTCAGAAGACTGAGGCAGGAGGATCACTTGAACCCAGGAGTTTAGAGACTTTGTCTCTTTTAAAAAAAAAAAAAAAAAGATGGGTTTATGGCTAACTACCAATCCTCTTACCATGGCATCCATTCTTTGTTTGGCTGGATTCGGTCATCAAGAAATTCTTAGGCCAGGTGCGGTGGTTCACACCTGTAATCCCAGCACTTTGGGAGGTCAAGGTGGGTGGATCACCTGAGGTCAGGAGTTCGAGACCAGCCTGGCCAACATGGAGAAACCCCATCTCTACTAAAAATACAAAAAAATTAGCCAGGTATGGGGGCACATGCCCGTAATCCCAGCTACTTGGGAGGCTGAGGTAGGAGAATCACTTGAACCCAGGAAGCGGAGGTTGCAGTGAGCCGAGATCGCATCATTGCACTCCAGCCTGAACAACAAGAGCAAAACTCCATCTCAAAAAAAGAAAAAAGAAAAAAAAGAAATTCTTTCAGGTTTTTTGTTTTGTTTTGCTTTGTTTTGTTTGAAACAGAGTGTCACTCTGTCTCCCAGGCTAGAGTACAGTGGTGCGATCTCGCCTCACTGCCACCTCCACCTCCTGGGTTCAAGAGAGCCTCCTGCCTCAGACTCCAGAGTAGCTGGGATTATAGACGTGCGCCACCACTCCCAGTTAATTTTTATATTTTTAGTAGAGACAGGGTTTCGCCATGTTGGCCAGGCTGGTCTCGAACTCCTGACCTCAGGTGATATGCATGCCTCAGCCTCCCAAAGTGCTGGGACTGCAGGTGTGAGCCACCACGCCCGGCCTCTTTCAGTTTTAGATGCTATAATTGCTCAGTGCTTTCATGTCTAAGAAAATCTGCCTGTTGTTTTTATTGTTAAACTGTCTGGTATAATATTCTTGAATATCAATTTCTTTTACTCAGAACTTTGTAGCTACTGCTTCACTATTTTCTGTCACTCAATTCTGCTATGTAGAAGTTTGTAGCCTGACTCTTCCACCTTGTGGAGCATTTATTTTGTTTCCTGAATTCCTAGTTCTTTTACTTATCCTTGAAATTTAATTCCTCAACCATGATCTGTCTTGGTATGGATCATTCTTTCTGTATAAATTTTCCTGGAACAAGATATGTTTTATCAATCTGTAGAATCTATCAATTCTTCCTTAACTTTATGGGGAATTTCTGTATTATGAATATTATTACTGTTCCTTTACCAGGTTTTCCACCTCAAAAACATGTTCTTATAGTATACTGGATGATCTTTATTTGTCCTCCCTACAAGTTCTTTCTAATTGTCTTAATCTTTGTCCTTTTCTTCTGCACTCACTCTAATTATATCAAGACTTTGTTCTAAGACAAGGTTTACCTTAAGCCACATCTACTTTATTCCTTTTCTTTCTAATTTTATATCTTCAGGGCACTCAAATGTCTGAACTACATTTAGCCCATCTGGCTGTCTTATCATTTTGTTTTTGAATACTTCATTATTTAAGTTCTTTTATAGAAGAAATATAGAAATATAGAACTTATTTATATTATTAAGTTCTTTTATAGTGCATAGCACTTACGAGGCATGCTCTTTATGTTTCTTACACGTGGCGATTTTATTTTTGGCATACTATGTTGCTTTAATTTTCTTTTCCAGGAATATATTCGCCTCATTTGTGCCATTCCCCACCCTCCTGCTCAGGTACATTGTGGCAGCCTTTCTCTTTGGCGTGGGATAGTCTGGGTGGGTTCTCCTTGATTGTTCCCACTTTTTCTGGCATGTAGTCATCTTCTCTGCAAATGGAAGAATAGGTATGGCTTTCTAAATACTGTTCTATGGCCCGAGGGAACATGTAAGTGGGGCAAAGGAAGAAAAATCTTGGTTAGGGCTGTAACTGCCTCTGCTAAGGACTCTGGCCCCCTCTACCAGCCAGACATGTAGACCACTCCAGAGGGTTCTGGCTCATCACTTTACAGAATGGCACATCCCAACTGTCCTTTCTGCAGCTGTTGAGAAACCAGGATGGCATAATGGGAATTCTCAAGCAAACCATTCACCACCACCAATTGAAATTTTCTCCAATCAAAGAATATTCATGAGAAATCCTAGGATTTCACTAACTTACTTTCTTCGATACTGCTTTTTTTTAATTTTCTTTTTAAAAAACTCATGTTCCGCCAGGCACAGTGGCTCACGCCTGTAATCCCAGCATTTTGGGAGGCTGAGGCGGGCGGATCACCTGAGGTCAGGAGTTCGAGACTAGCCTGGCCAACATGGTGAAACCCCACCTCTACCAAAAATATAAAATTAGCCAGTCATGGAGGCAGGCATCTGTAATCCCAGCTACTCTAGAGGCTGAGGCATGAGAATCCCTTCAACCCGGGAGGCAGAGGTGAGCCAAGATTGCGCCACTGCACTCCAGTTTGGGCAAAAAGAGCAAAACTCTGTCTCAAAAAAATAAAATAGGCCAGTTGTGGTGGCTCATGCCTGTAATCCCAGCACTTTGGGAGGCTGAGGCAGGCAAATCCCAAGGTCAGGAGATTGAGACCATCCTGACTAACACAGTGAAACCCCATTTCTGCTAAAAATACAAAGAATCAGCCGGGCATGGTGGCATGAGCCTGTAGTCCCAGCTACTCGGGAGGCTAAGGCAGGAGAATTGCTTGAACCCAGGAGGCAGAGGTTGCAGTGAGCCGAGATCACGCCACTGCACTCCAGCCTGGGCAACAGAGCAAGACTCCGTCTCAAAAAAAAAAAAAAAAAAAAAAAGAATAGAATAAAATAAAATGAAATAAAATAAAAACTCATGTTCCTTGACTCATAAAACAATAATGCTACTTTAACAATAGAAAATAGGAGGCCAAGTCATTCAAGATACTTGTAATTCTTTCCGTGAATCCCACTTTTCTAAGTTTTTGACAATAGCTGTATGTCTTTTCTTATTTATAAAAGGGTAAATTTTTAGCCTGTTTGAAAAATATGTTTTTGTTCATTTTTTAGATATTAGGGGACAAGTAAGCTGAATTCTCTCTCCAAACTTAACCAAGAAATGTATTATATAATAATTTTAGGCTGGGAGTGGTGGCTCACGCCTATAATCCTAGCACTTTGGGAGGCCGATGCAGGTGGATCACCTGAGGTCAGGAGTTTGAGACCAGGTTGGCCAACACGGTGAGACCCTGCTTCTACTAAAACTACAAAAAAAGTTATTTTTTTTTTGTAGTGCCTGCAGTTCCAGCTAATCGGAGGCTGAGGCAGAAGAATCGTTTGAACATGAGAGGCAGAGGTTGCAGTGAGTCAAGATCATGTCACTGCACCCCAGCCTGTGCATCAGAGTGAGACTCCACCTCAAACAAAATAATATTATATTTCAAATCTTTGATCAACTTAAAACCTAAACAGTGAGCACATTTTTGAAATGGGAAATCAGGTACCTTATAAAATTGCTGAAATCAGAAAGGAAATTTATAAAGGTAATTATATTTCAAAATAACTTAGAATTCATATAAATAAAATAAAAATGAAAACGAAGAAATTACAACAGATGCCTCAGAAATAAAAAGGATCATAAGGAACTATATGAACCATTATATGTCAATAAATTGGATAACCTAGAGGAAATGGATAAATTCCTAGAAAAACACAACCTACCAAGATTGAGTTAAGCAGAAGTAGAAAGCCTGAACAAACGAACAACAAATGAAGAGGCTGAAGAAGTAATCAAAAACTTCTCAACAAAGAAAACTCCAGTATCTGAAGGCTTCATGGCAGAATTCTACTGAATAGTCAAAGAAAAATATATACCAACTCCTCCTAAACTCTTCCAAAAAATAGAGCTAGAGGGACTATTTCCCAACACATTATATGAGAGAAACTTAACTCAAAGGCATTTAAGTTGATATCTAAGTCAAGGACATCACAAGAAAACAAAACTAGAGGCCAATCTCTCTAATGAACACTGATGCAAAAATCCTCAATAAAGGCCGGGCGTGGTGGCTCACGCCTGTAATCCCAGCACTTTGGGAGGCCCAGGCGGGCGGATCACGAGGTCAGGAGATCGAGACCATCCTGGCTAACACAGTGAAACCGTGTCTCTACTAAAAGTACAAAAATTAGCCGGGCGTGAAGCCGGGAGGCAGAGCTTGCAGTGAGCCAAGATCGTGCCACTGCACTCCAGCCTGGGCAACAGAGCGAGACTCTGTCTCAAAAAAAAAAAAAAAAAAAAAACAAACCTCAATAAAATATTAACAAACTGAATTCAACAACACATCACGAAGATTACAAACCACTAGCAAGTGGGACATATCCCTGGCATGCAAGGCTGGTTTAACATACACAAATCAATCAATGGGATATATCATATTAAGAGAAGTGAACGGACATTTCTCCAAAGAAAACATAAAAATGGCCAAGAGATATATGAAATGGTGCTCAATATCACTAATCACAATGGAAATGCAAATTAAAACTACAATGAGATCTCACCTCACACCTGTAAGGATGGCTATTCTCCAAAAGACAACAAATGTTGGCGAGGGTATGGAGAAAAGGGAACCCTAGTATTTTGTTGGTGGGAATGTAGATTGTTATAGCCATTATAGAAAACAGTATGGAAGGCCCCAAAGAAATTAAAAATACAACTACTATAGACCCAGCAATCCCTCTTCTGGTTGTATACTCAAAAGGAATGAAATCACCACCTCATAAAGATATCTGGGGTGGGCTCAGTGGTTCATGCTTATAATCCTAGCACTTTGGGAGGCTGAGGCAGAAGGATCGCTTGAGGCCAGGAGTTGGAGACCAGCCTGGATATAGTGAGACCCTATCTCTACAAAAAATACAAAAATCAGCCAGGCACAGTGGCATGCACCTGTGGTGCCAGCTACCCGGGAGGCTGCAGTGGGAGGATCATTTGAGCCTGGGAGGTCCAGGCTGCAGTGAGCCATGATCATGCCACTGTACTCCAGCCTGAGTGGCAGAGCAAGACCCTATCTCAAAAAAAAAGAATAAAACAACAACCAGATACCTACACTCCCATATTCATGGCAGCATCATTCACAATAGTTCATATATAGAAACAACCTAGATGCCCACTGACAGATGAATGGATTAAGAAAATGTGCAGGCCAGGCACAGTGGCTCACTCCTGTAATCCCAGCACTTTGGGAGGCTGAGGTGGGCGGATTACTTGAGGTCTGGAGTTCAAGACCAGCCTGGCCAACATGGCGAAACCCTGTCTCTACTAAAAATACAAAAAGTAGCTGGGCATGGTGGCACACGCCTGTAGTCCCAGCTACTCCAGAGGCTGAGGCAGGAGAACTGCTTGAACCCAGGAGGTGGAGGTTGCAGTGAACCAAGGTTGTGCCATTGCACTCCAGCTTGGGTGACAGAGTGAGACTCTGTCTAAAAAAAAAAGAAAGAAAGAAAATGTGATGTGTGTGTGTATACATATATATGTATGTGTGTGTGTGTGTGTGTGTGTGTGTGTGTGTGTGTGTGTGTATAAATATTATTCAACTTTAAAAAAGAAAAAAATCCTTTCATACCATAACATGGATGGACCATGCTGAAACCACGCTGAAATAAGCCAGGCACAAAAATAAAAATATTGCATGATCTCCCCTATATATGGAATATTAAAAAAAAAAAAAGCACTCAAATACACAGGGATAGAGAATGAAACAGTGGTTCACTGGTTGGGGATAGAGAAATAAGGAGATGGAGGTCAAAGGATACAAAATAGCAGATGTGTGGGATGAACAAGTCTAGAGATCTAATGTATAACATGAGGACTAAAGTTAATACAATTGTATTATATTAGGGATTTTTGCTAAATGGGTAGATTTTAGCTATTCGTCACCAAAACAAAGTATGTGAGATGACAGATATGTTCACTGGCTAAACTATGTGTATCCCATAACACCATGTAAACCTCAAATATACATAATAAAATTTATTTTAATATGTAAATGTAAAAATCATTCTTAACTTGAGGGCTCTACAAAAACAGGACAGACAGGATATGGTCAGTACCAACTAGCCTTAGTTTGGCAACCTCTGTCCTAGATAATAAAAAAAGTGAAAAACAGCAAACAAATAAAACTAAACCTCTAGTGCTACAAAAGAACAATTTGAAATGATCATGTCAATACTGAAAAAAGAGAATGGCAAAAGTATGGGTAACAAACTTTTTTTTTTCCAAACCAAGTGGTTTCTAATTCTTTACTTTTGTATCAAAGGAGAAACTATTTTTTAGCTGAAAGATCAAAAAAAATAATTTTAGATATCAGATCACTGTGATTGTTGGTCTAGAAATTGGAAGGCACTCAGAGAATTAAGCAAAATTGCAGCTACAAAATTTATTCCATTTCTACCTGCTTAGATGAACAATATTCATAGTCTATAAAAAATAAAAATTGGAATAGTATTCACATAGAAGCCTGCCTGTTTCCAGTAATTAGTACTCAAAAATTACAATAATTGGGGGAAGGGAAACCAGTCCTTTCTTATTAAAAGGTATGTTTTCAGTAAGATTTTACTTTTTGCTTTTAAGAATAATGTAATAAAATGTATACATATATTTATGCTTTTTTGTTCAATGATCTACTACTACTAATTGTCATAACTTAATCCAGAGTAAAACTTTTAAACACTCAGGGCCTAAAATCACAGAAAACTTAAATAAATTTATTTTATTTTACTTATTTATTTTTTTTGTTTGAGACGGAGTCTCGCTCTGTCACCCAGGATGGAGTCCAGTGGCACAATCTTGGCTCACTGCAAGCTCCGCCTCCCGGGTTCATGCCATTCTCCTGCCTCAGCCTCCAGAGTAGCTGGGACTATAGGTGCCCACCACCACGCCCGGCTAATGTTTTGTATTTTTAGTAGATGAGGTTTCACCGTGTTAGCCAGGATGGTCTCAATCTCCTGACCTCGTGATCCGTCCACCTTGGCCTCCCAAAGTGCTGGGATTACAGGTGTGAGCCACAGTGCCCGGCCCAAAATTTCTATATGTATTTGTAGTAGAAATATATGAAAGTGATCAGTAAAATGCTATTAAGAATAAACATATTAGCAAAAAATTTTTACTGGAGAAGAAAAGAAATAAAAATTCAAGGAGAAAAAAAGGACAATATAAAGTTTCCTACTGGTAAAAAGAAGAGAAGTAAAAACAAAAACAAAACACGTCATCTTAACTGATGCAGAAAAAGCATTCAAAAAGTCCAAAATCTTTTCTTGACTTAAAAAACTCAACAGTTTAGGAAAAGAAGGAAAGTTCCTTAACATAATAAAGGCCATTTGTGAAAATTCCACAACTAACATCATAATCAATAGGGAAATACTGAAAGATTTTCCACTAAGATACCATGAAAGGTAAGGATCGGATCCTTTTCCCATCTAGTACTATGTTGATTAGAAGCAGTGGCAAACACTTCTAATCAACATAGTACTAGAAGTACTAGCAAGAGCAATCAAACAAAAAAAAAAAAAAAGAAAAGAAAAAAAAGAAAAGAAATAAAAGGCATCCAGTCAGAAAGGAAAAAGTAAAAATATCTTTATTTGCAGATGACACAATCCTATGTATAAAAGTTCCCCAAGATTCTACACATTAAAAAAAAAAACTGTTAGAATAAATGAATCCAGTAAAGTTGCAGGATACAAAATCAACAGCAGTTTTATATACAAGTAACAACCTAACTGAAAAAGAAATCAAGGAAACAATTTATGACAGAGTTCTAAAAGACATTTAAATAAATTTACTTGGTTAAATAAATTTAACCAAGGAGGTGAAAGATCTGTATATTGAAAACTATAAAACACTGATTAAAAAACTGAAGACACAAATAAATGAAGAGATATCCTGTGCTCATGGATCAAAAGAATGTTGCAAAAATGTCCACACAACCCAAAGAAATATACAGTACAGATTCAACACAATTCTTATTAAAATCCCAATGGGGTTTTTCACAGAAATAGAAAAAACAACCCTAAAATTCACATGGAAGTATAAAAGACCCCCAATAGCAAAATCAATTCTGAAAAAGAAAAACAAAGAGACATCACACTTCCTGATTTAAAATTGTACTACCAAGTTACAGTAATCAAAACAATATGGTATTGGCATAAAAATAGACACACTGATCAGTAGAAAAGAATAGAAAGCCCAGAAATAAATCTAAACATATGGCCGCCTAACTTTTGACAAGGGAACCACAGCAACACAGTGGGGAAAGGGTAGTCTCTTCAATAATGCTGGGAAAACTAGATATCCAGATGCAAAGGAATGAAATTAGACCCTTGTTTTACAGCATATACAAAAATCAACTCAAAATGGATAAAATACTTAAATATAAGATCAGAAACTATAAAAGTCCTGCAAGAGAACGTAGGGAGAAAAGCTCTGGGACACCGACCTTGGCAATGATTTTTTGCATATCAAGAGGTCAGGCCACAAAAGCACAAATATATAAATGGGACTACATCAAACTAAAAAGCTTCTGAAAACAACAAAATGAGTCAGCAGCCTGTAGACACAGAAAACATATTTGTAAACTATGCATCTGCTAAGGAATTAATATCCAGAATTTATAAAGAACTCATAAAACTCAATAGCAGAAAAACAAATAACCTGATTTTAAAATGGGCAGAAGATCTGAATAGACATTTCTCAAAAGAAAACGTAAAAATCACCAACAGGTATATGAAAAGATGTTCAGTATCATTAGTCATCAGGGAACTGTATATTAAAAGCACTATGAGATATTCTCACACCCATTAGGATGCCTATTACCAAAAAAAGTCAAAAGATAACAAATATTAATGAGGGCATGAAGAAAAGAGAACTCTTGTACACTGCTGGTGGTAACGTAAATTAGTACAACCATTATGGAAAACAGTATGAAAGTTCCTAAAGCAATTAAAAATAGAACTACCACATGACCCCACAATCCTTCTTCTGGATATATACCCAAGGGAAATGAAATCACCATCTTGTAAAGGTAAATGCACTCCCATGTTATTGCAGCTAATTATTCACAATAGCCAAGATATAAAAACAATCTAAGTGTTTGTCAATGAATGAATCATAAAGAAACTGTGGTATATATACACTATGGAATATTATTCAACCCTAAAAAAAAATGAGATCTTGCCATCCACAACATGGATAAGCCTGAAGGACATTATGCTATGTGAAATAAACCTGACACAGAAAGTAAAATATTGCATGATTTCGCTTATATGTGGAATCTTAAACAAAAAAAAAAAAAAAAAAAAGGAACTATACAAAGAGAACAAAACAGTGCTAACAGTGGTTACCAGGGGCAGGGGGTGGAAAGAAAATGGGGAGACGAAAGTCAGAGGATGTAAAGTAGCAGACACATAGAATGAAAAAGTCTAGATTTCTTATGTACAACATGAGGACTACAGATAATAATATAGTGCTGTATCTGGGATTCATGATAAATGAGTAGATTTTAGTCGGTCCAGCCACAAAAGCAAAAATAAAAACAAAAGCAAAAATAAATAACTTTGTGAGATGATGGATATGCTAATTTGCTTCACCATAGTGACCTTTTTATTATCTATACGTATCCCATAACATCATGTTGTATGCCTTAAATACACACAATTTAAAAAAAAAAATTCTGGCGAGGTGCAGTGGCTCATGCCTATGATCCCAACACTTTGAGAGGCCAAAGCGGGCAGATCACTTGAGGCCCAGAATTCAAGACCAGCCTGGTCAACACGGCAAAACCCCATCTCTACTAAAAACACAAAAGTTAGCTGGGTGTGGTGTGTATGCCTGTAATCCCAGCTATTTAGGAGGCTGAGGCATGAGAATCACTTGAACCCTGGAGACGGAGGTTGCAGTGAGCTGAGATCATGCCACTGCACTCCAGCCTGGGTGACAAGAGTGAGACTCTTTCTCAAAAAAAAAAAAAAAAAAAAAAAAAAGAATTAACTATTTTGGGAGGTAGGGGTGGGTGGATCACTTGAGCTCAGGAGTTCAAGACTAGCCTGGGCAACATGGCGAAATCCTATCTCTACAAAAAATACAAAAAATTAGCCAGGACTGGGAGACTAAGGTGGGAGAATCACTTGAGCCCAGGAGGTTGAGGCTGCAATGAGCCATGATCATGCCACTGCACTCCAGCCTGGGCAACAGAGCTAGAAAGATCCTGTCTCCAAAAAACAAGAAAAAACAAACAAAACTTTCAGAATGAGAATGAAGTAAAAGAAAGCAGAGATGGTAAGGACACTCAGGAAAAAGAGAACCCACCATGCATGTACAGGACCTACATTATCTGACAGAATATTTACTATCAGTTGAGGACAATGCCACTATTATCTCCATTTTTATAGGAGGGAAAACTAAAGCTTGAAGAGTTGAGATCAGTGACTGGCAACCCTAGCTGCAAATCAGAATTACCGGAAAAACTTCGGCGATAAAATAAAGCCTGGGCCCAACTCCAGAGATTGATTTAAGTGTTTTGTGATGAGGCTTGGGCATCCCAAGGGGTTCTAATGTGCAGCCCAAGTCTATAGAACATAACCAAGGACACACAGGTGACCAGGTGGTTTACTGCCTTTCTACTAAATAATATTAATGCCAAACTATGGAAACAAGTTTTAAGAGCTTGTTAACTATTGCAACCAACCAACAAAAAAGAACTCAAAATGCAAACTATAAATGACCAGTCATGGCTTGGTTAATAAAAAGTAAAAAAATAAAATAATGACAAACTTGTATACTTCACAATTATAATCCTAGATAGAAACATAAAAGAAACCTCATTACCTGTCAGAACCTGGGTGAAATTCTGAAAGCAAGGAAGGTCGCCTTCGAAGCTGTTGCTGCTGCTGTTGCTGCAAAAGCTGTGATGCCTGACTCACTTCAAGATGAGAGGAACGATAATCAGGGACTGCGAACTCCTAGTATTAAAATAATCATAAATCAATTATTAACCAAAAACTGAACAACATCATGAAATCAAAGCAAGTATAAAGGTAGTTATGGGCCACTAAGTATGGAAAGAAAGAGCAATGACTATTTCAATCCTTCATTGATCTAATTCTTCCCCTTAAAATAATCAACATTTTAACTATATATCATTAAAAAAATCCAAAATGAAATTTCAAGTTTAATCTATATTGACTCATTCCTCTAATAACAAATTACAATAACTCCCAATCTGTATTACTCACATCAGTAAAATCTCAAACTCATGTGTTCAATATGAAATCCTAAAAAGCATTCCAATACTAAATTCATAATGAGTAAGCTGGAAGAAGGGTAATGGAAGTCTAATCAAATCCATCCACACTTACAATGAAGAAACTGAAGTACAGAGAATCAACCTGCTAGTTAAGAGTAGTAGTTTTTCCCATCAAAACTAGGTGAGTGTTTTTATGTTTGTTTTTGTACCTTTCCTTTGTTGGTTGTTGTTTTTTTTTTTTTGGCAAAAACTTCTTTTCCAAACAAATCTATTGTGCTAACTCAATCATAAACAGAAAAACACAGAATTACTAAATAAGCTAGGAACTCCAGTCCTAGGTATATACCCCAAAGAATTACAAGTATATAAAACCACACACAAAACCTAGTACACAATTTTTCATGGGTGCATTATTCACAACAGCCAAAAAATAAAAACAACCAAAATGTCCATCAACTAATGAACAAATAAACAAAATGTAGTATAACCATACAACTGAATATCATTCAGCCTTAAAAAAGGAGAGATGCTAGAACACAGACAAACATAGAAAACATTATACTAAGTTTAAAAAAAAAAAAAAAGGTCAGGCACAAAAGGCCACATATTATGATTCCATTTATATAAAATGTCTATAATAAGCAAATCCAGGCTGGGTGCTATGGCTCACATCTGTAATCCCAACACTTTGGGGAGGCCAAGGTGGGCAGACTGCTTGACCCCACAGATTCAAGACTAGTCTGGGCAACATAGTGAGACTTCATCTCTACAAAAAATAAATTTAAAAATTAGCCGGGCATTGTGGCACGTCCCGGCTACTCTGTAGGCTAAGGTGGGAGGCTTGCTTGAGCCCAAGAGTTAGAGGCTGCAGTGAGCTCTGATTGTGCCACTGCACTCCAGCCTGGGTGACAGAGCAAGACACCATCTTTAAAAAAAAAAAAAAAAGAAAGAAAAACGAAAAGGCAACAAATCCATAGAAACAGAAAATGAATTGGTGGTTGTCAAAAGATGGGGAGAAGAGGAGAATTGAAACTGCTATTAGTTATGGGGTTTCGTTGCAGGTGATGGAGATGTCCTGAAATCAGGTAGTGGTGATAGCTGCACAATATAATGAATATATTAAAAGCTGCTATATTATATACTTTAAAATGGTAAATTTTGTTATATGAATTCTGTGTCAACAAAAAGTTTTAAAAATCATAAACAGATAAAATTATGCTGTCCAGGATAAAACAGAGGGTAGATAAGCCATTGAGAGCCCTTCTCTATAAGTTATGAGTAAAAAATAACTCATAGTCTAAGAAGAAATCTCAGATATAAAGTTGAAAACATAAAAAAACCATTTAAAAAACTTTTTCAGCCTGGCACAGTGGCTCATGCCTGTAATCCCAGCACTTTGGGAGGCCAAAGCGGGCAGATCACAAGGTCAGGAGTTTGAGAACAGCCTGGCCAACACAGTGAAACCCCATCTCCACTAAAAACACAAAAAATTAGCTGGGCGTGGTGGCGTGCTCCTGTAATCCCAGCTACTCAGGAGGCTGAGGCAGGAGAATCACGTGAACCCAGGAGGGGGAGGGTGCAGTGAGCTGAGATCGTACCATTGCACTCTAGTCCAAGCAAAAGTGCAAGACTCCATCTCAAAAAAAAAAAATTTTTTTTTCAAAGGCACCAAAACAAAAAGGAATTTACATCCAAGGAAATAGGTAAAACAGTAAATAAAAGTAAAAAGGACCTAGAAAATATTAATAATAGCCTCAAAAAGAATCAAATAGGCCAGGTGCTATGGCTCACACTTGTAATCCCAGCACTTTGGGAGGCCAAGGCAGGCGGATCCCTTGAGGTCAGGATTTCGAGACCAGCCTGGCCAACATGGTGAAACCCCATCTCTACTAAAAATACAAAAACTAGCCAGGCATGGTGGCAGGCACATGTAATCCCAGCTACTCCAGAGGCTGAGGCAGTAGAATCGCTTGAACCTGGGAGGCGGAGTTTGCAGTGAGCCTAGACGAAGCCACTGCACTCCAGCCTAGGTGACAGAGCAAGACTCTGTCTCAAAAAAACAAAAAAAAATAGTCAGTCCTCATCACAAGGGTTTGTTAAAAATAAAAATAAAAAAAAATAACAACAGAATCAAATAGCAGGCCGGGCATGGTAGCTCACACCTGTAATCTTAGCACATTGGGAGGCCAAGGTGGGAGGGTTGCTTGAGGCCAGGAGCTTCACACAAACCTGGCCAACTTGGCGAAACCCCGTGTGTACTAAAATTACAAAAATTAGCCAGGCGTGGTGGCACATGTCTGTGGTCCCAGCTACTCAGGAGGCTGAGGCATGAGAATTGCTTGCACCCAGGAGGTGGAGGTTGCAATGAGCCAAGATTGTGCCACTGTACTTCAGCCTGGGCAACAGAGTGAGACTCTGTCTCAAAAAATAAAAAAAAAATTTATTAAAGAATCAAAGAAACTAAAAACTGAATCACTGAAGGTAAACAATAGTTGAACACACAGAAGTGAAAAGTAAATGAAAGCTAAGAGAGAACTGAGGAATTCTCTCAGTACCCAGTAAAGCACAAAGACATAGAAACCACAGGAAAAAAGTTAAAAATGGGAGCTACAGCAAAAAGTTCCAACATCCCATATCCACAGGCAAGAGACAGGATTCTGAAAAATAATAGAACAGCATTTCTCTGAAATTAGAAAAAACATAGTCTTCAGATTTAAAAGGGCTTAAGGAAAAAACTGGATGTATTTTTTAAATTAATCCATACTGGACACATGAAAATATTAAAAAAACAAGAATAAAGTGAAACTTTATTATAAGTTTGATGAAATAAAAAAGTTTCCTACAAAGTTAGAAGGATCATAATAAAAGCAGGCTTCTCATTAGCAACACTGAATAGAAGCAAACAGCAAATAATAGCATATTTCAAGTTCAGAGGAAAATAACGTTGAAGCTACAAATTGAATAACTAAGTCATCATTTGGCTGGGCATGCTGCTTCATGCCTATAATCCCAGCACTTTAGGAGGGCAAGGCAGGACAGCTTGAGGCCAGGGTTTTGATATCAGCCTGTGCAACACAGTGAGAGCCCATCTCTATAAAAAATGTAAAAATTAGCTGGGCATGGTGGTTCAAACCTATAGTCCCAGCTACTCATGAGGCTGAGGTGAGAGGATCACTTGAGCCCAGGAGCTCAAGGTTACAGTGAGCTATGACTGCGTCACTGCATTTCAGCCTGGGTGATAGAGTGAAACCTTGTCTCTAAAAATAAAATGAAATAAAAAATAAACCATCACTGAAGTTTTAAGGCTACTAACTTTTGAGAATTTAAGAACTCAAATAATATACCAACCACAGACGCTCTCTGAAAGAATTTCTTTTTTTTTTTGAGGAGTCTCGCTCTGTTGCCCAGGCTGGAGTGCAGCGGCACGATCTAGGCTCACTGCAAGCTCCGCCTCCCGGGTTCACGCCATTCTCCTGCCTCAGCCTCCCAAGCAGCTGGAACTACAGGCGCCCAACACCACACCCAGCTATTTTTTTTTTTTTTGTATTTTTAGTAGAGACGGAGTTTCACCGTGTTAGCCAAGATGATCTCGATCTCCTGACCTCATGATCTGCCCGCCTCAGCCTCCCAAAGTGCTGGGATTACAGGCATGAGCTACCACGCCCAGCCAACACTCCCTGAAAGAATTTCTAAAGGACGTACCCAGCAAGAAAAATTAAGAGTAAGGAGTGAAATAAAAGTAACAACAGTGTACTGCAGCTTCCAGGTATAAGCAGGTAACACTGCTCAGAATTACCTTCCCACAGTCAACAGCTAAAAAATTCAAAGAAATGTAGAAACTATTTTCAGAAACTGAATAATAGGCAGCAGAGGGCTTGATCGCTGAGAGAAATGAAGCAAATGAGGTAAGCCCTACCTACCATACTCTAGGCCCTCTGCCTAAAGGCAATTTCCAAACTGCAGCCATGGGAAGGGAACCTAAATCATGTCCCACAATCACAGTCGTTGAAGAAGCAACCGTACAAGGTTTGGATAAGCCATAGGAACTGAACTTCCAGAAGTTAGTTTCAAAGAGAAAGATTTCCTAAACTCTGAATTTGGGATCCCTTAAGCCTATGCCTGAATTCTAGTCTGTAAATGAATAAGGAGAAATATCACAGGCTGGGCTAAAAATAATTTCTGATGATAGAACAATTAGAAGCAACTATAAAGCAAACAATTCCCTGAGCTCACTCAGGGCAAGAACTCATTCAAATTTCTTCCAGCAAGAGTGAGGAAATCCCACTGAATACACGGGACATTCAACAGAAACCCTAGGAGACAAGCTTAGAAGTGGGGGATAAATTAGAATAAAGACCACTCTAGACCTGCCCTAACAGTTTAAAAACAAGCCTCAAAAGTAACTTAATTTCCTACCAGAAGGACTTCATCTCTCTTTACAGGAATATAACAAAGGCCAGCAGTAAAAAAAGTATGAAACTCACAATGTTCATATTCTCATCAAAAATGAAATCCATCTGCAATAAAAATGTCACTGGATAAAATTAACAACAGGTTGAAAAGTACAGAAGAAAGGATCACTGACTATGATACCATAGCAAAATGAAGCTAATGGATTTAAAAAAAATAAAATAAAAACAGGGAAAAAAAGTGAACAGAGGTCCAGTGAACTGTGGAATAACATGCAACATGAGTAATTGGAGTCCCAGACAGAAACTAGGGGAAAAGGAGACAGGAAAAAATATTTGAAAAAAACAATGGCCCCAAACTGCTCAAATTTTATGAAAATTGTAAATCCACAGAATCAGGAAGCTTGGTGAATGCCAGGGACAATAATGTATTCATTCAAAAAGCACAACAGCCAGGCGTCGTGACTCACACCTGTATTCCCATCTACTTGGGAGGCTGAGGCAAGAGGATCCCTTGAGCCCAATAGTTCTAGGCTACAGCTCTGGGCTATGCCAATCAGATGTCTACACTAAGTTCAGCATTTATATGATGACGTCCCAGAAGCAGGAGGACTACCAGGTTGCCTAAGGAGGGATGAACCCACCCAGGTTACAAAAAAAAAACAAAAAAAATGGAGCAGGTCACAACTCCTGTGCTGACCAGTAGTGGGAATGCACCTATGAAAACCACTGCACTCCAGCCTAGGCAACATAGCAAGGCACCATCTTCGTTTAAAAAAAAAAAAAAAACCCATACCCAAATTGCTGAAAATCAATGATAAAGAGAAAACTCTTAAAAAGTAACCAGAGGAGACCAGACACAGTGGCTCACACCTGAAAGCCCCACACTTTGGGACGCCGAGGCAGGCAGATCACTTGAGGCCAGGAGTTCGAGACCAGCCTGGCCAACATAGCGAAAACTTGTCCCTACTAAAAATACAAAAAATTAGCTGGGGCCGGGCACAGTGGCTCACGCCTGTAATCCCAGCGCTTTGGAAGGCCGAGGAGGGTGGATCACCTGAGGTCAGGAGTTCAAGACCAGCCTGTCCAACATGGTGAAACGCCATCTCTACTAAAAATACAAAAATTACCTGGGTGTGGCGGCACACGCCTGTAATTCCAGCTACTCGGGAGGCTGAGACAGGAGAATTGCTTGAACCCAGGAGGCAGAGGATGCAGTGAGCTCAGATGGCACCATAGCACTCCAGCCTGGGTGACAGAGCAAAACTCCATCTCAAAAAAAAAGTATATCGGACTTGATAAAAATAAAAAATGTACGCTCTCCAAAGGATGCTGTTAAGAAAATGAGGCAATACTTCCTTTAATAATTTACATACAACAAACATATAGATATATGTTTTCTAAGTAATTTTACTTATAATAATCAAAAACTGGAATAGGTGATTGGATAAACAAATTGTGGTATACCCATACTCAACAATAAAAAGGAATGAACTAAGACATGTCAGACATGGATAGATCACAGAAGTATTATGGGAAGCAAAAGAGGCCATAGACAGAATAGTTCCCATGAAGCTCAGAACGTATACAATGTATTATGATAGAAAGCAGATCAGTGGTTTCCTAGGAGCTGAGGTTAGTAGGAAGTCGGGGAGGAGGACTGACACGGGTGGGTGCCAAGGAGGATGGGGTGCCAAAGAACGTCCTAGAGTGTTAGAAATGTTGTTCATCTTCATTTTCATGATGGTTGTATGAGTTTATGACTTTGTCAAAATTTGTTACAATGTACACATATAATGAGTGCATTCTAATATAGATATATGTGTATATATATAAACTAAACTGCAAAGTTAATTTTGTTTTTTTTAAGATGGGGTTTCACTCTTGTTGCCCAGGCTGGAGTGCAACGGCGCAATTTTGGCTCACTGCAACCTCTGCCTCCCAGGTTCAAGCGATTCTCCAGCCTCAGCCTCCCGAGTGGCTAGGATTACAGATGCCTGCCACGATGCCTGGCTACTTTTTTCGTATTTTTAGTAGAGATGGGGTTTCACCATGTTGGCCAGGCTGGTCTCAAACTCCTGACCTCAAGTGATCCACCCACCTCAGCCTCCCAAAATGCTGGGATTACAGGCATGAGCCACCGCGCCCGGCCTGATTTTTTTAAAAAACCAGCAGCAACAATAATCCAGAAAATTGGTAATCGGATGAATAACACTGGGGTAGGGGGACAACACAAGCAAAATTCAACACCCAATCATGACAGAAATTCTCAAACTAGGAACAGAAAGCAACCTCTTCAACCAAAAAAGGCATCAACAAAAACGTGCAACTAACATTACATGTAATAATGGTGAAAGACTAAATGCCTCCCTACACAGGAACAACGTAAGAATGTCCATTCTAACTCTGTAATCATGACTGCACTTCAAAGGAGTCCTCAGGAGGACCCTGTAGTACATTCTGATGACAAATCTGCTTTCTTAGTCTCTGAGAGGACCGTTTTATCCCATCCTTTCCTATTTTTCTTTAAACCTCTTACACCCATAACCTTGGTCTACTCTGATATGATTATTTCACCTCATACTTTATTTTTCACAAGGTAAATCAATCTCTTACAAACTCTTCCTATGATAAAGTCTTCCTTCCTAACTACCATCCCTTCCTTCCTACCTACTATACAAATCTTCCTACCATCAATTTCTTAAAAAGAGAGAGGTCTTTATCTTGGCCCTCACCCAAGACATGCCAAGTTATCTGGCCAGCTTAAAACTCAGCCACAACTTGGGAGTATAAATATAGGTCTTACCCCAGAAATTCTAGAGAATTGGTAAGTTTTCTATTTATCATCAACTCCTATCATGAAAAGCAAAGACAAGTTCAACTCCTGAAATCAGCATAAAGCCACAGTAAGACAGAAATAATTAATTCCCAATCTTTGGTTCCTTGTCTTTGTAAATAGCTCTTGCAACTTAAAAAAAAAAAAGATAAATTTGGTGGTTTCTGTCCCACATGTGTATTAAATAGGAAAAGTAAAGAAAAACACAAAAAACATGTGCAATTTGCATACTATCTGTTCCTTACCTGCTGGTGGCGGGTGTTGGGAAATGTATACTGGACAGAGTGAGGAGGATAACGACTTTGTTCTGTGCTGAATGCTCCTTGGTTGGGAGGATAACCTGAACTTGACATTATCAGTAAAGAAGTCCTCACCAGACTGTGAGATCAATGCCAATAAACAATCATGTTTCTAGGAAACCACCTAAACAGGATGAGAAAAAAACAGAATTAGTAAGAACTAAAACACCAAGTGTACTTCTAATAAATTATAACTATAGCTACATAAATAAAACCACAATTACCAGTAAAAGCTTCCTCTCATGTATTTACTTAATAAAAGTTACCAAGGTTTGAAAACATTAATGCATCATTTCTTTTTATACTTAAAATAGGTTAATATGTGACAAATAATATAATTAGTTATATAAAGTAAAAACAGTATATAAAAACAGCATAAGATCTGGCACATAATAACTGCTCAGTAAATATCTTTCTATAAATGTCTGAGAAATATAAAGACAAAAATACATGGTTTTAAATTTGGGAGTTGATAAGTCAATTGCGAAAAGAATTCAAGAGTAGTTTTAAGGTAAGCATTTGTGCAGAGGGAAGTATTGTCTTTATTAAATAATTCTGAAGCAAGGATGATAAAATACTAAGTTTTGTAATCACAGATGGTAGGTAGATGGACATTTGTTATATTACTCTTTGCATGCTTCTATGGACCTGAAATAGCAAATAAAGAAAAAGAAGGCCAGGAGCGGTGGCTACTCCTGTAATCCCAGCACTCTGGGAGGCTGAGGTAGGTGGATCACTTGAGGTCAGAAGTTCGAGACCAGCCTGGCCAACATGGTGAAACTTCTTTTCTACTAAAAATACAAAAATTAGCCGGGCACGGTGACATGCGTCTGTAATCCCAGCTACTTGGGAGGCTGAGGCAGGAGAATCGCTTGAGCCTGGAAGGCGGAGGTTGCAGTGAGCCGAGATCACGCCATTGCACGCCAGCCGGGGCAACAGAGCAAGACTCCGTCTCAAAAAAAAAAAGAAAGAAAGAAAGAAAAACAAAGCCATCTTCATTATAAAGTATATTCCTACTTATCCACAATTCTAGACTAATTTGATTTATCTGTCTTTTCTTGTGCCAATGCCACACTTTTCAAATTACTCTAGTATTATGAGGTTTCATATCCAGCAGGACAAGTTTCACCTCATTGTGCTTTGCTGTTGCTGCTACTTTCACCGCCTTCCCAGCTATTCTAGCACATTTCCTCTTACACACAAGCATCAGAGTCAGCTTGTCAGGTCCCAGAGAATTCTGGATGAGAACACATAAATACTGAATTTACAGACTGACTAATGGGAGAACAGGTACTGTTATACTCCTGAGTATTCCCATCCTAAAACATGATTATCTATGTTTATGTTTCAGGATAGCACAAATGTTTATGTTATACATAATTAATATGTATTTTACATACATATGATAGAGAATATTACATATGTATAAAAATGTGTGCCATAATATATAATTTCTATCTTAATTATATATAAAACTCCCATGACAAAAATTTTATATACACATATACACACGTGCATGTGTGTGCATACTCTCTTACTTTAAGACAGGAGTTCTATTATTACCTAATTGGGTGGTTTTAAAAAATAGAATTTATATATGATGAAAATTATATAATTGTATATATAAAAATATAACATATATAATTTTATATATATAAAATCTCCACACATTTAGTATTTTATTAGTAAAGTTTTAATTTTGTTTCCATCATTTCAAGGGATTTGGGAAGAGGGCAAATTCGAAAAATAATTCACTGTGACAACTTGATCAATTTCCCAGTTTTTATCAATATATTCTTTATCCAGTTAGGTTTAAAAAATAAAATTTTTTAGGGAATTGTCATTCAATCTAACTTTAAAATAAAACTTATAGGCTGGCCACAGTGGCTCACACCTGTAATCCCAGCACTTTGGGAAGTCAAGATCAGAGGATCTCCTAAGGCCAGGCGTTCAAGACCAGTCTGGGCAATGAAGCCAGACCTATGTCTACAAGAAAATTAAAATAATAATAATAACAATTAGTCAGGCGGCTGGGCGTGGTGGCTCATGCCTGTAGTCCCAGCACTTTGGGAGGCCAAGGCGGGTGGATCATGAGGTCAGGAGATCGAGACCATCCTGGCTAACGCGGTGAAACCCTGTCTCTACTAAAAATACAAAAAAGTAGCAGGGCGTGGTGGCGGGTGCCTGTAGTCCCAGCTACTGGGGAGACTGAGGCAGGAGAATGGCGTGAACCCGGGAGGCGGAGCTTGCCGTGAGCCAAGATCGGGCCACTGCATGCCAGCCTGGGCAACAGAGCAAGACTCTGTCTCAAAAAAAAAAAAAAAAGAAAAGAAAAAAAAAAGAAAAAAATAATTAGTCAGGCATGGCGGTACACACCCATGGTCCCAGCTACCTGGGAGGCTGAAGCAGGAGGATCACTTGAGCCCAGGAGGTCAAGACTGCAGTGAGCCGTGATTGTGCCACTGCACTCCAGCCTGGGTGATACAATGAAACTCTGACTCAAAAAATAAAAGAAAAACGTATAGAAAGAACTTTAAGGCCGGGCGCGGTGGCTCACGCACTTTAGGAGGCCAGCGCAGGCAGATCACGAGGTCAGGAGTTCAAGGACAGCCTGGCCAGCATGGTGAAACCTGGTCTCTACTAAAGATACAAAAAATTAGCCACGCATGGTGGCGCGTGCCTGTAAACCCAGCTGCTCGGGAGGCTGAGGCAGGAGAATCACTTGAAGCTGAGAGGCAGAGGTTGCAGTGAGCCAAGATGGCACCACTGCACTCCAGCCTGGGTGAGGGGTCCAGACTCCGTCTCCAAAAAAAAAAAAAGAACTTTAAAAACTATGTGGTACCATGTAATATATAAATATTTTAAATAAATATACCATCCTCCTCCTGATGTCATGTTTCCTGCTGTTGTGAAAGCTGACCAGGAGAAGAGTCAGAAGACTGACCAGCTGACCCTCAGCCTGTTTTTTCCCTGCTCCCTTCCTGAGGCATGGAGATCAGCAAATCTTAAGGATTGTAAGGTTGAGATTACCCAACTAACACTGATTTGACAGGTGAGAAATCTGAAGATCAGAGAAAGTCAATAATTCCTCTAATATCACAAAATTGTGGCAAAATGGGAAAAACTAATGTTTTCTGCAATGCTTTGCAGCTTTCTCAGCAAGCAGTGAACTAGGAGGAGCTGAGATGTTCAGTGAGAGCACACATTAAAACCACCTGAGGAGCTTTCTCCTCATCCATACACCTGCAACTGCTCCAGGTGGAAGGGGAAAAGCCAGCATGTGGCATCGTGAGGAGGGTTGATCTTTTTGGAAATAAATATTATATGTAGGACTTAAGAAAAAGTACCGCAGAATATAAAGCGAAAAATCTCCTCGCCCTTCTTCTCCAGCTGCTACCCAGTTACACTCCCAGAAGGCAACCAAAGTTACTAGTTTCTAGAGTGTCCTTTAGAAATATCCTACACATACATACACTCACACTTTTTCCCCTATGTAAATGGTGGCATACTAGAAACACACTGTTCTGTATCTTGCTTTTATTACTTAATACATCTTGGTTGGCCAGGCGCGGTGGCTCACACCTGTAATCCCAGCACTGTGGGAGGCCAAGGCGGGCGGATCACGAGGTCAGGAGATCGAGATCATCCTGGCTAACACGGTGAAACCCCATCTCTACTAAAAATACAAAAAAATTAGCCAAGCATGGTGGCGGGCGCCTGTAGTTCCAGCTACTCAGGAGGCTGAGGCGGGAGAATGGCATGAACCCAGGAGGCAGAGCTTGCAGTGAGCCGAGATTGCGCCACTACCCTCTAGCCTGGGCAACAGAGTGAGACTCCGTCTCAAAAAAAAAAAAAAAAAAAAACATCTTGGCAATTATTCTCATCAATTTATGGTTCTTTCTATTGCTAAACAGTATTTCTCTATATGGGCCGGGTGCGGTGGCTCACACCTGTAATCCCAGCACTTTGGGAGGCTGAGGCGGGTGGATCACCTGAGGTTGAGAGTTCGAGACCAGCCTGACCAACATGGTGAAACCCCGTCTCTACTGAAAATATAAAAATTAGCCAGGCGTGGTGGCACATGCCTGTAATCCCAGCTACTCGAGAGGCTGAGGCAGGAGAATCGCTTGAACCCAAGAGGCAGAGGTTGCGGTGAGCCGAGATCGTGCCATTGCACTCCAGCCTGGGCAACAAGAGTGAAACTCTGTCAAAAAAAAAAAAAAAAGAGTATTTCACTATATGAACATTCATGCATTTTGTAAAAGTTTTCCAACTAATTCTGATCTGCTGTCCTAAAACATGCTTTAAGTTATCTATCTCTGCACTCTCCTCCCAACTCAGATATCCCAAATAAATAAAGCTATAAATGGAATGAAGAGGCAAAAAAAAAGATTTTAACCCAGGGTCATCCAATTTTTTTCTAACAGTGGCCTAAATGATTAGAAACCCATGAGGTACAATTTTTTAATGCACATTGTTTAACTTTCAGCTATGGTGAGTCCTGAGTTCAACAATTACACTCAATGTCACTCAAAGTCACAAGTTAAGTGACTTGTCCATTTTTTCCCTCATCTCAGTAATCCTTCCTTGTCCGTTTTGTGGTATGACTTTAGTGAAGTTTAACTTTATTATCTCAAAAAAAAAAAAAGTCAGTTTTCTTTAAAAGTACTATCCGCCCAATACAGAAGGAAAAAAAAAAAAACACACACACACACACACACACACACACTAGCAAAATCAGGAAATTAGCCCCTACTAGCATACAAATTTACAGGTCAAAGCAAGCCCTTCCTGTCCTCGCATGAACTGCAGCCTGGAGACCACGACAACCTCCTTCCTCAAAACTTATCCATGAGATACACGGCAACAGTGCTCAGATTTTGTTTTTTAACCAGAATGTTTTCCTCAAAAGTCTTAAATGAAAGCTAAATGTACAAAAGATACAATGGAGAAACATTCCGATCTAGTAAGAATGGGAGACCTAGGATTCATCTTTTCAGTCTCCCCCTGCCCTTTCCCATCCTTCCCTCCACCCTTCACTCTAGTCCTGGCTCACTAAGATACCTCGGCAGAATACTTTACATTTGAAACCCACTGAAATAAAAGAATCTAGTTTAAAGTTCAGACTGAAGGGGAAGGGAGCACCTTAAGTGGCAGTATCAAATTATAATTTCAGTTCTTAGCACCAAAACTCATTAACTCAGGGTAGTTACATGGTTGACTCATGAACTGAAAAAATTCTACGAATTGTTTAAGAAATCTGATCGAGATTTTATAAGCAACTTCCTCATCTCTTAAATATCAACATATAATGTTTTAGGATGGGAATAATATAGTAATAATTATATGTCACTGTCATAAAAGACAACAGCACTTCTAACTGAATTATACAGATAAACCCAGAACTAGCCTCTTATATATTGCAAACAGGTAATACAATATTGCAAAATGAAATTGATCTATTTAAGTTCCTTTTTAAATCCTCTCATATTAAATAAACGCACACATATTTACTCAACAGGAAAATCTTGCAACAACAAAATTTCAAATACTATCCTGCCAAAAAAAAAAGCAATTTTTCCTCTCAGCAGGAACTCCTGGCTTTTGGCCCACAATTTTTGCATAACCAAAATGTGTTATGCAAAGGTGTTCAAGGTGGCCTAAGCTATCTTGGAAAAAAAGCTAAAAATGGCCAGGCACAGTGGCTCACACCTGTAATCCCAGCACTTTGGGAAGCCAAGGCCGGCGGATCACAAGGTCAGGAGATCAAGACCATCCTGGCCAACGTGGTAAAACTCCATCTCTACTAAAACACACCCACAAAAAAAAAAATTAGCCGGACATGGTGGTGCACACCTATAGTCCCAGCTACTCGAGAGGCTGAGGCAGGGGAATCGCTTGAATCTGGGAAGCGGAGGTTGTAGTGAGCTGGCATCGTGCCACTGCACTCCAGCTTGACAACAGAGCGAGACTCCATCTCAAAAAAAAAAAAAAAAAAAAAAAAAAGCTAAAAATATACTTCACTGTGGCAGGACTGCAGATGCCACTTCAGATGAGCAAGAATGAATCCACCAAGCGTCACAATAGAGGTGAAGCCTACATTTCACCAAAGCAGAAAAAGGATCCCACAAAATATGTAATTTTTACGTGATAAAATAATAAAACCTACTGATACAAAAGTATGGGGTAGGGCAATGCCTTTATGACATTCAAATGCTAAAATATTAGTTATTAAACTGAGGAAAATTAGGTCACACCAGTTCCCACAAAGCTGTCCAGCTCTACACCAATTCTAAAAGTATGTTAGGCAAGACAAAGCTAAGAAGGACCACCACCCTGGGCATCCCAACACCCAAAATCCTCCAACCTGGGGATAATTTAAAGAAAGCCGACCTCCTAAACTTATTACAGAGCCCAGCATGCAGGAGAGGAAAGACTAGAAATTATCTAAGTGAATTCTGTAATTTGTACAAGACCAGAGTGGTGCTATACTGTAATAAATTTTCTCTTGTAAAATAAACTAAAGCATTCTTCCCTTTGGGGGGAAAAAAAAGCTACTGCTTCTCAGCCTTTTGGTTAAGATCCAATCTGGGAGAATGCCATTAACAAGGTATTTTATTTGCAGCCTCTTTTGACATCATGACATCTTACTTAAAGACAGAGAAACAAATAGAAGCTAAAGAAAAAGCTTTTTAGTTAACCTATCCTACCTCTTATAAAGTATGATATTGAAAGAAAAATTTTAATAAGGATATAATTATTTGATAAATCTATGGGTACACATACTCAATAAGTAATTCTGGCCAGGCACAGTGGCTCACGCCTGTAATCCCAGCACTTTGGGAGGCCGAGGCAAGTGGATCACTAGAAGCCAAGAGTTTGAGACCAGCCTGGCCAAAAAAACAAAACCCCGTCTACACTAAAAATACAAAAACTAACCGGGCATGGTGACACATGTCTGTAATCCCAGCTACTCAGGAGGCTGAGCAAGAGAATCACTTGAACTCAGGAGGCAGAGGTTGCAGTGAGACAAGATCATGCCACTGCACTCCAGCCTGAGCAAGAGAACAAGACTCTATCTCAAAAAATAATAATAAATACATAATTCTTAAATGAAAGAAAAATGATGCTATTTTACCTCTACAAAAAGTGCTGTCCCAAGACAGCAGTACAATGTAACAATATCCAACTGAAAACTCTGTGGTATGTCGACACTACATTGAACTAATTCTCTGAACTGAACAACACTCACTCACTCACTCAACTTATAAGAACAAACATATTTCAAAGCCAGCCAAGCGCGGTGGCTCACGTCTGTAATCCCAGCACTTTGGGAGGCAGAGGCAGGTGGATCACTTGAGGTCAGGAGTTCAAGGCCAGTCTGGCCAACCTGGCAAAACCTCGTCTCTACTAAAAATACAAAAAATACGGCTGGGCGCGGTGGCTCACGCCTGTCATTCCAGCACTTTGGGAGGCTGAGGCAGGAGGATCATGAGGTCAAGAGTTCAAGACCAGCCTGACCAACATGTGAAACCCCATCTCTACCAAAAATACAAAAATTAGCGGGGCGTAGTGGCGCACGCCTGTAATCCCAGCTACTTGGGAGGCTGGGGCAGGAGAATCGCTTGAACCCGGGAGGCAGAGGCTGCAGTGAGCAGAGATTGCACCACTGCGTTCCAGCCTGGGCAAAAGGGCGAGACTCCATCTCAAAAAAAAAAAAAAAAAAATACAAAAAATTAGCCAGGCGTGGTGGTGCGCACCTGTAATCCCAGCTACTCAGGAGGCTGAGACACGAGAATCACTTGAACCTGGGAGGCAGAGGTTGCAGTGAGCCGAGATCGCACCCCTGCACTCCAGGCTGGACGACAGAGCAAGACTTCATCTCAAAAAAAAAAAAAAAGAACAAATATACTTCACAACCAAAGTGGATGACTACATGCCAATTCCCTCCTTGATTAACACAAAAGAAGAACAAAGAAATTGAGATAAGAACAATTTTAATGTAGATATTTGGCCTGAATTAATAGATATAACAATGTCTAAGTGGATATTACTAAAAGAGTTACCATTTACTGAGCTCTAGATATATACTAGCCAGTGTACTAAGACTTGGTGTGTGCGTGAGCTCACCTAAAAGTCTGGTTCCACTATTATCTCTAAGGCTGTAGGAAAGCTACATAACTTCCTCAAGCTATGTTTTTCTAACTCAGAGACAGATACCTTAAAGATCATCTGCTGCTGCCTCCCCTTTGACCCACTAACAGAGACTACAGGTTAATCAAGGGTTATGAACAGACTCTGTTTTTTGCTGCACCCCTCTCAGCACCCCCGAGCTCCATAAATCTTAAAGTCAAATGCTCTTAGCCTACTTTATTTTGGTACACACCTTAGAAACAAACAGAACTATCAAACACCTGTGAAGGTAAAGATCAGCTCTGTTCTGCTCTACATGGCCTCTGCAGCAGCTAGCAGTACTTAGCTCTCAGTAACACCCACTCCAACAGCAAGTTGTTTAGCTGTTCCTTACACACACACACACACACACACACACACACACTCTGAAGCTTCCCAGGCCTCTCCATCTAACTACCACCATCCTTACCTCTTGCTGCAAAAAAACTCCTAACTGGGCTTCCCACTTCAATACTTTCTCAACTCAAAAAGCCAAGTGTTCTTTTTAAACCTTAAATCAGAACATGTCACTCTCCTGCTTCAGATTCCCCAAGGATTTCCTACGCACCGCAAATAAAGTCTCAAGTACTTACGATGACCCAAGGCCCTACTTGATTTGGCCTGCTTACTTTCCAGATTGCTCACTAGGCCCCAGCAACATGAGTTTCCTTTCAGTTTCTTCAGGAGCCCTTCTCTGCCAGGTCCTTCCTAACTGGGTCTTTGTCCTTTACTCTCTGCCAGGAAAGCTGTTCCTGGCTCATTCAGGTGGCTAGCTCCTCCTCAAACTTAAGGTCTCAGTTCAAATGTCATCTCAGAAGAGTCTTTCTAACCACGCTACATATAAGGTAAGCTCCCACAAGTTACTCTCAATCACATCACCCTTTTTGTTCCTTTATAGGTTTATCATAATCTGAAATGGATTACGTACTTCATTTTATTTAAGTATATTCTGTCTTCCCTCACTAGAATAAAAACTACCTGTTTGATTCTCTACAATATTTGTTGAATAAAATAAACAAACAAACTCCCATTCATGGGTCTAATTTTTTTAAAAGAAATAAGAAATATACGAATATACGAGACTTATCTGTACAGGACTTATTTGAAGCAAAGTGTGAAAATCTATTGAGGGACATAAAAATCTATTTGAACACAGGACAGAAAGTATATAAAGATGTCAATTTCCCCAAACTTCACCTACAATTTCAGTATTCCCAATCAATATTCAGCATTCAATAAAAATCTCTATGATTTCTTTTTGAATGTCACAGAATGATTCTAAAGTTCATCTAGAAGAACACATAGACCAGAATTGTCAAAGTCTGAAAAAAAGAGTAATGAACAGGTAACTAACCCCATCTGTATTAAAATTATAAAATGATAGTAATTTAAAGTATATGGTAATCAAAGAGATCAAAATAAAATAATAAGAGATCAAAATAAAATAATACACAAGAGATCAAAATAAAATAACAAGACCAATCAGAAATAGTCCCAAACACATTTAGTAAATGACAAAAGCTGCAATTCTAATAGTGGGGCAAAAAACAGATTATTCACTAAATGGTGCTGACACAACTAGCTAGTTAGGGTAGAATTCACACACAATTTTATCCCCCAAAATATGTCTCACTTCTTATACCAGAAATAAATTCCAGATGGATCAAAGAATTAGAAGTTTTAAAAAGAGAAGGAAAAGGAGAAAAAGAAACCACTGAAGTATTAAATTACAACCTGGGGACTCCTTTGTTTTAAAAATACAAAAAGGCATGCAGTTAAAAAGTCTTCCTCTCACTCATTCTTCTTACTATGACAACCAATGTTTCCAAGTATCATATATCCTGCGATATACAAGCAAACATGTATACATTGTTTTTCATCTTTAAAGCAAAGACACATAGAGGCATATAATGTTCCTCGCTTTGTTTTTCTAGTTTAGTAGATAGGTGAATATTTTACATTTTGGAGTAAGGAAAGTCTTAAGTAGAGCACAAAACACAAAAGTCACATAAATAGACTAATAAGAGTCACAGCTAACATTTATTATTTACTTACTTTGTGCCAGCCACTATGCCTAATGCTATTTACATTATCTCCATTTTACAAATAAGGAAATTAAGGTGTACAGAGATTAAATAATGTGCCCAAGGTCCCACAGCAGCATGGTGCTGGGTTTGGATATATCTGACTACATAACATTACAAAAGAATAGCTAGGGGGATATGTGCACACACATGAATAAAGTGAGTGAGGCCAGGCGCGTTGGCTCACGCCTGTGATCCCAACGCTTTGGGAGGCCCAGGCGGGTGGATCACCTGAAGTCGGGAGTTTCAGACCAGCCTGACCAACAAGGAGAAACCCCATCTGTAGTAAAAATACAAAATTAGCCAGGCATGGTGGTGCAGGCCTGTAATCCCAGCTACTCAGGAGGCTAAGGCAGGAGAATCACTTGAACCCAGGAGGCAGAGATTGAGGTGAGCTGAAATCCTGCCATTGCAATCCAGCCTGTGCAACAAGAGCAAAACTCTGTCTCACAAAAAAAAAAAAGAAAGAAAAAAGTGAGTATGTAGAGAACTTTTTAACCTGTTAAAACGCAATAACCCCATCAGGAAATAACCAAAGAACAAAAGTAGGCAATTTATAAAAGACACATGGCCGGGCTCAGTGATGCATGCCTGTAATCCCAGCACTTCGGGAGGCCGAGGTGGGTGGATCACGTGAGGTCAGGAGTTCGAGACCAGCCTGACTAACATGGTGAAACCCCATCTCTACTAAATATATAAATTAGCCAGGCGTGGTGGCAGACGCCTGTAATCCCAGCTACTTGGAAGGCTGAGGCAGGGGAATCGCTTGAACCTGGGAGGCGGAGGTTGCAGTGAGCTGAGATTGTGCCACTGCACTCCAGCCTGGGCAACAAGAGCGAGGCTCTGTCTAAAAGAAAAGAAAAGAAAAGAAGAAAAAAAAAAAAGGTTGGGCGCAGTGGCTCATGCCTGTAATCCCAGCACTTTGGGAGGCCAAGGTGGGTGGATCACCTGAGGTCGAGAGTTCGAGACCAGCCTGGCCAACACAGAGAAACCCTGTCTCTACTAAAAATACAAAATTAGCTGGGAGTGGTGGTGCATGCCTGTAATCCCAGCTACTAGGGAGGCTGAGGCAGGAGAATCGCTTGAACCCAGGAGGCAGAGGTTGTGGTGAGCTGAGATCAAGCCATTGCACTCTAGCCTGGGCAACAAGAGCGATACTCCGTCTCAAAAAAAAAAAAAAAAGAAAGAAAGAAATACAACTCTCCCCATAGTAAAAAATGTTTAGCCTCAATCTTGATGGATAAAAGGCCAATCAGAATCACATTTTTTCAGTTCCTAAATTGTCAAAATGTTTTAAACTGTAATATCTAGTATTGGCCAGAGTATGGGGCATACCTGAATACTACTGGTAGCTTTACAAATTGGTACAACAATCTTTTGGAAGGAAAATGTATAAATATCTATCCATATCTACATTATTCACATCTTTTGATTCAGCAACTCCACTTCTAGGAATCTATCCTACAAAGCTGTTTGTACAAGTACACAAAATGCATATACATATGTACATGTGCATAAATATTCACACACACACACACAATTGTTTACAGCTTTGTTTTTCTGGCCAAAAAAAAAAAAAATCTAGTGACCGTAAGTTGATTAAGCAAATTACAGTATTTTCTTTTCTTTTTTGAAACGGAGTCTCACTCTGTCGCCCAGGCTGGAGTCCAGTGGCATGATCTCAGCTCACTGCAACCTCCACCTCCCAGTTTCAAGTGATTCTCCTGCCTCAGCCTCCCGAGTAGCTGGGATTACAGGCACATGCCACCATGGCTGGCTAATTTTTGTATTTTTAGTAGAGATAGGGTTTCACCATGTTGGCCAGGCTGGTCTTGAAGTCCTGACCTCCGGTGATCTACCTGCCTCGGCCTCCCAAAGTACTGGGATAACAGGCATGAGTCACCATGCCTGGCAAATTATGGTATCTTCATGTACTAGAAATGGGATATTAAGTTGCTGTTAATGATTGATAGAGGTAACTGAAATAAATAGACAAACTTGGAACAGTAGTATATAAAAGAATAGTACATTATGATCCCATAATATAGAAAATTAGACAAACACAGAAAAGAAAACTGGAAGAATATGCAACAAACTCAGTAGATTACATCCAAGAAGTGGTTCTTTCAATTTCGGTATATATATAAAATAATGTATTACTTATAATTAGTGAAAGATAAGATTTTAAAATAGCATATCCTCCTTCATGCATTATAATGATTTTGTGTGAATATAAAGTAACTTCTTCCTCCCCCCCAACAGAATGTATATACTCTTACATCAGGTATATTTACGTTCTGCATATTTTAGGTTATAACTCCTAGATAGCACAAGTTTTGATTTCATTCCAAATACCTCCAAATACATAAAAGTTATTGTAATTAAAAATGAATTTAAAAATCTTAAAAGTAACGCAAAGTTAAACATCTTTGAACAGAAACTCAAAGTCATGATGATGACTACTTAAAACAAACATTTTCAAAATTACATAAATCTCTATGTTATTGCCAGGGGAAATGAATTGCCTAAAACAAATTACTCTGAATGTGAACTGTGTATGACAGTGATAATGGCAAGAAGAATGTCTGTCAGTTCAACAAAGTATGGGGTAAAGGGGCAATCTATAAGCATAAAGGTGACTCTCATCATAAATCTAAGAGTCAAAATTTCCTAGAAAAATGTAATCTTGGCGGGGCGCAGTGGCTCACGCCTGTAATCCCAGCACTTTGGGAGGCCGAGGCAGGCGGATCACGAGGTCAGGAGATCGAGACCATCCTGGCTAACACAGTGAAACCCCATCTCTACTAAAAATACAAAAAATTAGCCAGGCGTGGTGGCAGACGCCTGTAGTCCCAGCTACTCTGGAGGCTGAGGCAGGAGAATGGTGTGAACCTGGGAGGTGGAGCTTGCAATGAGCCGAGACCGCGCCACTGCACTCCAGCCTGGGTGAGAGCGAGACTCCATCTCCAAAAAAAAAAAAAAAAGAAAAGAAAAGAAAAGAAAAATGTAACCTCAATATATTTGGTTTTGATATCAGCTTATTTGTGTATAACAAAGAATAAAAACAGCCAAACAGCCCAAATTTTGTTCCTCGAGTACACTGTAATGGGGGAAAGAAATCCAAATAAGTTAGGATTCTTGACTTTTCCTTTACTCCTGACTAATCTACTTAATTTTTTATATAAAACTAGTCGATATTATTCTTTCAAAGGGAGTCCTGAATTCTATTATAATCCTATCAACCAACCGTTCCATATTTCTTTCTTTTTTTTTTTTTTTTTTTTTTTTGAGACGGAGTCTCGCTCTGTCGCTAGGCTGGAATGTAGTGGCGCAATCTCGGTTCACTGCAACCTCTGCCTCCCAGGTTCAAGCGATTCTCCTGCCTCAGCCTCCTGAGTAGCTGGGACTACAGGCGCGTGCCACCATGCCCAGCTATTTTTTTTTTTTTTTTTTTTTTTTTGTATTTTTAGTAGAGATGGGGTTTCACCACGTTGGCCAGAATGGTCTCGATCTCTTGACCTCGTGATCCACCTGCCTTGGCCTCCCAAAGTGCTGGGATTACAGGCGTGAGCCACCATGCCTGGCCAACCGTTCTGTATTTCTAACTCACAGTTTTTTCCTAGGATTGAAACTACTCCAAAATTCCCTGCATATAAAAATTAAAACATTATTGCATTCTAATATTATCTAGAACCATGAGTGCTGTCTAGGATGAACCAATCCCATGTTTACTTTCTCTTTCTCCCCAAAATTCCAATAAACAGAATTTTTTTTTTCTTTTTTAAAGAAATGCTTTTAACTGGGCTCAGTGGCCCGCACCTATAATCCCAGCACTTCAGGAGGCCAAGGTGGGAGGATCACTTGAGCCCAGCAATTTGAGGTCAGCCTGAGCAACATAATGAGACCCTGTTTCTACAAAATAAAAAAATTGACCAGGTGTGGTGGCACACACCTGTAGTCCCAGCTACTCAGAAGAACCGCGTGAGCCCAGGACTCGGAGGCTGCATTGAACTATGATCACACCACTACACTCCAGCCTGAAGCCTCCAGAGACAGACCCTCTGTAAAAAAGAAAAAAAAAAGAAATATTTTGATAATTTACTAATTACAGCTATGTTAGTCACTGACATTGGTGAAATTTCTACATGTTTTTTAATTTCCAAAAACTATTCAGCATCAAACTGCCATATGTGTATCAGAGATCTTCTACAGCAACCACACTAACTCTAGCTGCTAAGCTCATTTTTATGAGCTAGGCACAGGGTGTTATTCTGGGAGTGGGAAAAGAAGAAAAAATTTTTTAAAAACTCAGATACAGACATGCCTACAAAGGGCTTACGGTCTAGAGGCAAAGGATCAAGAGTTCCCAGAATAAAAAATATACATTTTGGAGAAGAGGGAATAGGAGAGACACTTCCTGGATGATGTAATATGTGATCAAACCCTTGAAAAATAGGATAAATTTAGATGTAGTAGAGTTTGGAAGAGTAAGGGAGGAAAGGAGTATTCCAGAAACAAGCATAGTAACAAGAAAAAAAAACAAAAAATTCTTCTTAATGCAACACAAAATAGCCCAAGTAGAATAAAGAAATATGCCATGCTTCAGTATTTATGTAAAGATTATCAGCTTAATAAGAATATGCCTTTTCCTTTATAATAAATTTTATAGGCCAGGCATGGTAGCTCATGCCTGTAATCCCAGCACTTTGGGAGGCCATGGTGGGAGGATTACTTGAGCCCAGAATTCAAGACCAGGCTGGGCAAAACAATCAGACCCCATCTCTATTTTTAAAAAATTAAAATAAAATAAATTTTATAGCATGAATACATACAGAAAATGAATATTACAAATAAGCTTTTGGATGTAAAAAAAAAAAAAAACCATAAAGAATACACTCGGCCAAGTGCGATGGCTCACGCCTGTAATCCCAACACTTTGGGAGGCCAAGGCGGGCAGATCACTTGAGGTCAGGAGTTCAAGATCAGCCTGGCCAACATGGCGAAACTCTTTCTCTACTAAAAACACAAAAATTAGCGGGGCATGGTGGCATATGCCTGTAATCCCAGCTACTTGGGAGGCTGAGAACGAGAATCACTTGAACCTGAGAAGTGGAGGTTGCAGTGAGCTGAGATTGTGCCACTGTACTCCAGCCTGGGCAATAGAGTGAGACTCTGTCAAAAAAAAAAATGTTCATGTTTGTGCTATTTATCTAAGCTTTTATATTAATATAACAATTGAAATCCTTCATACTTAAAAAAAAAATCCAGAAGTCTGAGAGTAGGCAAAACAAGCAACAGCTAATTTTATAAAATAATTTAACCTATTTGTAGGCCAGGTGTGGTGGCTCACGCCTGTAATCCCAGCACTTTGGGAGGCTGAGGCGGGAGGATCACCTGAGGTCAGGAGTTCGAGATCAGCCTGACCAATATGGAGAAACCCTGTCTCTACTAAAAAATACAAAATTAGCAGGGCGTGGTGGTGCATGCCTGTAATCCCAGCTACTTGGGAGGCTGACGCAGGAGAATTGCTTGAACCCAGGAGGCAGAGGTTATGGTGACCTGAGACAGCGCCATTGCACTCCAGCCTGGGCAACAAGAGTGAAACGCTGCCTCAAAAATAATAGTAATAATAATAATTTAAACTATTTATTTGGGCCTCAGGGGTATTTAAACCACTGGCATAATAAAATTTCCATCACTATTAATACTTAAATTCCATGAAGTGTCACTGGACCCAGATAACCTCAAAGACATTTTTGTTTAAGAAGCTATTCATCAAAGCAGATTAAAAATTAAGCAAACTAAATAATTCCTGGTGATCACTGTAACACTGACATAGATCAGTATCAATTTTTTCAAACTATATTTTCATTGCCAAAATTTAATATTAAGAAGTATCTTAAATTCAATACCTAAGCTAAATATCCAAAGTAATCTCTCATTTCCTATTCACTCCAATTTTTTTTTTTTTTTCTTGAGGCAGAGTCTCACTCAGTCACCCAGGCTGGAGTGCAGTGGCGCAATCTCGGCTTACTGCAAGCTCCGCCTCCCGGGTTCACGCCATTCTCCTGCCTCAGCCTCCCGAGTAGCTGGCACTACAGGTGCGTGCCATCATGCCCGGCTAATTTTTTGTATTTTTTTAGTAGAGACAGGGTTTCATCATGTTGGCCAGGATGGTCTCGATCTCCTGACCTCATGATCCGCCCACCTCGGCCTCCCAAAGTGCTGAGATTACAGGTGTGAGCCACCGCGCCTGGCCGATTTTTAAGTGTCAATCATCAAATCGATTCATCCCATGGATGATACAGTGTAACACAGTGAACACTATAATAGATACGAAAAGACTTAGATTCTGCTATTGCCCAACTTTAGCAACTTAGGCAGGTAAATCACTTCACTTCTCCGACCTTCAGTGTTATCGAAAGTAAAACAAGACTAGATAATCTGACTCTACATTCTATAAATTAGCTATTTTTATTTTATTTTTATTTATTTTTTTTTTTGAGAGACAGTCTTGCTCTGTCACCCAGTCTGAAGTGAGTGCACTGGCATGATCATGGCTCACTGCAACCTCAACCTCCCAGGCTCAGCTTCCCAAGTAGCTGGGACCACAAGCACACTCTGCTAATTTTTCAATTTTTTTGTAGAGATGGGACTCGCTCTGTTGTGCAGGTTGGTCTCAAACTCCTGGCCTCAAGTGGTCCTATCACCTCAGCCTCCCAAAGTACTAGGATTATAGGCATGAGCCACTGTGCCCTGCCATTAACATTTTATTTTAACCAATTTTGTTGTTTTTGAGATCGCTGTTAAATAAAAGTAACAGCAGGACATACGGAAGAAGCAAACTGTCTGAAGAACTCCATAGGAACATTCGCAGTGTTTCATACAGTCTCAGACTTTCAAATGCAAAGAAAAAAAAAATAGGTTGTATCTGAAGACTATTCTAGTAATATTTTGACCACACAAGCTACTGGGGTAGGAAAAAAATGGTAGAAGAACAGTATAAGTGTTCAAGGAAAAATGCCACCACAAGAAAACCAAAATAAAAAACAGATGCTCCACATACGGTTATTACTACATTACAGAAGCTTTTCATAGTTTTCCAGTGCTCTTAAAAAGTGCTAATAGAAAAAGAAACAAAATGTTTTCTTAACCATTTACATGTATACATGTATTTTTTGCATCCTCAAACCTGAAAAGGACCAAATATAAGATAATCTATAGGGCCGGGCACAGTGGCTCACACCTGTAATCCCAGCACTTTGGGAGGCCAAGGCGGGTAGATCATGAGGTCAGGAGTTCAAGACCAGCCTGACCAACACGTCTCTACTAAAAATACAAAAATTAGCCAGGCATGGTGGCGCATGCCTGTAATCCCAGCTACTCAGGAGGCTGAGGCAGGAGAATCACTTGAACCTGGGAAGCTGAAGTTGCAGTGAGCCTGAGATCACGCCACTGCCCTCCAGCCTGGGTGACAAGAGCGAGACCCTGTCTCAAAGGAAAAAAAAAGAAAAAAAAAAGATAATCTATAGACTGAGTTATTTGTGAATATAACTGATCTGCTCGACTATATTTTATAACTTTCTAGTATTTAGTAGTGTGCCAGAACATAAAAAGCACCTCATACTGGTTGAATATAAGTGAGTAAACAAAAATATATGAATCTCTAATCTACAAATAAGACTATACACAATAAATTCTGATCAATCTTTACTAGTTGTTTTATATCATAGTCTAGTAAAATCCAGTATCTTAAGTAAAAGAACAGATGGAACTAAATATGCAAGAGTTCCATCATTCCCAGGCATCAAGAAGAATTTGAAATTACAACTAAGATAGATCACAGAATACAATTAAAACCAAATAACCAAAACATATTTTTTAAAAAACAAACAGCCTGACACTCACCTACATCAACCCCCAGTCTATCCAAAGGCCTTTGCCTTCTACAGCAGATAACAAAGGTAAGAAAAGAAAATTTCACCAATTCATAACACAATTTTTTTTAATGCTTTTAAGGCCGGGTGCAGTGGCTCACCCCTATCATCCTAGCACTTTGGGAGGCTGAGACAGGCAGATCGCTTGAGCCCAGGAGCTCGAGACCAGCCTAGACAACATGGTCAAACCCTTTCTCTACAAACAAAAAAAAAAATTAACCAGGCGTGGTGGCCTGTGCCTGTAGTCCCAGCGACTTGGGAGGCTGAGGTGGAAGGATCACCTGAGTCCAGAGGTCAAGGCTGCAGCGAGCCACTGTATTTCAGCCTGGGCAAAAGAGACCCTGTCTCCAAAAAAAAAAAAAAAAAGCTTTAAAAAAGTTATTAACTAATCTAATCTTTCCTATAAGTTAATTTCCATCATTTCATTCTTTTTTGATTAAGAGGATAGGCAAAACACAAATTTTACTGTTTTTTAAATCCAACAAGTATTCAATTAAAAATAAGCCAGGCACGGTGGCTCACGCCTGTAATCCCAGCACTTTGGGAGGCCAAGGCAGGCGGATCACGAGGTCAGGAGATTGAGACCATCCTGGCTAACACGGTGAAACCCCGTCTCTACTCAAAGTACAAAAAAATTAGCCAGGCATGGTGGCACGCGCCTGTAGTCCCAGCTACTCGGGAGGCTGAGGCAGAAGAATTGCTTGAACCCGGAGGCGGAGGTTGCAATGAGCTGAGATTGCGCCACTGCACTCCAGCCTGGGTGACAGAGCAAGACTGTCTCAAAAAAAAAAAAAAAAAAAAGATAAAATCAGCGAAGGGCCTATCCTGCTCTCAAGAGATAAAATAGGTACATAAATACCTACAAGATAGAAAGTGTAAATGCCGCGAGAGATGTGCAGAAAAAGCATTACAGGAGCCCAGAGGGAGCTGTTACCACCTCACAGAAATATAACCCCTTCAATCTGTTTAAAACAATTTTATAACTATTAACTCCCTTTAGGCTCACAACAGCCAACCCTAGGAGAGTAGATGTTTACCTAATATTCAAGATGAGGAAACTGAAGCACAGAAAGGTTGATCAAGTTCCAAAATCACATAGTTAGAGCAAGAATCAAGATACTTTGTATTATATTTTCTCCGGGGGAGTAGTTCAACATATGGCAAGCCTTTTGTAAAAGGAAAGAGTATTTTAGTATTGTAAGTAATCAGTTCCTACTGTGAGCATTTTATACATAGCTATATCCATATATACAATTAATCTTGATTTCCATTAACAGGTGTGCTTAAAGCAAGGCCAAGCAACTGGGTACTATAAATATTAAAACAAATAAATAAACTTCCACCGGATGTTAACAGAAAAAGAAAAAAAGATACAAGATTTCTCTCTCCAGTAACTTGCGGTTACTTCTTCTGTAATTGTTACCCTTGTCTAAATAACATTCTAAAATTGGTCTGCTCCTGAGCCCGGGCAAGTACAAGTTGGTTCATCCAATAAATATCTTCATGAAAAGGTACATCAAAACATTTTAAAAAGCTATTAAAAATTAAACGATGCCATCAACTCTTCAGTTATCCACAGGACAATCACATGTGACCCAGCATCAGCAGCTATTGATCAAGATATATTGAACGAATGAATGAATCTTTGTAGGCATTTTTAAATCCCGGGCCTGTTGCTCCTTGCACAGTGCCATGTTCAGCCTTCCATCACTGCCTCACCAGGGTGCACACAAGGAATGTAAATTTCAATATAATTAGGATATAATTAGAGAAGCAAATCTGATGCAGGTTTACATACTAATCCCAAAGATTAGAATTACCTATACTACTACTCTCCAAGGTTAACTCTGTGGAAGAGGCACCGCAGCATGCAACATCACATAAAGAAAACTGACACTTCCTGAGCAAATAGTTTTCGTCCATATCACTTATTCCCATCCATTCCTTTAATACATGACTATTCCTGATCCAGTTAATTTGAAGAATTCAGTCTCCTCTCCATAAAGGCTGATTTCACAACTACAGTTTCTCAAATTCCTCTCTCCCCAAAAAGGGGTGCACTTACGGACTTCGCTTAAGAAAACACCAACAATAAACGGCAGAAGGTATAGTGTTCGGATCTTTGCCATCTCCACCAGTACCCAGCCTTCGCCATTACACCCTGAAGCGGTCTGTTAGAAAGGTGAACTAATTTACTCTGCACGCACTTGTCCATGGCTGTCAACCTCCGCAGCCCCTTCTACACTTCCAAGTCGGCCACCAACTCCGCCTCAGTGAGCCCAGGCCCGCCACCTGCGCCGGCCCCACCCGGGGCACCGGCTGCCCGCTCTCCCTCGCAGGCCCTGTAGGCTCCGCACGCCCCTCCGCACAGGACACCTCGGGGCCAGCCCCGGCCCGGCCACAGCCCATTCTTCCTCCAAACTCCATAAGCCTCCGCTAGCCCAGCCCGAGCTCCCCGCCGCGCCCGGCTCTCTCCTGGGCTGCCGAGTGGAAGAGGCCAGGCGGCCAGGACGGGTCCCGACCTGCCCAGGCCTGCGACACCCCCCGCCCGGCGGAGAAACCGTCCCAGCGGCTGCTGCCCCGGGAGCCCTCGGAAGCCCCCGGACTAGCAGGAGCCCGGAGGCCGGGGTTGCAGGCGCCAGGGCCTACTCACCGGGAGCTGGCTAAGCGTGGGAGCCGACGTGCGCCCCGGCCTGAGGAGTGGGACGCGGCCACGGCGCGCGGCCCTACACCGGGACCTCGTTCGGCGCGGCGAGTCGGACGCTCACTCCAGCCGCCGCCGCCGCCGCGGCTGCTGCTTCGCCACCTTGGCCGCCATCTTGACTCAACCCCTCTCCCTCCCCCCAGCCCGCGGAGCCGCGGCTAAGGCGGCTCCAGCGCCGGCTCCTCCTCCTTCCGGAGAGTTGGGAGACCAACTCCCTCCGCTGGCCGGGCGCCTCTCCTACCTCGGCGGAGCTTCCCGGGTCGCGCTGCGCCCGGTCTCTTCATGTCTCCTCTAGGCCTGGCAGCGGCGGTCCTCTCGGACGGATACGGGGCCGAGCAGCGCCCAGCCGGATCCAGCGCTGCTGCCATCGTGCCCTGGGCTTGTGCGCCCCCCGCCTGCCCGTCTGTTCCGCGCGCCCGAGGCCTTCCTCAGGCGTGGGAAAAGGAAAAACTCCAGGCCGTGGAAGGGACCCTGCAAACCCCTCCGCGGCGTGGTGGGGCGGCGGCGGCCTCCTCTGGCCGGAGCTGCGTACAGGGAAGCCGGTCCCCTCGTGGCTGGGAGCTGGAGGGGTGCATTTCGACCTGCCCAAGATACTTTCTAGGGCTCTGGCTGGAATTCGCACCAAGCCCTCACTGAAATGCTGGGCGAGGCCGATTTGTCCACGATGTTGCTCCTTAACCTTAAGTTACTTGCAAGAGGAGCCTGTGGCCCTCGCGACTGTTAAGTGCACGCTCAGCCTCACCCTGCTGGGGAAACGACGGTTCCTCGTAACCGCACGCATACGTTCCTTTAGAAAAGCCAGGCCCGACCGGACGCAGTGGGTCACGCTTGTAATCCCAGCACTTAGGGAGGCCGAGGCGGGCCATCACTTAAGGTCAGGAGTTCGAGACCAGCCTGACGAACATGGAGAAACCCCGTCACTACTAAAAATACAAAAATTAAGCGGGCGTGGTGGCGCGCGCCAGTAATCCCAGCTACTGGGGAGACCGAAGTGGGAGAATTGCTTGAACGCGGGAGGCTGAGGTAGCAGCGAACCTAGGTCGCGCCACTGCACTCCAGCCTGGGCGACGGAGCCAGACCGTTTCAAAAAAAAAAAAGAAAGGGCCGGGCGCGGTGGCTCAGGCCTGTAATCCCAGCACTTTGGGAGGCCGAGGCGAGCGGATCACGAAGTCAGGAGTTCGAGACCAGCCTAGTTAACATGGTGAAACCCCCTCTCTACTAAAAATACAAAAATTAGCTGGGCGTGGTGGCGCGCGCCTATAGTCCCAGCTACTCGGGAGGCTGAGGCAGAAGAGTCGCTTGAACCCGGGAGACAGAGGTTGCAGTGAGCCGAGATCGCTCCACTGCACTCCAGCCTGGGCGACAGAGCCTCTCAAAAAAAAAAAAAAAGGTAAAGAAAGCCATCCAAAAGTGAGAAGGAATAACAAAGTTGGTGTAACTGGCTATTTTGGAAAACTGTCATACGGATAACGGGCTGTCTAACCCTATAATTACGAGAAAGGCCCGAGTTTTAAGAAATGAATTCGAAAATGAAGAGGAAGGAACTCTTCCTATAAGTGGGAGCTTATATATAAGACGCTTCCTTTTAAACCGATTGTACAGTGTGGTAGGACTAGGGTAGGAAACTGGACGGCATGGAGACTTCTGTGTTAAAACACAAGAGAACCCTTAACGTTAAAACCTCAAGCTTCCGGAGCATGTCGGCGGGAGGGACTTAACAGCGGAACCCAACATTCCCCGGTGAAGTTTTCCAGCCGGAGTCAGGGTCAGAGGCAGCCTTTCCTACTGCGCAGGCTCAGTGCTGCTTACCCATCATGGAAGCAATGTGGCTCCTGTGTGTGGCGTTGGCGGTCTTGGCATGGGGCTTCCTCTGGGTTTGGGACTCCTCAGAACGAATGAAGAGTCGGGAGCAGGGAGGACGGCTGGGAGCCGAAAGCCGGACCCTGCTGGTCATAGCGCACCCTGACGATGAAGCCATGTTTTTTGCTCCCACAGTGCTAGGCTTGGCCCGCCTAAGGCACTGGGTGTACCTGCTTTGCTTCTCTGCAGGTAGGAGGCCATAGGAGGGGCGATGGGAGCCGGGGCTTTGAAAGGGATTTAAGTGCTAACCGATCTCAGTCGCCTTCTTCTCGAAGTTTTCCGTAGGGAGCTAAGTGAATACACCGAAGGTCTTACCTCTGAACCCCTCACAGCCTAGGGACAGGAGCGGCCGGCTTACCTGGTGGGTTGGGGGACGTCGGCAGCTCGCGTACTACGCCAGCAGGATTGAGGAGCAGAGAAACAGTTGCAGTTGGTTGTATTCAGTACCTGCATTTCCGTTGGGAACTCCACCTGTACTTGTTATTCTGTGGAACTTTTTTTTATTTGTAGAAGGAGCAAGAATATTGACCTTACTATATAGCACACGAAACAATCTATGCTGTATCGTGCCTGCTCAATCCTTAAAGTTAACTTCTAATGATAGTAAAAGACCTTCCTGCTGCCTTTAAAATGCAGCTTGTGCTAGTAACATGCATGTGTCAAATTGAAGAATTAGACATAGATGACTAGATAGAAAGTAATTTTGTAGGTAATTTTAGAGTTCAACTCCACCCAGCTTTCAGTGAAGGAACCTTTCAAATAATAGATTTTTGCTTACCATAGAGAAAAGATCAAATGACAAAGCAAATATTGACCATTAAGCTGGAATATGGTGATAATTGAACAGTTGTATAAATGAAGTAATTGAATTGTACACATACAATGGGTGAATTTTATGGCATGTCAAAGTATACCTCAATAAAGCTATTTTTTTAAATTGCCCATGACCTCTTTTCCCATTTGTTTGTGTGTCTTTCCAATTCTTTTTCTATACAGCTTCTTCACAGAAATCACATTTTATAAAATTTTATATCGTTTTTACTCGACATTACTTTTTCATTTATTTACCAAATACTTATTAAACATTTATGTGCTAGGCCTTATTCTATGCCCTAGGGATACAAAAGTGGAAAGCTAGATAAGAGCAGTGTCCTCATGAAACTTTAAACATCTACCTATATTAATTAGATCTAAATGTATAGCCTGTTAAATGGCTTCATCGGGATAAACCTTAATCATCCCTTATTGTTTGTACATTCAGAGGGTTTTTTCCTAGTTTATTGCAAAGAGCAGAGAACATCTTTATGTATTTTATATTATTTCATGAGTATTAATTTTTAAAATTGGCTGTTTTTAGGCTTTGCATTGCAAAACACATTCCCAAAAACAAAATGCCAACTTACTCTTTTTTTTTTTTTTTTTTTCTGAGATAGTCTCGCTCTGTTGCCCAGGCTGGAGTGCCGTGGCGTGATCTCGGCTCACTGCAACCTCCACCACCCGGGTTCAAGTGATTCTCCTGCGTCAGCCTGCCAAGTAGCTGGGTTTACAAGCGCATGCCACCACACCTGGCTAATTTTTGTATTTTTAGTAGAGATGAGGTTTCACCATGTTAGCCAGGCTGGTCTCAAACTCCTGACCTCTAGTGATCCACCTGCCTTGGCCTCCCAAAGTGCTTGGGATTACAAGTGTGAGCCACCATGCCTGGCCTACCTATTTACATTCTTACTGGCACTAATGAGAGTATCTGTCTTAATATACTACTTTCTGTAGCATTGACTGACATTTTTTATAAATTTTTTTTTTTTTTTTTTTGAGACGGAGTCTTGCTCTATCGCCTAGGCTGGAGTGCAGTGGCGCAATCTCGGCTCACTGTAAGTTCTGCCTCCTGGGTTCACGCCCTTCTTTCTGGGACTACAGGCGCCCGCCCGCCACCATGCCCAGCTAATTTTTTTATTTGTTTTTAGTTTTTAGTAGAGACGGGGTTTCACTGTGTTAGCCAGGATGGTCTTGATCTCCTGAACTTTTGATCTGCCCGCCTCAGCCTCCCAAAGTGCTGGGATTACAGGCGTAAGCCACCACACCTGGCCATTTTTTATAAATTTCTTAATTTGTTTAGTATCTTCTCCCCCAAAAACCTTTGTTACCAGTAAAAGTAAACCATTTTACATATTTATTAAGAATTGGAGCCCAAGCACTTTTCTTCTAAAATTTATGCTCTGTTAAGAATATTAATTGCAAATAGTTACAAGTAATGCCACCATTTTTTCTTAGCTTCTAGGTTTGGTGGGGGGTTTTTTGTTTAGTTTTCTTTTTGAGATGGAGTCTCACTCTGTCACCCAGGCTGGAGTGCAGGGGCGCAATCTCAGTTCACTGCAACCTACGCCTCCTGAGTTTAAGCAATTCTCTTACCTCAGCCTCTCGAGTAGCTGGGACTACAGTGTGCACCACATGTTGGGCTAATTTTTGTATTTTTGGTAGAGCTGAGGTTTTGCTGGGATAGCCAGGCTAGTCTCGAACTCCTGACAAGTGATCCACCCACCTCGGCCTCCCAAAGTGCTGGGATTACAGGTGTGAGCCACCACACCCGGCTGGCCAGCTTTTAGTTGTATTTGTATTTTATATTACAACTATAGGAGTCAAATTATAAGCAAATTTGTTACAAGGTCTTCAAAAGAAGCCTGGATTTTATTTGCAAAACATTATAGGTATAGCTGTTTAATAAACTTACCCTTATTTTCAATAGGTTCATAAAAATTTGGGACCAGAATTGAAAATTTTTTCAAATAAAAAATATAGGCCGGGCATGGTGGCTCATGCCTGTAATCCGAGCACTTTGGGAGGCCGAGGCGGGCAGATCATGAGGTCAAGAGATCAAAACCATCTTGGCCAACATGTTGAAACCCCGTCTCTCCTACAAATACAAAAATTAGCTGGCTGTGGTGGTCCACGCCTGTAGTCCCAGCTACTCGGGAGGCTGAGGCAGGAGAATCACTTGAACCCAGGAGGCGGAGGTTACAGTGAGCTGAGATCGCGCCACTGCACTCCAGCCTGGCAACAGAGGGAGACTCCGTCTCAAAAAATATATATAGAGAGAGAGAGCATGCACTTGGCACTCAATGTTTTTATTGTATTTCATTATTTCCTCTGAATCCATTTTGTTTTTTATTGTATGTTATTTATTCTTTATTTGTGTTTTTTTAAATTGTTATTTTTTTTTTTTTTTTTTTTTTTTTTGAGGCAGAGTCTCACCCTGTCTCTCAGGCTAGAGTGCAGTGGTTCGATCTTGGCTCACTGCAACATCTGCCTCCCAGGTTCAAGCGATTTTCCTGCCTCAGCCTCTGGAGTAGCGGGATTACAGGCATTCACCGCCACGCCCAGCCAATTTTGTATTTTTAGTAGAGACGGGCTTTCTCCATGTTGGTCAGGCTGGTCTCAAAACTCCCGACCTCAGGTGATCCGCCCACCTTGGCCTCCCAAAGTGCTGGGATTACAGGCGTGAGCCACCGCGCCCAGCCACGCCAGGCTAATGTTTGTATTTTCAGTAGAGACAGGGTTTCACCATGGCGGCCAAACTGGTCTCGAACTCCTGACCTCAGGTGATCCACCTGGCCCGGCCTCCCAAAGTGCTGGGATTACATGCATGAGCCACTGAGCATGGCCTGTTTGTTTATTTTATAAAAATGGGGTCTTGTTCTGTCTAGAGCCTTTCCCCTCTAGACTGCACTGTCAGCTCTCATATCAGGTGACAGAGCAAGACCCTGTCTTTATAAAATAAACCAAACATGAATAACATACAAGAAAAAACAAAATGATAAGTTGGATTCAGAGGAAATAATGAAAGACAATAAAAACATTGAGTGCCAAGTGCATGCTCTGTATTTTTTATTTGAAAAAATTTTCAATTCTGGTCCCAAATTTTTATGAACCTATTGAAAATAAGGATGAATTTATTAAAGAGCTGTACCTGTAATATTTTGCAAATAAAATCCAGGCTTCTCTTGAAAATCTTGAAACAAACTTGCTTAATTTGACTCCTATAGTTGCAATATAAAATATAAATAAAACTAAAAGCTGACTGGATCACAGCTCCCTACAGCCTCCAAGTCTTGGGCTCAAGTGATCCTCCCGCCTCAGCCTACCAATAGTTGAGACTATAGGCGTGTGCCAGCACACCCAACTTTTTTTTTTTTTTTTTTTGAGACGGAGTCTCACTGTCGCCCGGGCTGGAGTGCAATGGCGCAATCTTGGGTCACTGCAACCTCTGCCTCCTGGATTCAAGCAATTCTCCTGCCTCAGCCTCCCAAGTAGCTGGGACTACAGGCATGCATCACCATACCTGGCTAATTTTTGTTTTTGTTTTTGTTTTGTTTTGAGTCTAGCTCTGTCTCCCAGGCTGGAGTGCAGTGGCACAATCTCGGCTCACTGCAACCTCCGCCTCCTGGGTTCAAGTGATTCTCCTGCCTCAGCCTCCCAAGTAGCTGGGATTACAGGTGCCCGCCACTATGCCCAGCTAATTTTTTGTGTTTTTAGTAGAGACAGGGTTTCACCATGTTGGCTGGGCTGCTCTTGAACTCCTGACCTCGTGATTCGCCCACCTCGGCCTCCCAGAATGCTGGGATTACAGACGTGAGCCACCACGCCTGGCCAATTTTTGCATTTTTAATGGAGATAGGGTTTCACCTTGTTGGCCAGGCTGGTCTTGAACTCCTCAAGTGATCCACCTGCCTTGGCCTCCCAAAATAATAGGATTACAGCATGAGCCACTGCTCCTGGTCTAATTTTTAAAATCCCTTCTTAAATTCACAAGTCATTCAAACGTGTGGATTAAACATTATCTATTCTGCTGATTTAACATTTTAATATAAAAAACAGGAAGCTATTAATTTGTAATGTAATGAAAGCTATGATGTTTTGATGGAGAAAGTACTATGGACACAAAATGGAAAAAAGCATTAAATCTCTTTTCAGGGGTTTAGATTAAGGAAATCTCCAAATTGGTTTTCTTTTGAGCTGGACTTTAAAAATAGGAGTAGATATATATATAGGAAGCAAGCAGTAGTAAAGGCATCAGTAACTCTTGGATTTGCATGAATAATTCATTCTAACAAGATCTTCAGTTTAAGGGAAAGGGAGAAGCAGGGAAAAAATAATAATTGCTTTGTTATTGGTGGCTCATTTCATCCTGTCAGCAACTCTGTGAGGTAGGTACTATTGTTTTTTCCATTATACAAGTATGGGAACTGAATCACAAAGTTTAAGTAACAACTGAAGTGACCAGCTACAGTGTAAAGAAGCCAGGACCCTGTGGTTTTTCTCTGTTCTAAAACCGTTACACCCAATCTGCCTCTCACATTGCCTTGTATGCCTTGTCAGTTGATGAAATATCTAAATTGATTCCCAGTGTATGTTCCAAGGAACATTAGTTCATCAAGCTGCTATTAAAAAAAAAAAAAAAGAGGCCAGGCACAGTAGCTTACACCAGTAATCCCAGCACTTTGGGAGGCCGAGACAGGTGCATCACGTGAGGTCAGGAGTTCCAGACCAGCCTGGCCAGCTTGGTGAAACCCCATTTCTACTAAAAATACAAAAATTAGCCAGGTGTGGTGGTGCATGCCTGTAATCCCAGCTACTCTGGAGGCTGAGACAGGAGAATCGCTTGAACCCAGTAGGTGGAGATTGCAGTGAGCAGAGATTGTGCCATTGCAATCCAGCCTGGGCAATAGAGCAAGACTCTGACTCAGAAAAAATAAATAAATAAAATGAAAAGAATGCCTCGGTCAAGTTTGGAGAATAGCCAGATGTGCTATCCTCTATGTAGACGTTTACAGTCTTTATGAGAATATCAACATCTTTGAGAAGCATTGCTGTAAAAAATTTTGACTTGGTTTAATCCAGTATTCCTCCAATTTATGTGACCACTAAAATACCTACTAATAGATGCATCTCTTATATAGTAGGATGTCATTGAATATATATGGTAGAGAAGTAACATAATCAGTTTTGTGTTTTAGAAAGCTCATTCTTGGCCAGGCGCAGTGGCTCGTGCCTGTAACCCCAGAACTTTGGGAGGCCAAGGTGGGCAGATCACAAGGTCAGGAGTTCGAGACCAGCCTGGCAAACACGGCGAAACCCCATCTCTACTAAAAATACAAAAATTAGCCGGGTGTGGTGGTGGATGCCTGTAATCCCAGCTACTCAGGAGGCTGAGGCAGAAGAATTGCTTGAACCCAGGAGGTGGAGGTTGCAGTGAGCCAAGATCGCTCCACTGCACTTCAGCCTGAGCGACAGAGCTAGACTCTATCTCAAAAATAAAAGCTCAGTCTTGGACCGGGTGTGGTGGCTCATGCCTGTAATCCCAGTACTTTGGGAGGCCAAAGTGGGAGGATTGCTTGAGGCCAGGAGTTCAAGACCAACCTGGTCAACATAGTGAGACCCCATCTATTTAAAAAAGAAAAAAAAAAAAGAAAGCTCATTCTGGTGGCAATGGGGAGAATGGTTTGGAAGGAAAGATTGGAGTCAGGAAAATCAATTCAGCCCAGCCTTTCTTCTCTAGACTGCACTGCCAGCTCTCATATATCAGATTTCCATGTAATTCTGGTCTATACACTTTAGTCATCTCAACAACCCTGTCTTAATTACTGTAGCTTATAAAAGCTACACTAGGCCAGAAGTGTTGGTTCACGCCTGTAATCCCAGCACTTTGGGAGACAGAGACGGGTGGATCACTAGTTCAAGAGAGCAGGACCATCTTGGCCAACGTGGTGAAACCCTGTCTCTACTAAAAATACAAAAATTAGCTGGGCATGGTGATGTGCGCCTGTAGTCCCAGCTACTCAGGAGGCTGAGGCAGGAGAATCACTTGAACCTGGGAGGCGGAGGTTGCAGTGAGCCAAGATTGCGCCACTGCACTCCAGCCTCTTGCTCTTGCGACAGAGCAAGACTCCGTCTCAGGGGGAAAAGAAAGCTACACTATATTATAGAAGCGCTATTATCTGATATGAATAGTCTTCTGATTGTTCTTCAGGGTATGTTTGCTGTTTTTGACCCTTTTTCCAAATACCTTTTTTATGGGGGAAGACAGAGCCTCACTGTTGCACAATCTTGGCTCACTGTAGCCTCCGCCTCCTGGATTCAAGTGATCCCCCTGCTTCAGCCTCCCGAGTAGCTGGGACTACAGGCATGCACCACCACGCCCAGCTAATTTTTGTATTTTTAGTAGAGACGGGATTTTGCCATGTTGGCCAGGCTGGTCTCCAACTCTTGACCTCAGGTGATCCAATCCTTCTTGGCCTCCCAAAGTGCTGGGATTACAGGATGAGCCACCATGCCCAGCCCCCAAATACATTTTAGAATTAGCTTGGTGATGTTCAAGGAAAAATCTTGCTGACATTTTTTCCCCCTTGTGACAGAGTCTCACTCTGACGTCCAGGCTGGAGTGCAGTGGCGCAGTCTCGGCTCACTGCAACCTCCACCTCCCAGGTTCAAGCGATTCTCCTGCCTCAGCCTCCCAAATAGCTGGGACTACGGGCATGTGCCACCATGCCCGGCTAATTTTTTGTATTTTTAGCAGAAATAGGGTTTCACCGTGTTAGCCAGGATGGTCTCGATCTCCTGACCTCGTGATCCGCCCACCTCAGCCTCCCAAAGTGCTGGGATTACAGGCGTGAGCCACAGTGCGTGGCCCTTGCTGGCATTTTTATTGGAATTTCACTGACTCTACTGATTAATATAAGGAGAACTGACATTTCCAATATAAAGCCTTTCTGTCTCTGATACTATGGTATGCTTCCATTTATTATATGTTGGCCTTCTTTACTATCTGTTAATAGTTTTATAATTAAGGTCTTAAATGTGTATTGAGATGATTATGTCATTGTGTCCATTAATCTGTTCTTATGTGTAGACATTCCTTTTGCAAATATAGTCTGTTACTTTCTCATACTTCAGTATCCTCTTTAATTTCTTTAAATATATTAAACATTTATATCTGCTTCTAATAATTCCAGTTTCTGCAGTCTGTATATCTGATTCTGTTCTTTGTTCTAGTAATTCATTCGGGGTGACTCGGTTCCATGTGTATTTTGTGATTTTTTTAAATGTAAGCACGTTTCTTTTTTTTTTTTTTTTTTTTTTTGATACGGAGTCTAGCTCTGTTGCCCAGGCTGAAGTGCAGTGGCACAATCTCAGCTCACTGCAAGCTCCGCCTCCTGGGTTCACGCCATTCTCCTGCCTCAGCCTCCTGAGTAGCTGGGACTACAGTCACCTGCCACCATGCCCGGCTAATTTTTTTTTTTTTTTTCAGTAGAGATGGGGTTTCACACCTGGGATTACAGGCGTGAGCCACCGTGCCTGGCCTTTTGTTTTCTTTTGTTGTTGTTGTTGTTTTGTTTTTTGCACGTGTTTCTTAGAACCATATTTGTGGTAATATTTTGGTGATTTACTTTAGCTTCAGCCAGGTAGCTAAGGGCACTACCTACCTCTCATCACTCTAAAATTTTAGATTGAGATTTTTCAGGCCATAGAGGTCATATAAATTCAGGGATCAAACCCAAGAGCATTCACTGTGGAATGCTGTGAAACAAATTGTCTCAAGACCTTGTAGCTTAAAACCATAATTAAATCTTTCCAGCCTGTGTGCTGGCACACACCTATAATCCTGGCACTTTCTGAGGCCGAAGCAGGAGGATCACTTAACCCAAGAGTTCAGCCTGGGCAACATAGCCAGACCAGGAAAAAAAAAAAAAAAAAGTTAGCCAGGCTTGGTGGCAGCTGCATGTAGTCTCAGCTACTTGGGAGGCTGAGGTGGAAGAACACTTGAGCCCAGGAGTTTGCGACTAGAGTAAGCTATGATGATCATGCCTTATAGACTAAGCCCATGTCTCAAAAACAAACAACAACAAGAAAAACCAATCACCTTTTTTTTCATGGTTTCAGACAAAGTATACTTGTCTCTGCCTCACAATGTTTAGTACCTCATTTGGAGGACCCAAAGACTAGGGGCTGGAATCACCTGAATACTCATGCACTTACGTATCTGGCTGTCAGCTGGGGACTTTGCTACAGATGTCAGCCAGAACATCCACATATGGTATATCCATGTGACCTGGGCTTCCTCACAACCTGGTGGCTGGGTTCTTGGGCAAGTGTCCTAAGAAAGAGCCTGTGCTAGGGATAACCATATTTCCTTTTATGACCTATCCTTAAAAATCTTGCAGTATCATAAGCCACATCCAGGTTTAAGGAGAGAATTAGATTCCACCTCCTAAAGGGGAATGTAGACATTCTACAAGTGCATATGGGACTAGAAATATTGCTGTAGCTACTTTTGGAAAATACAGTCTATCACACCAAGTAAAGGAGAGTATGTGATTAGCAATTCTTAGGGGGTGACATTTTTTCTTATTTTCCCTTCTGCTAGAACCAAGCCTACAGATAGGATGTAGCCCCACCATATCTGTCTAGGGCAAGTTTTTTTCTGGTTCATCCAGTGAAGGTATTGCCTTTTGAAGGTCCTGTCTTTATGTGGAGGTCTCCTTATCTGTGTCCAAGCTTTATCTGCTGCTCCCTTGACTTTAGGCCACCAAGGATATGTAGATGTTCTCAAAGTGCTCTGGGTCAGCCGCATAATACCTCTCAGGATTTATGTCTACCTATTGTTTTAGTCCTTCAAGTATATCCCTTACTTTCCTGCTAGTTAAACCATGCATTCTAGAACATGTTTGCCTTTTATCTCACATGTTCAGGTATTCATCCTGAGGGTTTCTCTGCATATCTGATTTACCATATTGCCTAAATAGAACTTATTAGGGGTTATTTTTAATACTGCTTTTTTGGGTTTTTTCTTTTTTTTTTTTGAGACGGAGTCTCCCTCTGTCACCCAGGCTGGAGTGCAGTGGCACGATCTCGGCTCACTGCAACCTCCACCTCTCGGGTTCAAGTGACTCTCCTGCCTCAGCTTCCCAAGTAGCTGGGATTACAGGCGCGTGCCACCATCATGACCAGCTAATTTTGGTATTTTTGTAGAGCCAGGGTTTCACCATGTTGGCCAGGCTAGTCTCAAACTCCTGACCTCAAGTAATCCGCCTGCCTTGGCCTCCCAAAGTGCTGGGATTACAGGCGTGAGCCACCTCACCCAGTGAAAGGTAGCAATTTCATTAGTAAGAGTCGATATGAATGCAATCCTTTTGGGAATAATGAGAAATGACACTACTCGCAAGTATGGCTATATTGGCTGATAATATAGCATGTGACAATGTTTCTTGATCTGCAGAGATATGAGCTCATTTTTCTTTTTAATTTTCTTTTCTTTTTTTTTTTTTTTTTTTGAGATGGAGTTTCACTCTTGTTGCCCAGGCTGGAGTACAATGGCATGATCTCGGCTCACTGCAACCTCTGCCTCCCAGGTTCAAGCGATTTTCCTGCCTCAGCCTCCCAAGTAGCTGTGATTACAGGCATGTGCCACCATGCCCGGCTAATTTTGTATTTTTAGTAAAGACTGGGTTTCTCCATGTTGGTCAGGCTGGTCTCGAACTCCCGACCTCAGGTGATCCACCCACCTTGGCCCCCCAAAGTTTGGGATTACAGGCATGAGCCACTGCACCCAGCCTTTTTAATTTTTTTCTCTTAGTGATCTTTTAAAGACAACTTCTGTTTTATAGGGATAACGCCTATAATCCCAGCAATTTCATAATTGAAAGATTTTATTCATTGAAAATCCAGTTTTTAATATTATTTAAATTGTGGTAAGACATACATAACAAGAACTTACCATTTTAAACTTTTTTTTTTTTTTTTTTGAGATGGAGTTTCACTCTTGTTGCCCACACTAGAGTGCAATGGCATGATCTCGGCTCACTGCAACCTCCGCCTCCCAGGTTCAAGCAATTCTCCTACCTCAGCCCCCTGAATAGCTGGGATTACAGGCACCCACCACCACCATGCCCGGCTAATTTTTTTATATTTTTATTAGAGAATGGAGTTTCACCATGTTGGCCAGGCTTGTCTTGAACTCCTGACCTGAGGTGATCCACCTTCCTCGGCCTCCCAAAGTGCTAGGATTACAGGCGTGAGCCACTGCGCCCAGCGATTTTATTTTATTTTATTTCTTTATTTATTTTATTTTATTTTTTTGAGACGGAGTCTTGCTCTGTCGCCCAGGCTGGAGTGCAGTGGCGCGATGTACGCTCACTGCAAGCTCCGCCTCCCGGGTTTACTTACACCATTCTCCTGCCTCAGCCTCCCGAGTAGCTGGGACTACAGGCTCCCGCCACCACGCCCGGCTAATTTTTTGTATTTTTAGTAGAGACGGGGTTTCACCGTGTTAGCCAGGATGGTCTCGATCTCCTGACCTCGTGATCCGCCCGCCTTGGCCTCCCAAAGTGATGGGATTACAGGCGTAAGCCACCACGCCCGGCGATTTTAAACATTTTTAAGTGTTCAATTCCATGGCAGTAAGCACTTTCATAGTATTATGTAACCATCACCACTATTTCATCATCCCAAATAGAAACTCTATACCTGTTTAGCATTCCTTTTCCCCTCCTCTCCCAAGCCTCTGGTAACCACCATTCTTTCTATCTCTATGAATTTGTCTATTCTAGGTAACTCGAATAAGTGGAATCATACAATAATTGTTATTTTATGCCTGGCTTATGCTAATTAGCATACTGTTTTCAAAGTTCATCCATATTGTGGCATGTATCAGAACTTCATTTCTGGTTGAGCTCAGTGGCTCACACCTGTAATCCCAGCACTTTGGGAGGCTGAAGTGGAAGGATCCCTTGAGACCAGGAGTTCAAGACCAGTCTGGACAACATAGTGAGATTTCGTCTTTACAAAAAATAAAAATAAAAAAATTAGCCAGTCTGGGTGGCGAGTGCCTATAGTCCCAGCTACTTGGGAGGCTGAAGTGGGAGAATCCCTTGAATCCAGGAGGTCAAGGCTGCAGTAAGCTCTGATCAGTCTGCTGCATTCCGGCCTGGGTGACAGAGCAAGTCCCTGTCTCAAAAAAAAACTTCATTTCTTTTTATGGCTTTATTAATATTCCATTGTGTATATATACATACATATATATATGTATGTATATATACCACATTTTGTTTATCATTCATCTAATGATAGGCACTTGGGTTATTTCCAATTTGGGGCTATTATGAATAATGCTTCTATGAACATTGGTGTACAAGTATTTATTTGAGTACCGGTTTTCCTTTTTTTTTTTTTTTTTTTTGAGTATAATTGCTGAGACATATGGTAATTCTGTATTTAAATTTTTTGAGAATTGACAAACTGTTTTCTGCAGCAACTGTACAGTTTTACGTTGCCACCAGCAATGAACTATGGTTCCAGTTTCTCCACATCTTTGTCAGCATTTGTAATTTTCCATTTTTTGGACTATAGCCATCCTAGTAAGTGTGCAGTGATGATGTCACATTGTGGTTTTGATTTTCATTTCCCTGATGACTAAGGATGATGAGCATCTTGCATCTTTTCACATGCTTATTGGCCATCTATATATCTTCTTTAGAGAATACCTATTCAAGTCCTTTGCCCATTTTCTGATTCTAGTTTCATTTTAAAGTCATGATTTTTTTTTTTTTTTTTTTTTTGAGACGGAGTCTCGCTCTGTCACCAGGCTGGAGTGCAGTGGCACGATCTCAGCTCACTGCAACCTCCACCTCCTAGGTTCAAGAGATTCTCCTGCCTTAACCTCCCGAGTAGCTGGGACTACAGGCGTGTGCCCACCATGCCCAGCTAATTATTGTATTTTTAGTAGAGATGGGGTTTCACTATGTTGGCCAGGATGGTCTCAATCTCTTGACCTCGTGATCCACCTGCCTCGGCCTCTCAAAGTGCTGGGATTACAGGCATGAGGCACTGTGCCTGGCCAAGTCATGATTTCTTAGACTGGGTTCTGTGGACACATCCTAATAGAAGAGGATCTAGCTCTCTTAGTTTCAGCTTCCTTTGGGAACCCAGGCCTCTGGGCTCCAGTAACACTGCCTCCTTCCTTTACCTTGCCAACCGAGGGTTGGTAGTCACTTCTTGCTATCTCTAAACTCTGGGTTACTTCACTGTTCCTTTTGTCCCTTAGATCCTCCCTCAGTTATGCGTCAAAATCTTTGCATTAAATTCTTGCTGTTGTAACTATTTGATGTGGTTTCTGTTACCCCGAATAGATCTTGACATAGCATCTAAATTCCCTCATTTTATAGGGGAAGAAACTTGTACCATTTTGTCTTCCAAATACATTTTAGAATTACTTGGTCATGTTAAAGGAAAAACATTGCAGCTATTCCTTCCCATAACATACTTCTCAGTCGTAACTAGCAATCTAGCAGTCATAATCACTTTTTTTTTTTTTTGAGATGGAGTCTCACTCTGTTACCAGGCTGGAGTGCAGTGGCACAGTCTCAGCTCACTGCAACTTCTACTTCCTGGGTTCAAGCTTTTCTCCTGCCTCAGCCTCCCAAGTAATTACAGGCTAGGATTACAGGCCTGAGCCACCGTGGCCAGCCTCATAATCACATTTAATACAAAATAAAGTCACGTTGTAAAGACTCAAATTTATACATCACAATGTATAAAGGTAAAAATTTTATTTTTAAAGAATAAAATTACAAAAATTAAAGAATTTCTCCAAATTCATATAGTTAGTAAAAAGACAGATAGTGTTGGGACCATGATGCCTTCATGCCCAGTCCATTTCTTGTTCTAACAAATTAAAACTTCCCGGGTTGGAGTGGGAGAGGAGCTTTTTTCCTTTATATGGTTTTTTTTTTGGTTTTGGTTTTTCTTTTTTTTTTTTTTTTTTTTTTGGTAGAGAGAGGTCTTGCTATATTCCCCAGCCTGGTCTTGAATTCCTGGCCTTAAACAGTGTGCCCGCCTTCCAAAGTGCTAGGAGCTGGGATTACAGGCATGAGCCACCACACCCAGCTTCTTACTGATTTATTTTCTTTTCTTTTTTTTTTTTTTTTTTGAGACACAGGGTCTCACATTGTCACCCAGGCTGTAGTGCAGTGGTGTGGTCATGGTTCACTATAGCCTCAAAATCCCAGGCTCAAGCGTTCCTCCCACTTCAGCCTCCCGAGTCAGTGGGACTACAGGCGTGAGCCACCATGCCCAGCTAATTTTTAAAATTTTTCTTTTGTGAAAACAGGGTCTCACTATGTTGACCAGGCTGGTTTTGAACTCCTGGCCTCAAGTGATCCTCTTGCCACAGCCTTCCAAAGTGCTGGGAATACAGACATGAGCCACTATGCCCAGCTTTGATTTTTTTTTAACCATATAAATCTATTACCTATTTAGAATAAACTAATTTTAAATTTTTTAAGTAAAATAAAATGTTTACCCTTATAAATTATGATGTATAAATTTGAGTCTTTACAAAATGTCTTTACTTTGTATTAAATGTGATTATGATTGCTAGTTATGACTGAGAAGTATGTTATGGGAAGACTACTAAGCATACAATTGTGCATGAGCTTATACACAAACACACACATAATGTAGTTCTACATCTAGAAATTACATTAATTTTATTATTTTCTGTTTCCTAGAATAATGGTCTCAAACTCTTTGGTCACATTTTCCTATCAGTAAAAAATGTTGAGTTTTTTTATTTATTTACAATATATCATAAGTATATGGACTAATGTGTACATTAAAAACATTAACAAAAACTTACATTTATAAAAAACAAGGTAAACAAATTAGGGGGAGATGGCTGAGCACTGTGGCTCACTCCTGTAATCCCTTCACTTTGGGAGGCAGAGGTGGGTGGATCACCTGAGGTCAGGAGTTCAAGACCAGCCTGGCCAACATAATGAAATCCCGTCTCTACTAAAAATACAAAAATTAGCCAGGCGTGGTGGTGGGCACCTGTAAACCCAGCTACTTAGGAGGCTGAGGCAAGAGAATCGCTTGCACCTGAGAGGCGGAGGTTGCAGTGAACTGAGATCACACCACTGCACTCCAGCCTGGGCAACAAGAGCAAAACTCTGTCTCAGAAAAAAGGAAAGAAAAGAAAATTAGGGGGAGACATCCTAATGCTTTTTCTCCACCACCCCAAAAGATTATTTTGTGCATCCTAGGGTGCACCTGTCTTAGTTGGACATTGTTCTAGAATGTATCAGTTAAAAGCTGCTGAAAGATCTCAGACATGTGTTCTGTTAAGTGCCTACAGGTTCACCAAACTTATTGAAAATAGTTAAAATGGTCCTTGACTTCAGCTTCCAGAACTGTTGTAAGTTCCTTAGTTCAAACACAAAGCAATAAAACTGGCCCCAATAAAACACATTAGCCTCAATTCTAAGCAGTTTCTGATAACCATAATCATAGACTAATGTGCACAGCCTTTGAACTTAGCAATTGCAACACTAATGTACATGAGACTATTTATCACCAAAAATCAAGTAATCTAGGGAGAAAAAATGGGAGAGGGTATGTGTAGAGATTTGAGGGAAACCCAAAATATACACAAAATAGTTTATGACTTAAAAAAAAAAAACGCAAAAAAAGGTATGATGAGGACAATACAAAACTAAACCTGTAAACTAAACCTGTTTGCTGGGCGCAGTGGCTCACACTTGTAATCCCAGCACTTTGGGAGGCTGAGGCGGATGGATCACAAGGTCAGGAGTTCAAGACCAGCCTGTCCAACATGGTGAAACCCCATCTCAAATAAAAATACAAAAATTAGCCCGGTGTGGTGGCGGGTGCCTGTAATCCTAACTACTGAGCTGAGGCAGGAGAATCGCTTGAACTCTGGAGGCAGAGGTTGCAGTGAGCCAAGATCGCGCTGCTGTACTCCAGCCAGGGCGACAGAGCAAGACTCTTAAAAAAAAAAAAAATGGCCATTATCTCCACTTAACTGGTGAAGAAACTGTGGCTCAAGAAAGTTAAGTAACTTGCACAAATCAGACCTGCAATTATTTATTGGAGAGTTGAAGTAACAGGTGCATTAGCTGGACAGTTGCTCAAAATGAGTCCAACTTAAGTGATACCAAAATGTCACTGTATTATTATTTGTAAGGTTACAGAGGAGTTTTATTTACCAGAACTATTTTTAGGGAATATAGTATATGTTTTGGGAAAATAAAGAATATATAAGTTGTTTGGGGTGCCAATGGGATCAAGATCCCCTTGGGGTATGCTGGATAGCTGGCTATGAAACTCTTCAAAAGAGGAAGCTTTCCTAAATGGTATCTACACATTTTCCTGTAATACTCAGGAGTAGCAACCTCTATTTTCTTTTTCTATACCAACAAGAATGAGCTTGGAAAGCTTCATCCTTAAATCAATGTTAAACAGGATTTGAGGACTGTCAATGAAGAGGGGGCCCCAGTTGTTCTGAGTGGTCGTACATGGTGTGATCCTAAATCTGCTTAACTTCAAAGTTAGTACCCTTGGCTGTGTACCATGCTGCCTCTAGCATGTGACTGAAATGCAGACAGACAGATAGGTATATAGATACAAAGATGGGAAAGAATTGTGAATGGTGATTCTAAAGATTGTGCTACTGGTAGTCTTCTCACAGGAGTATCTTGGTGTCGTGTTTTCTTAAACTTTGTATCATAATCACACATTTTCAGGCAGCTTAAATCCTTTAAGGAACAAAAACAGGATAAGAATGAGTGAATAGATAGGTCTCCACTGTTAAAAAAAAAAAATCTACCACTGTATATTTGTTACCCTCAGGAAATTACTACAATCAAGGAGAGACTCGTAAGAAAGAACTTTTGCAGAGCTGTGATGTTTTGGGGATTCCACTCTCCAGTGTAATGATTATTGACAACAGGTAATATATCTTTTAACAATGTAGAAATTTATTGGCAATAAATATGCAGTGATATACTCAAAAGACACACAAAAAACTAATGTGAGTGGCTGAGAACATCTTGTATGAAAAGTCTAGGGCTCGGTGCCATGGTTCACGCTTGTAATCCCAGTACTTTGGGAGGCCGAGGTGGGCGGTCTCAGGAGTTTGAGACCAGCCTGGCCAACATGGTAAAACCGCATCTCTACTAAAAATACAAAAATTAGCTGGGCATTGTGGTCCAGCTACTAAAGAGGCTGAGGCAGGAGAATCACTTGAACCCAGGAGTTGGAGGTTGCAGTGAGCTGAGATCAAGCCATTGCACTCCATCCTGGGCGACAGTGAGACTTCATCTCAAAAAAGAAAAGAAAAGTCTACATAAAATAACTTCACAGCGGGGCACAGTGGCTTACGCCTGTAATCCCAGCACTTTGGGAGGCCGAGGTGGGCAGATCACCTCAGGTCAGGAGTTCAAGACCAACCTGGCCAAACATGGTAAAACCCCGCATCTACTAAAACTACAAAAATTAGCCGGGCGTATTGGCCTACGCCTGTAATCTCAGCTACTTGGGAAGCTGAGGCAGGAGAATCGCTTGAACCTGGGAGGCAGAGGTTGCAGTGAGCCAAGATCACACCATTGCACTTCAGCCTGGATGAGAGAGCAAGACTCCGTCTCAAAAATAATAATAATAATAACTTCACATTTGTTTTTAAATGACAGCGTGATTGAAATAAATTTTTTAACTTCTGTTCGGATTTTTTTTCCTGACATGGGTACTTCTCTTTACATCTATAGCTTTAAAAAGTTTTATTATAAATTTCAAAAACATACAAAAGTATAAAGAATAGTATCATAAACCCCCATTTGCCTATTACCTAAACCCACTGATTATCGAGACTTTACTATACAGTGCTTGTTTCTTCACCTATCCCTAACTTAACATCTTTTGTGTATATGAAACATTTTAAAGAAAACTCCAACCACCAGGTTTTTTACCCCAAGGTACTTAGGTCTGCATCTCTTAAGAAGATGGGACACTTTTCATCTAGCTACAGACAGCCATTATCATTACATCTAACAATATTAACAATAACAGTAATTCTTTGGTGTCCACCAACACCCAGTCCATATCAGAATTTCTTCAGGTAGCTCAAAGATTTCCTTTTACAATTGGTTTACTCAAATCAGGATTTCGACAAGGACCACACATTATAGTTGGTTGATATTCTGCATTTAATTACCCTTTTCTCCAAATCAGTGGATTTGTTGAAGAAACTGAATTATGTTGTCATACAGAATGTCCTGCATTCTGGATTTATCTGTTTGTTTCCTGTATGTCTACGTTCTTTTTTTTTTTTTTTTTTTTTTTTTTGAGACGGAGTCTCACTCTGTTCCCGCCCAGCCTGGAGTGCAGTGGTGCCATCTCGGCTCACTGCAACCTCCACCTCCTGGATTCAAGCGGTTCTCCCCCCTCAGTCTCCCAAGTAGTTGAGATTACAGGCATCCACCACCACACCTGGCTAATTTTTTGTATTTTTAGTAGAGATGGGGTTTCACCATATTGGCCAGGCCAGGCTGATCTTGAACTCCCGACCTCAGGTGATCCACCTGCCTCGGCCTCCCAAAGTGCTGTGATTATAGCCATGAACCACTGTGTCCGGTCTTTTTTTTTTTTTTTTTTTGCACACGGCAAATCAGATTTGGGTCTAACTTTTTGGGGGGCAAGAATATTTCATAGGCTGTACTATGTACTTTGCATCATATCAGGAGACACGTACTATCTGTTAGACCTATAGTGAATCTACAGTTGATCAGTGAGTTCAGATGGCAATGACTCCCTTTATTTTAAAGACCCCCGTCAAACTTTCATATGTTCTCATGCCTATTGCCTGAATCATTAATTACCTAGAAGTTGCAAAATGCTTAGTTTCCAATAGTCTCACATATTCTATGTGTACTATCTATAATTCTTTTGTAAAACAGAATCTTCACTATTAATTAAGGCTACTTAGTTACCCTGCTATGTATAATAATTTGAAACAAAAAAACAGGATAGGTGCTTAATTTTTTCCCCTTAATTGACATTTTTCAGAATAAAGAGTTGATACGCCGTACACCTACAGTCGTGATCTATTGTTTGTTTCTTGAATGGGAGGACACCTAACTTTCATTAGGAAATTACGCGTTTTTATGTATTCGGTGTTTCAGGTTCAGTCATATGTTCTTTAATACTAAATTGTCTTATGTTTGGCCAGAGAGTCTCTCCATGTTGGCTTATATGTCCTTTTCATATGACCTCTGTCTTTTATGATTTCCTTCCTTTCTTTCAAGTACAATGAGATTTTCCAGTACTATCTTGTATACTTTCCTGCTCCAATTCTGAAATCAGCCATTTCTCCAAAGAGCCTTTGTTTGTCTTAGTAGGGAATGGTATTTAGAGTCCATAACCAGCATAGTAGGAGTGTTCATTGCAATAGTGTTATTTATTTATTTTTTTAGACAGAGTCTTGCTCTGTTGCCCAGGCTGGAGTGCAGTGGTGCGATCTTGGCTCACTGTAGCCTCTGCCTCCCTGGTTCCAGCGAGTCTCCTGCCTCAGCCTCCTGGGTAGCTGGGATTACAGGTACACGCCACCATGCCCAGCTAATTTTTATATTTTTAGTAGAGACAGGGGTTTCACCATGTTGGTCAGGCTGGTCTCGAACTCCTGACCTCAGGTGACCTGCCTGCCTCAGCCTCCCAAAGTGTTGGGATTACAGGCATGAGCCACCACGCCTGGCCGCTATAGTGTTATTATTTCTCATTGCTACTTGACCTTTATAGTGGACAGAGCTAAGATGTATGTTTTTTATGTGCTTTTGTATTTTTTAGAGACAGGATCTCACTGTTACCCAGGGTGGAGTGAACTGGCGTGATCACACTTCACTGTAGCCTTGAACTCCTGGGTTCAGGCAATCCTCCTGTGTCAGCCTCCCGAGTAACTGGGACTACAGGCACTCACCACCACACCTGGCTTTTTTTTTTTTTTTTTTTTTTTTGAGATGGAGTCTTGCTGTGTCGCCCAGGCTGGAGTGCAGTGGTGCCATCTCAGCTCACTGCAACGTCCGCCACCTGAGCTAAAGTGATTCTCCTGCCTCAGCCTCCTGAGTAGCTGGGATTACAGGCACACACCACTACACCTGGCTAATTTTTGTATCTTTAGTAGAGAAGGGGTTTCGCCATGTTGGCCAGGCTGGTCTTGAACTTTTGACCTCAAGTGATCCGCCCTCCTCGGCCTCCCAAAGTGCTGGGATTACAGACGTGAGCCACTGCGCCTGGCCTATTTTTTTTTTTAAAGGAAAAAAATCAGAAATATATACAGATGATTACAATTCAAAGTTAATATTTCAGGGGTTTTGTTTAACGTCATTGATATTTACAATGGAATCTCTGGTTGGGTGTGGTGGCTCCTACCTGTAATCCAAGCACTTTGGGAGGCCGAGGTGGACAGATCGCTTGAGCCTAGGAATTTGAGACCAGCCTGGGCAACGTGGTGAAACCCCGTCTCTACTAAAAATACAAAAATTAGCTGGGCATGGTGGCATGCCCGAAATCCCAACTACTTGGGTGACTGAGGTGAGAGGATCACCTGAACCCAGAAGGTGGAGGCTGCAGTGAGCCAAGATCATGCCCACTGAACTCCAGCCCGGATAACAGAGTGAGATCCTGTCTCAAAAGCAAAAAAAAAAAAAAAAAAAATTGAATCTCTTTTCTGTCACACTGAAAGTCCTTTCCAAGAACATGAACATAATTACTTATTTTCTTCTTTAATCTTTTCAAGAATTTCAGGGCCGGGCGCATTGGCTCACGCCTGTAATCCCAGCACTTGGGGAGGCCGAGGTGGGTGGATCACGAGGTCAGGAGTTCGAGACCAGCCTGGCCAACATGGTGAAACTCCATCTCTACTAAAAATACAAAAATTAGTGGGGTGTGGAGGCACGCGCCTGTAATCCCAGATACTCGGGAGGCTGAGGCAGGAGAATTGCTTGAACCCAGGAGATGGAGGTTGCAGTGAGCCGAGATCGCGCCATTGCACTCCAGCCTGGGTGACAGGATGAGACTCCGTCTCAAAAAAAAAAAAAAAAAAGAATTTAATAAAACATGAAAGAAGGGGCTGGTATTATGGTATTATGTATACTCAAAACAGTAAATACTCAAAACTAATACTAAATACAATATGACTGATTATGATGCCTGCAATTTACTTTAAGATAATTCAGAAAAAAATAAATACCTATATAGATTAACCCCAAATGACAAAATATAACAATTTAAACCTTAGTGGAAGGTACTGGAGTGTTTCTTTTTTTCTTTTTTTTTTTTTTTTGAGACGGGGTCTTGCTCTGTCACCCAGGCTGCAGTGCAGTGGTGTGATCTCAGCTCACTGCAACCTCCTCCTCCTGTGTTCAAGCCATTCTCCTGCCTCAGCCTCCCGAGTAGCTGGGATTACAGGCGCCCACCACCATGCCCAGCTAATTTTTGTATTTTTAGTAAGACAGGGTTGCCAGGCGCCGTGACTCACACCTGTAATCCCAGCACTTTGGGAGGCCGAGGCAGGAGGATCATGAGGTCAGGAGTTCGAGACCATCCTGACCAAAATGGTGAAACCCCGTCTCTACTAAAAATAAAAAAATTAGCCAGATGTGGTGGTACGTGCCTGTAATCCCAGCTACTCATGAGGCTGAGGCAGGAGAACTGCTTGAACACAGGAGGTGAAGGTTGCAGTGAGCTGAGATCACGCCGCTGCACTCCAGCCTGGTGCGACAGAGTGAGACCCCGTCTCAAAAAAAAAAAAAAAAAAAGACGGGGTTTCGCCATGTTGGCCAGGTTGGTCTTGAACTCCTGACCTCAGATGATCCATCCGCCTTGGCCTCCCGAAGTGCTGGGATTACAGGCCGGAGCCACCTTGCCCGACCTGAAAATTTAGCTAGGTGTGGTGGCACGCACCCTGTAGTCCTGGATACTCAGGAGGCTGAGGTAGGAGGATTGCTTGAGGCCAGAAGTTCAAAGCCAGCCTAGGCAACATGGCAGAACCCTGTCTCTAAAAATTAAAATGAAAAATAAAAATGAATTTTGGGCCAGCCGGGTGGCTCACGCCTGTAATCCCAGCACTTTGGGAGGCCGAGGCAGGCGGATCAGGAGGTCAAGGGTTCAAGACCAGCCTGGCCAACATGGTGAAACCCCGTCTCTACTAAAGATACAAAAAATTAGCCAGGCGTGGTGGCATACACCTGTAATCCCAGCTACACAGGAAGCTAAGGCAGGAGAATCGCTTGAACCCAGGAGGCGGAGGTTGCAGTGAGCTGAGATCGCACCACTGCACTCCAGCCTGGGTGACAGAGTGAGACTCTGTCTCAAAAAAATAAAAAAGAAAAAAAAAAGAAAAAGAAAAGGCAGTAAAGTTTAGGTGAGCTGTGAACAAATTAGCTTTGGCAAAACATATATCTCTTTCTGTTGAACCTTCATGATATCATACAGAAATGTAAACTGTGAATAGTGGAGAGAGATGATGAGTTTTGTGCTTCAGAATGATTACTCTAATGAAAGTATGGATTGAAGAGATCAAGATTGTAGATGAGTCTATTGTCTTTGTCCCAGTGGAGGGAGGATATCTCAAATTAGGGTAGCAGCAACTGAGATGGAGATGATGGGATGAATTCAACTCTTTTTTTTTTTAGAGACAAGGTGTCACGCTGACACCCAGGCTGTTTAGGCAGTGGTGCAATCTTAGCTCACTGCAGCCTTGAACTCCTGAGTAGCTGGGACTACAGGTGTGGGCCACCATGCCTGGCTTATTTTTTAACTTTTCGTAGAGATGGGTTCTCCCTGAATTACTCAGTGATATGATTTCGATCTGTGTCCCCACCAAAATCTCATGTGGAACTGTAATCCTAACATTGGAGGTGGGGCGTTGGATCAGTAGGAGGTGATTGGATCATGGAGGCAGATTTCTCATGAATAGTTTAGCACTATCCTCCTTGGTACTGTCCTTGTCAGTGAGTTCTGGCAAGATCTGCTTGTTTAGAAGTGTATAGTACTTCCTCCCTCTCTCTCTTGCTCCTGCCTCTGCCATGTAGGATGCTTGCTCCCCCTTTGCCTTCTGCCATGATTGGAAGCTTCCTGAGGCCTCCTCAAAAGTGGAAACTGCTATGCTTCCTTTATAGCCTGCAGAGCCATGAGCCAATTAAACCTCTTTTCCTTATAAATTACCCAGTCTCAGGTATTTCTTTATAGCAATGTGAGAAGGAACTAATGAACCCAGGCTGGTTTGGAACTCCTAGGCTCAAGCAATCCTCCCACCTCAGCCCCTCAAAGTGCTGAGATTATGGATGTGAGCCACCACGCGCAGCCCCAGCCCCAAGGTTTTGTTTTCTTTTGTTTTTTTCATTTTATTTGAGACAGAGTTTTGCTCTGTCACCCAGGATGAATGCAGTGACACAATCACGGCTCACTGCAGCCTAACTCCCGGGTGCAAGGGATCCTTCCACCTCAGCCTCCCGAGTAACTGGGACCACAGGCATGCACCACCTTGCCAGCTACCTTTTTTTTTTTTCGGTAGAGATGGAGTCTTGCTAGCTTGCCCAAGCAGGTCTTGAACTCCTGGACTCAAGCAGTCTCCCACTTTGGCCTCCCAAAATGCTGAGATTAGAGGCGTGAGCCAGCGCACCTGGCCTCCAGTATTATTTAAGAGGTAGAAATAGGCCGGGCATGGTGGCTCACGCCTCTAATCCCAGCACTTTGGGAGGCCGAGGGGGTGGGGGGCAGATCACCTGAGGTCGGGAGTTCGAGACCAGCCTGACCAACATGGAGAAACCCGGTCTCTACTAAAAATACAAAATTAGCCGGGTGTGGTGGCACATCCCTGTAATCCCAGCTACTTGGGAGGCTGAGGCAGGAGAATGGCTTGAACCCAGGAGGCAGAGGTTGCAGTGAGCCGAAATCACGCCATTGCACTTCAGCCTGGGCAACAAAAACGAAACTCCCTCTCAAAAAAAAAAAAAAAAAAAAAAGAAGTGGCAGGAATTCAACGAACAAAAGAAATTTGGGATAATGGAAACCCACCTAGATATCTAGGTGGATAAAGATTAGCGAGGGTAGTTTGCAAAGGAGGAGAATTGGGTATGAAGAGATAATAAATTAGGCATCTTTAGCATATGGGAGGATGAAAGTCTTTGGGGTGGGCTGGGTGCAGTGGCTCAGGCCTGTAATTCCAGCACTTTGGGAGGCTGAGGTGGGCGGATCACCTGAGGTCAGGAGTTTGAGACCAGCCTGACCAACGTGGAGAAACCCCATCTCTACTAAAAATACAAAATTAGCCGTGTGTGGTGGTGCATGGAGGCTGAGGCAGGAGAATCACTTGAACCTGGGAGGAGGACGGTGCAGTGAGCCGAGATCACACCACTGCACTCCAGAATGGGCAACAAGAGTGAAACTCTGTCTTAAAAAAAAAAAAGAAAATCTTTGGGGTGAATGAAATTGCCCATGGATTAACTGGAGTGATAAGAACTGGGGATCAGTTAGAGGAAAATAAAACCACAAACTATAATGAGGAGAATTGGAAGCATTGAGATGTAAGGTGGGAATACTTGAGAAAATTATAAGGAAAATGAGAATTATCTGCTCAGTATTAAACAAAATTAGCATCAAATGGTATAAGAAATTTGGTACCCTGCTTTTTTTACTAGAGAGTATTTTTAGCATTTTTCTATGTCATTAAATAATCATTAAAAGTCTTTAATGATTGTAAAGATTTAATCGTGAAGATGTACCATAACATTTAACATTCTCCTACTATTGAATATTTAAATCTTTCTAATATTTAAGCACTTACAATTTTTTTAGCAAATCTCTTTGAAGTTCTGACTCTTTCCATAAATGAATTTCTAGATATTGAATTACTGGGTCAGAGTATAGGACTTTTTCTTTGGGGTTTTTTTTTGTTTGTTTTTGGAGACAAGGTCTCTGCCATCAGGCTAAAGTGCAATGACATGATCCTGTCTCACTGCAAACTCTAACTTCTGGGCTCAAGCAATCTTCCCACCTCAGCCTCCTAAGTAGCTAGGACTACAGGTGTGCACCACCATGCCCAGCTAATTTTAAAAATTATTTTAGATCCAGAGTCTTGCCATGTCACCCAGGCTGGTCTCCAACCCTTGGGCTCAAGTGATCTGCCTCAGCTTCCCAAAGTGCTGATATTACAGCATGAGCCACCATTCCCAGTCTATATAGAACTTTTTATAGTTTTCTTCATCTAGGTACTAAACAATTCTTGTTAAAGTTATTTTGATTCTTTTTTATTATTATTGCTGTGAAAAAGATTTTTTGGTTAAGAATTTACTGCTAGTATGTAGCTTTATTGATTTTTTAATGTATTTATTTTATATTCATCACTTTGAAACTTCTGTAAAAAGCCTACCAGTTTTAACTTGATTCCCTAAAGTTTTGTAGGTAAATCATCTGCAAATAATGCTAATACAATCTTTCATGTTTTCAACATATGCCTCTTATTTCTGATTCCTTTTTTTTTTTTTTTTTTTTTTTTTTTGAGACAGAGTCTCGCTTGTAACACAATCTCTGCCTCCTGGGTTCAAGTGATTCTTCTGTCTCAGCCTCCTGAGTAGCTGAGATTACAGGCATACACCACCATACCCGGCTAATTTTTTGTTTTTTTAGTAAAGATGGGGTTTCACCATGTTGGTCAGGCTGGTCTTGAACTCCTGACCACAAATGGTCCACTTCCCAAAGTGCTGGGATTACAGGCATGAGCCACTGCGCTCAGCCCTGATCCATTTCTTATTTCTTTGAGTGGATTTCCTTAATCTATGTTAAACAAAAAAGGGAAAGCAGGCAACTTTATCCGTATTTATGATTTGATTGACAACATATCCAGTGTTTAACCATTAACTGTGTTGTTACTGGTGTGTGTTTGTTTGTTTGTTTATGAGACGGAGTCTTGCTCTGTTACCCAGGCTGGAATGCAGTGGTGCAATCTTGGCTCACAGCAACCTCCACCTCTCGGGTTCAAGCAATTCTCCTGCCTCAGCCTCCCAAGTAGCTAGGATCACAGGCGTGTGCCACCCACCCAGCTAATTTTTATATTTTTAGTAGAGATAGGGTTTCACCATGTTGGCCAGGCTGGTCTCGAACTGCTGACCTCAGGGGATCCACCTGCCTCGAACTCCCAAAGTGTTGGGATTACAGGCGTGAGCCACCGTTTCTGGCCTGCTGATTATTCTTTATAATATTAGGCATTGGTGGGAATTGATGTTCACTGTATTTGATTTGGGGTGGGGATCCCATTCATTTCAGTATGCTACAAAGAGATGAAGGAAAAAGTTTAGATTTATTCTTGATCTTACTTGCTTCATGGTAAACTACTGGGGTCACCACGGGAGAATTTCTTCTGTTTATACCAGTGGATTTATAGAGCCAGACTGCCCAGACTGAAACCCAAGTTTAAAGTTTTTAATTGCGTAACCTAGGCAAGTTACTGAATTCTGTTCCTAAATTTCTTCCTCCGTAAACCTCGAAAGATACATGGTTTTGAGTTAATTTGTGAAAGGAGTTATGGGTTCCTTTGTTTTCAAAGATGATATCCCACCCTCTTACTCTGTGAGTGTTGTGATTTGTTTTTTCACATTAATATTGTAACCGCCCAAGGGGTTCACCTTGCCCACTGCCTAGACAGAGCCAATTTATCCAGATGGAGAGCTGCAATGGTGAAAGAGTAATTCACGCAGAGCTGCGGGAGACCAGAGTTTTACTGTTACTCAAATCTGTCTCCCTGAGCATTCAGGCAGCAGAGTTTTTAAGCATAATGTGGTGGGTGGGGCGAAGCCAGTGAGCTGATTGGTCAGAGACGAAATCATGGGGAGTCGAAGGTCTCTTCTTGGGCTGAGTCAGTTCCTGGGTGGGGGACTACAAGATCAGATGAGCCAGTTTATTGATCTGGGTGATCCATCAAGTGCAGGGTCTGCAAAATATCTCAAGCACTGATCTTAGCAGTTTAGGGAGGGTTAGAATCTTGTGTCCTCCAGCTGCATGACTCCTAAACCATAATTTATAATCTTGGGCCTAACTCGTTAGTCCTACAAAGGCAATCTAGTCCCCAGGCAAGGAGGTCTGCTTTGGGAAAGGGCTGTTACCGTCTTTGTTTAAACTATGATCTATAAATTAAGTTTCTCCCAAAGTTAGTTCATCCTATGCCCAGGAATGAACAAGGACAGCTTGGAGGTTAGAAGCAAGATGGAGTCAGTTAAGTTAGATCTCTTTCACTGTCTCAGTCATAATTTTGCAAAGGCAATTTCAATATTAGTAATCGTGTTTTTTCTCAGGCACTCCATTTGCACAATGTCCTGCCTGTGCAGTGTCTGCTTTGGCCCAGTAATGCAAATGTTTTCGGGGACAAATCTGTTTTGGAGATCTTGGTTATTAAGATCTTTACTCTGATAGAAAGCAATGTGCATTCAGTACACTCCTCAACTTGGGATGGGGTTACATTTGGATAAACACCTCCTAAGTTGAAGGTATAAAGCGGGGAGTTTTTGGTTTTTGTTTTTTGCTTTTGAGACAGGGTCTCACTCTGTCACCCAGGTTAGAGTGCAGTGGCAGGATCATGGCTTACTGCAGCCTCCACCTCCCGGGCTCAAGTGACCCTCCTGCCTCAGTCTCCCGAGTAGCTGGGACTACAGGCACACGTCACCACATCTAGCTAATTTTTTTGGTAATTATTTTAGAGACAGGGTTTTGCCACGTTGCATAGGCTGGTTTTGAGCTCCTGAGCTCAAGCAACCCACCCACCTCAGCCTTCCAAAGTGCTGGGATTACAGGTGTGAGCCATCACACCCAGACTAGAGTGTGTTTTTTGTTGTTCTTGTTTTTTTGAGACGGAGTTTCGCTCTTGTTGCCCAGGCTGGAGTGTAATGGTGCAATCTCGGCTCACTGCAACCTCCACCTCCTGGATTCAAGCAATTTTCCTGCCTCAGCCTCCCAGGAAGCTAGGATTACAGGTGCCCACCACCACGCCCAGCTAATTTTTGTATTTTTAGTAGAGACGAGGTTTCACCACATTGGCCAGGATGGTCTCAATCTCTTGACCTCGTGATCCACCCGCCTCGGCCTCTCAAGAAGCTGGGATTACAGGCGCCTGCCACTATGCCCAGCTAAATTTTTGTATTTTTAGTAGAGACGGGATTTTGCCGTGTTGGCCAGGCTGGTCTTGAAGTCCTGAACTCAGATGATCCACCTGCCTCGGCCTTCCAAAGTGCTGGGATTACAAGCATGAGCCACTACACCCGGCCTAGAGTGTGTTTTTTACTTATGATATTTTCAGTTTAGGATGGGTTTATTGGGACGTAGCCAGATTGTAAGCCAGGGAGTATATATATATATATATATTTGAGACGGAGTCTTGCTCTATCGCCAGGCTGGAGTGCAGTGGCTAATTTTTTGTATTTTTAGTAGAGACGGGGTTTCACCATGTTGGGCAGGATGGTCTCGATCTCTTGACCTCATGATCTGCCCGCCTCAGCCCTCCAAAATGCTGAGATTACAGGTGTGAGCCACTATGCCTGGCCTATATATATATACACACATATATATATACACACACACATATATATACACACACATATATATATACATACACACACACATATATATATATATACACACACACACATATATATATATATATTTTTTTTTGAGACGGAGTCTCGGAGTCTCCCTCTGTCACCCAGGCTGGAGTGCAGTGGCACAATCTCAGCTCGCTTCAAGCTCTGCCTCCTGGGTTCACACCATTCTCCCACCTCAGCCTCCCAAGTAGCTGGGACTACAGGCACCCGCCACCTTGACCAGCTATTTTTATTTTTGTGTTTTTAGTAGAGACGGGGTTTCACCATGTTAGCCAGGATGGTCTTGATCTACTGACCTTGTGATCCACCCGCCTCGGCCTCCCAAAGTGCTGGGATTACAGGCGTGAGCCACTGCGCCCGGTCATGGCACCTATATTTTTTATATATCACATGAAGACCATGTAGCTTCAGCATCACTCCCCTACTCGTGAAATGCTATAGTAGAGGGATAGTAAGCCTATTAAAAGTAAGTACTTCAGGCCGGGTGCGGTGGCTCACACCTGTAATCCCAGCACTTTGGGAGGCAGGTGGATCACGAGGTCAAGAGATCGAGACCATCCTGGCCAACACGGTGAAACCCCGTCTCTACTAAAAATACAAAAATTAGCTGGGCATGGTGGTGCACACCTGTAGTCCCAGCTACTTGGGAGGCTGACGCAGGAGAATCGCTTGAACCCGGGAAGCGGAGGTTGCACTGAGCCGAGATTGCACCACTGCACTCTAGCCTGGCAACAGAGTGAGACTCCGTCTCAAAAAAAAAAAGTAAATACTTAAAGAAGCCAGTTTGAAGATTCAAGAAAAATGCATCTTAGTCTGCTTGGGCTCCCTTAACAAAATACCGTAGACAGTGTGGCTTAAACAATAGAAATTTATTTTCCCACATTTCTGCAGGCTAGAAGTCCAGATCAAGGTCTTTTTTTTTTTTTTTTTTTTTTTTGAGACGGAGTCTCGCTCTGTCGCCCAGGCCGGACTGCGGACTGCAGTGGCGCAATCTCGGCTCACTGCAAGCTCTGCTTCCCGGGTTCACGCCATTCTCCTGCCTCAGCCTCCCGAGTAGCTGGGACTACAGGCGCCCGCCACCGCGCCCGGCTAATTTTTTTTGTATTTTTTTAGTAGAGACGGGGTTTCACCTTGTTAGCCAGGATGGTCTCGATCTCCTGACCTCATGATCCACCCGCCTCGGCCTCCCAAAGTGCTGGGATTACAGGCGTGAGCCACCGCGCCCGGCCCAGATCAAGGTCTTGCAGGGTCACTTTCTTATGAGGACTCTCTTCCTGGCTTGCAGATGACCTTCTCGCTATGTTCTCACATGCTGGAAAGAGATTCTCTCACTCTCTCCTTCTTCCCTCCCTCTTCTTAAAAGGCTACAAGTTTTATTGGATTAAAGCCCCACTCGTATGACCTCATGTGATCTTAGTTACCTCCTAAAACCCTATCTCAAAATAGTTACAATTAGTGGTTAGGGCTTCAGCACATGAATTTGTTGAGGACACTATTCAGTTCATAGTATTCCATCCCAGACTCCCACATTCATGTCCTTATTTCATGCAAAATACATTCATCCCATCCTAACAGCCTCCAAAGTCTTAACTCATTCCAGCATTAACTCGAAAGTCCAAAGTCTCATCTAAATAGCCTCACCAGCTGTGAACCTGTGAAAACAGACAAGTTATATATTTACAAAATATAAGGAATGGAGAGGCATAGGATAGATATTTTCATTCCAAAAGGGAGAAATGGGTGACAGGCCCCAGGCAAGGCCAAAACCTAGGAAGGTAAACTCCATTAGATCTTGAGGCTTGAGAACAATCCTCTTTGGGCGGATATTCGGCCCTCCAAGCCCTCTGGAGCCTGTGGTGGGAATGGTAGTCCTTCTGATCTCTGGATAACTTTTGAGGTCATTCTTCCCTTTTCTTGAAGGACGACGCATGTTTGCAGCCAGATAGCTCTGTTGTCTGGTCCTGTAGACTCTTAAGTCCAGCAGGCTTCTTTCGTCCCACCCGATTTTTTCTTTCTCCTGGCTGTTATTGAGGTGGTTGATTACATGTGTGGTTCACACCCATGCTAATCACCTCATCAAATGGTTGTTCAGTCACACCAGAGTGCTCTCTTCAGAACAAGCTTTCTCTCTTTTTTTTTTCTTTTGGAGATGGAGTCTCACTCTGTCGCCCAGGCTGGAGTACAGTGGCACGATCTCAGCTCACTGCAACCTCTGCCTCCTGGGTTCAAGCGATTCTCCTGCCTCAGCCTCCCAAGTAGCCGGGATTACAGGCGCGCACCACCACACCTGGCTAATTTTTGTGTTTTTAGTAGAGACGGGGTTTCAGCATGTTGGTCAGGCTGGTCCTGAACTCCTGACCTCGTGATCCACCAGCCTTGGCCTCCCAAAGTGCTGGGATTACAGGCTTGAGCCACTGCGCCCAGCCTCAAGCTTTCTCATTTTTTTACAATATGGACAGGCTGAAAATTTTCCAAAACCTTTACGTTCTGGTTCCTTTTAAACGTAGCAATTTCTTCTTTATCTCTCAACTCTTACATTTTACTATAAACAGTCAAGAGGACCCAGGCCACACCTTCAAAATTTTACTTAGAATTCGCCTCAGCTAAATATCTAATTTCATCCTTCAGAAGTTCTATCTTCCACAAAACACTAGAACACAATACAGGCAGGTTCTTTGCTTCTTTATAATAGTGATCACCTTTTCTCCATTTTCCAATGTCTTATCTCATTTTTCTCTGAGACCCCATCAGAATGGCCTTAAAGACCATATTTCCACTGACATTCTGTTCATGATTGTTTATGTATTCTCTGAGAAGATGGAGGTTTTCTCTCCAGTCTCCTTTTCCTTTCCTGAGTCCTCACCAGAATCACCTTTAATGTCCATATTTCTACCAACCATTCCTTCCTGGCAGTCTAGGATTTTTCT